>NC_000010.11:127859266-128170746 GCF_000001405.40 Homo sapiens
GGAGGCTGAGGAGGGCAGATCACTTGAGGTCAGGAGTTTGAAACCAGCCTGGCCAACATGGTGAAATCTCATCTCTACCAAAAATACAAAAAATTAGCTGGATGTGATGGTGGACGCCTGTAATCCCAACTACTTGGGAGGCTGAGACAGGAGAATTGCTTGAACCCAGGAGGTGGCGGTTGCAGTGAGCCGAGATTGCACCATTGCACTCCAGCCTAGGTGACAGAGCAAGACTCTGTCTCAAATAATAATAATGCCAAAAAATGAAATTACTTTTGCATCAACTGAACATATTCATAGATATGTGAAGCTGTTATTACAACTTCAGAACACTTTCATCATCTCAAAAAGAAACTGTAACTTTAGCCATCTCTCCCCCATCTTTCCTTCTCCCCCAAGAGACCACAAATCTACCTTCTATTTTTCCTGATTTCCCTGTTCCACACTTTCATATGGATGGAATCATGGGAATGTGTGCATATGAATGGAACCATGCATTTTGTGGCCTTTAGTGTCTGGCTTCTTTCACCCAGCAGGATGTTCTCAAGTTTCATCCCTGTTGCGGCATGTATCAGCACTACACTCCTTGTTCATTGCTGAATAATATTCCATTGTATAGATAGATCACATTTTGTTTATCCATTTGTCAGTTGACGAACATTTAGGTTGTTTCTGTCTTTTGATTATTATGAATAATGCTGTAAACATTTGTGTATAAGCTTTTGTGTTGAAATGTTTTCAGTTCTCTTGGGTATACACCTGGGGGTGGAATTGTGGGGTGACAGAGTAATTGTTTAATGATTTGAGGGGCTGCCAGACTCTTTTCCAAAGAGGTCGTACCATTCTACATTCCCACCAGCAATGAATAAGGTTCTGATTTCTCCACATCCTCAACCACACTTGCTATTATCTGATGCCTTGATTCCAGCCAGACTCATGAGTGTGACGCAGTATCACTGTGGTTCTGATTTGCAGCTCCCTGGTAACTAATGTCAATGAGCACAGACTTTTAATATTTTAAATTCTGAGTGATGGAAATATGGGCGTTTGGCATATTATTTTCTGTATGCTTACACCTTGCTGAAAAATGTTTTGCTTATTATTTTGCTTAATAAATAGTAAGGAGGCTTAATGAAGGGAGGCTTACCCAAGTGTCTGTCACAGAGTGAGGCCTCAACAAATGATCATGATGCAGTTGGGACAGCAGAGTTAGGTCTGAGCAGCCTTGTCCATGCCCCGGGGCCTGCCCCTTACTCCCTGCCGGGACAGCCAGGGCAATTCTCAACTCAGGGCCCCCAGCTCTGATGGTCCCCTGAGCATCCACCCTCCCAAGACAGAGTGTCATTCACTCGCCGTCCTTGTAGCAATGCCCCAGAAGTCCCCTAGAGCCCTCTCCTGCATAATTACGATTAGCAAGGATTTTAAAATACCCTCCGAGTGCACTCCATTGCCGCCCATGGGTCCCCACAACCTGTGCAGTGCCACAGGCAAGTGAGGAAAGAGGACCCTTTGAAAAGGTCAGCACCAGGAGGGGGCCAGCAAGATGGTCTTCAGCAAGTCCTGTCCTCCTGACCAGACCTCCTGAGTTCCCAGCACTGTCTTGCCACCCCTGTCCCTCAGAGCCTGGTCCAGCCCGACTCTGCACCTGGTTCTTTGCCCTTCCCTTCTCCACAAAGATTCATCTGGAAGTGAGTCTGCTAAGGGGTTGCTCTGGTCATTCATGATCATCTACGGTGCCTTCTGCAACAGACTGAATGCTCATGGTCCCCTAAATTCATGTGAAATCCTGACCCTCAAGGTGATGGTATGAGGAGGTGGAGATTTTGGGAGGTGATTAGGTAATAAAGTCAGAGCCCTCATGAATGGGATCAGTGCCCTTCTAAAAGAGTGCTCCCCCACCCCTCCCCTCGACCCCACCCCACCATGCAAGGACAGGGAGAAGACACCATGCACGAGCCAGGAATCTAGCCCTTACCAGACATCAAATCCACCTGCACATTGACATTGAACTTCCAAGCCTCCAGAAGTGTGAGAAATAAATTTCGGTTTTTTAAAATTTCTGTCTATGGTGCTTTGTTATAGCAGCCCGCATGTCTTCCATGTCACGTGTACCATGAGCCAGTCCTTCCCGTGGACCTTGTGTAACCTCCTAACCACATCCCAAAAACACACTTCTGTTCCCACTCCATTTTACAGATGAGGAAATTGAACCAGCCTTAGGGAAAGCCAAGAGCATCCCTCTGCATCCTCTGGGACATCCTGGGATGCCCTGGGGTCAAAGAAGAGAAGCTGTTGCTACTAGGGGCAGAACCAGGGTTGTACTTGGGGATGTGTGACCCCAAGTCCCAGGTGGTTAAACACCACTCTGCTACTTTCTGTAGAGCAATATCAGTGCCTGACAATGAACTTTTTAAAATGTTTCTTGTTCCTCTTCACAATCTTTATTTCAAAGAATATAAAGAACGGCCTTGGACCCACTACTCAACCTCAGCAGGCGAAGCTTGATATAACATCTGCCATGTCCTCGCCTAAGATGCCTGAAGGAGAAGGTACAAAAGAGCTGGCAGGTACACCAGAGGCCCACAAGATGCCTGCTCCATTTCCCTTCTGAGCTAGCCTCATGGGGAAGACACCTAAGGCCTGGGAGTGCAGACTTCCAGAAGGCAGAGTGAGGAGCTTTACCCAGCACTTTTCCAGTCAGGTAGGAGGTGATATTTTACTTTTGCAGTAGACTGTACACTCATCAGCTCCAAGGGGAGAGAGTTCTCCAGCTTTTCTGCCTTCTCCCAAGTCACCCACATAGGATGGGCCCGTGGCAGCTGCTCATCACAGCCACCTCCTCTGGGGCAGCCTGGACACCAGGCTGTTGCCACTGATGGCAATGCTAAATCTTGCCCCCAAACACTGGCTTTTTATTTACTTTGGTTGAAGGGCAACAAAACATTATTGTGTGGCTGGAATCAGGCAAATTACGAGCACTCTGTACCTACAGTTGGCAACATTCCACCCAGCAGAAGGTCTTGGGTGAGAAAGCGGGATTCTTCCTGGGAGCAGGTGTCTGAGGCGATAAGAAGCCCGCTTATCAATTGGCTTTTCCTGAGTCTCTGGTCTGTATATTCCTGAAATGGAGGCAGAAGCCACAGTGAATGCTCTCATTCAGATCCATGGGGCTAACAAGCTCTTCCATGCAGAAAATTCCTCCCTCTGTCATCACCCTTTTGGCATTAGGGTCCCTTAAAAATTCATGGCTGTGTTTTTCCATTTTATTGAGTCTCCTTTGAAGGTGGCTGTTAGATTTCCTTTCTGCAGAGATTGGGTCTCAGGTAGGGGCAAGGCCTGTGCTATGCAAGCTCTTAGTGCCAATGGCTCAAACAAGTGGCCTTTGAAAAGCTTTATCAATCTTCCTCCTGACTTGGGCAGAGATCATCCCTCCTGAACCTGCATTAAATTGTCAAAAAATGATAAACAGCAGTGGGTGATTTCTGAGGGACCAGGTGGGTCTGGGCTGGCCTGCAGACCGAGGGCATATGCTGTTGACTGTCTGCCTACTGGGGCTTCTCCTCTTCATTCACCACTAGAATCTGTCCTCATCTAAAGGATAAATGTTTCCAAGTGTGGTCCGTTTATTTTCCTCATGCCCCACCACAGTAAGCTCATGCTTTTTACTCCCAAAGACTGGCTGCAGTGCAAAGTGATAGTTAAGAACAAGAAAATTCACTAGAGTTGCCCTTTGCAGATCCTTGTGAAAGATCCAATGTTTAGATCTGAAGTGAGCTCAGGGATCATAACATTCTGTCATGTGAGGAAGAAAATGGAGGCCCAAAGAGGAAGAGTCAAAGCTCAAGGATGCATGGCCAGATATTTGGAAGTCCCGCTGCCTCTTCCTCCCACCCCACTCAAGAACCACTGACTAATTCTCAGAGTCCCTAAAAACTTTCCTGCGTAGTCCACATAGTTTTGCCAGAGATGGTGAATTCCTCTTCAAAGGGTTTAATTGTGTAATGTCCTTGTCCTTGGTTCGGAGGCCCCATCTCCTTGTACTTTCTTGTTTCTAGCCTTTAAGCAGCCCTCCTGCTCTTGTTGTGCCCTGACTTGCCCAGACATGTCTGAACATGCCTTGTGCTGCAGCAGAGGGACCACTCCTGCCCCCTCCCTGCCTTACGAATCACATGTTTACCCTGTTTGGAAAAGTTTAAGTCTTAGCCAACTGGGGTCAGCTTAGATTGTGTGATCCAACTCCAGCCAATGGGGACCAGACACAGAACCAGGAACTAACCGCATTAGGGATAAAAACCCCTTCCCTCCTTTGTTTGGTGTGCTCTTGCAGTGGCCAGAATTGTGAGCGGCATACTTCTGCAGAAGTAAATTTGCCTTCTTGAGAAATCCTTTGTTTGAGTGCTCATTTTCCTTGTGACTCCGAGCTCTTGTTTCTAACAGTTTCCTTGGTGTCTTCTTTCTGTTCAAGTTCCTTATGCTCTCCTTAGGTGAAAAGAGCCTTAACCCCCAAAATGCAGAAAACTTCCGGGACCATCTTGGAAGACACCACTTGACACTAGAAATTGTGGTGAATTAACAAGGGGGAGGCCATGCTGTATGGATCACAGTTTCAGCCAACATTTGCCCCAAAATTAGTGATTTCAATGGTCTCATTTTATCCTGGTGATAACCTCTATGGTAAGAGGTGGTTTGTGTTATTGTTCTTGTAACCAAGTACCCCCATTTTTTCTAAGAGATAGTTTAATTATTCTTTCCTCTTTCTTTTTCTCTTTTCTCCTTTTCCACACTTCCTACTTCCTACTTAGCCCTTTAGAAATGCATATATAGCCTTTTTTACCTCCTTTTATTAGACACTCCCTACAGGGCAAGTTCATCTAACTATGTGCTTGGGAGCTTCAGAAGGGAACTCACCCACCAAGAAGTTGCCTCAAGAGATAACAGTAGATTTACAACTCAAAGTATGCATGCCCACGAAGACACCAGCCATCACTAGCTTGACTGCATCTACCAAGCTAACACATGGGCCCCAAAACTGCTCACTTCCCCCACTCCTGCCTCCTTGGACTCCCCGATAGCCCGCCTACCACATGCCGTTCATGTTAGGCCTCCCTTACAAGTGTTCACTTTCTTCTCCAAAAGCTAAATGGTACCCTTAGGCAGGAAGCTTATACTTATTCCCTTAAGCCAGCTTTAGAGTGAAAAAGCTACTTTCTTTATACCAGACCTCACTCTTGTTAACTGGATTCTACAAGTGATGAGCAACTGGACCAGCATTTTAGTCACATGCTCTCAGTTTTGCAGTTGAAATCAAACCCCCAGCAAGCTTTGCAATTCCAAGTTTACCCCTTTCCTATGATTCTGGCTAATGCTCTAAAACCTCCAGACCTTATGAAAAGTGAATTAATTTTCCCCATTTTCTGTTCTCTTCCTTTTTAAAAAGGAAAACGTTGAATATTGTTGCTAAATATAAAAGTAATGCATGCTAATTATGACATCATAAGAAATGCATAGTTGGTCTCTGTCCCTGGTTCCTGACACAAGCTCCTGAACTGCAAGAAATAAATTTCTGTTGGTTATTTATACTTTCCTGTGTGATAGGGGTGATAGGTGCATCTTTTGTTATAATATTTGGTCTCCGTCCTTCATTCCTAACACAAGAACTTCTAAGACCCTTGGAATCTCCAGAGTGATAAGTGTCTTTTCTCTACTAATGAGATGACTGCTGGCTGGGAGCCCATAGGGTCGCTTCGGGATAGGGGTGGGTCACCAGAAAGACCAAGGCCTGATGAGTGAATTAGGACTTTCAACCTCACCCCCAGCCTCCAGAGAGGGGAAAAGGGCTGGAGATTGACTTAATCATCAATGGCCAACGATTTAGTGATCATGCCTTCATCAATGAGGCCCCCAGAAAACCATCACATGATGGAGTTCAAAAAGCTTTCAGGTTGGTGAGCTCACCGAGGAGCTGGGAGGGTGCTGTGCCTGGAGACAGCATGGAAGCTTCTCTTTACCCTACCCCCTAGTACCTTGTCCTATGTGTCTCTGCCATTTGTTCCTAAGTTGTATCTTGGTAATAAACTGGTAATAGGGAGTAATGTGTTTCCCTTAATCTGTGAGTCATTACAGCAAATTATCAAACTAGAGGGGGGGAATGGGGGAACCTCTGATTTGCAGCCAAGATGGAGAGAAGTGTGGGTAACCTGGGGACCCACTACTTGTGATTGGTGTCTGAAGTGGGGCAGTCTTGGGAGGGTAAGCTCTTTAATTTGGGGAGTCTGCCCAGACTCCAGGTAGATAGTGTCAGAAGTGGATTAAATTGTAGGACACCCAGCTGGTGTCCCCACAGAATTGGGGAATTTGGTGTCGATAACTACACATTTGGTATTAGAAGCATTGTGTGAATATGGAGGACTTTTGTTTTAACAGGACAGTGTTAGGAAAAATTAAACCCAGTACGCCTCACCACCCAGAGGCACCTGTGTTAACAATCTCACTCCTGCCTTTTTCATACATCATATTGTACATATCATCTCCTCAAGCGTGATTTTCAGTTGCTTCGTCACATCCCATGCATGGATGTAACCACGTTCTCCACATCTCCAACTTCCATAACTGTCATTCTCCATAGAAACAGAGTAAAACATGGAAATTAGTTTCAAAGGCTTTATTAATATATAGATTCTTAGTTGCAAAATGGAGACCATCTTGGGATCTTAACCTTCCTTTGATAATATTGTTCCAATTGAGTTCTATGTTACAGCATAACAAAAACTAATTTAGAAACCTAACTGCAGGTTAGAAACAGTTCCTACTTACTATAGAAGACTGTTTACCTATTTCAATCATGTGACCATTCTCAAAACAGGTTTAGGAATTGCCTCAGAAGCCCAAGGTAGCAGCCTGAATGGAAGAAAACCTTCTTGCAGGTAGATTTATTTAGCCTTTGGAATCAGCCGATTCAGAACCAAGACTGTGACTGAGTTGTGGAATGTTACTTGGGGACAAGGCTCTCAAGGAAGGGGGCTGTTTTCCTGTGTGGCCTGGAAACTGGTTCAAACAGCAGTTCTCAAAGAGAATTCCCCAGGACAGGGGCCAGAATATCCTCCGCCTCCCACTTCCAGGACAATCGCCTAGTCGTCCTTCAAGCCTCAGTAAAAGGATCTCTTCCTCTAGGACGACTTTACTACTGACTCATCCAGATAATTCCTCCCTCCACTGGGCGCTTGTGGTACACTGTCCTTATTCCGCTACTGTCTTCATGTATTTCCACATTTCCAGCAGTCAGCATAGCAGCTCACCCAAGAAGGATGCCCATGCATTGTTGAAAGAAGGGATGGGGCCAGGAAGCTCAGCTAGGTGCTGTTACGTTCACGTAAAACTAGAATCAGCAAATTAGAAGTGGGTCATGGCCTTCTACAAATGAGTGTCTAAACAGCAGAGAAGCAAACTGAAAGAAAAAACAAGCAGCAAGAAAAGAGAGCATTTATCTAGAAAGGAAAAATCCAGAAACTAAACAAATACAGAGATCTGAGACCATTGTGTGTAGAGTCCAATAGTCCAATGGGCACACTAGTCATCTGGAAGCCACTGTCCTGGCAGAGGGTAGACCTGAGTGTTGCTGGTGACAAAGATAAATGGTCACCTTGGATCAAGATGAAGATGCAATTTAAACACAACCTAGTTTTTTTTTAAGTCTTCTGTAGTTTGAGGAGTCAATACAATTATTCCTCCCTCTTTCCTAGCCTGTTCTCCAGCATTTAAAGATAGAAACAAAGAAAATTATGGAATACATCAGTCTAAAACTAAACCTACAGGCAGGAGCCAGATCCTTTGGAGAGCATGCAACAAGCAGATTTCCTTCAAGATAAAATGAAGTATTTCATGCTACAGGGTTTTTGGGTGGCCCTCCCACTGGGAGCTTCTGCTACAACAGAACCTGGCTTGTGCATTTAAAACCTAAAAGCAGGAGGATTTACATTTGCCACACAGCTTGCTTCCAACACTACTGAACACACTTCCAGATGATGCAGGGAAAGCTCTTGAAGATTTTAAAAAAAAAAACATGTGATTACAAACTATTGTATAACTTTGAATTTTTATAAAGACATAACGGAGCCCTCACAAAACGAAAAGTTTGCCAGGCATGGTGGCTCATGCCTGTAATCCCAGCACTTCGGGAGGCTAAGGAGGGCGATCACCTGAGGTCAGGAGTTCAAGACCAGCCTAGCCAACATGGAGAAACACCACCTCTACTAAAAAATACAAAAAAAACTTAGCCAGGCATGATGTTGTGCACCTGTAATCCCAGCCACTCAGGGGGCTGAGGCAGGAGAATCACTTGAACCCAGGAGGCAGAGATTGCAGTGAGCCAAAATCATGCCACTGCACTCCACCCTGGGCAACAGAGCGAGACTCCATCTCACACACACAAAAAAAAGACAAGAAAAATTAATTCCAATTCAAAGAAAGAGTCCAGGGCTGGGCATTGTGGCTTATGCCTGTAATCTTAGCACTTTGAAAGGGCAATGAAGAAGGATAACTTGAGGCCAGGAGGTTGAAGCTGCAGTGAGCCATGATTGCACCACTGCATTCCAGCCTGGGTGACAGAGTGAGACTCTGTTGAAAAGAAGAGTCCAGAACAGTTATGGCCAACAGATGTATATTCAGCAACCTCACTCACTCTAAGAAGTCCAGCTTCAGGGAGTATATTTACAGACCAGGTGGAGCAGGGCCTTGGACTGGTTAACACAGAGACTGGCTGTGCACAAAGGTCAATTGCTGATGGCAGAGTGAGTCTTCCAAAGATTAGATGCAAGCCATTTGGAAGTGTTGACACTATAAGCTTTAGTGTTGAGGACCCACGAGATGATGAGATTATTTTCTCTAAATCAGTGAATAACTATTCAAATGCTTTTTAATAGTGATACAAACTCCAAGTTAACAGGTTAATCTGAATTTTTTGCTGTTTTCCGTTGATCACCTTTTGAAGAAAGGACCTTTTCCCAAGTCTAAGAAGCTACCCACAGGAAAGTAAATAATCACTAAAGAAATAGAAGATTGTCTTCAAGATTCAGGACTTTTTGGATTCCTGAAAATTCTATATCAAAACCTAACTGATGGGAAGACCAAAACCAGGTGTGTGACATTTATTTAATAAACTAGATTTGTCTGATTTATTCCAGAATGGCAGAGTTTCGGTGGGAGGCATCTATAGCATCGGGTCTTAAAAAGTGGTCCCAGACTCCTGGAGGCTCCTGAGACTACACTGTGAGGTTTGCAAGATCAAAACTATTTTCATCACAATACTTAGATGTTATTTCCTTTTTTCTTTGGGGATACTTGAACAGATGGTGGAAAAGCAATGGTGGGTGAGATGGGTTGACCTTACCACAGTATCAAGGCATTGGCATCAAACTGCACAACTTGTCACTGGGGACATCACCACCCCATACTTGGAGGAGTGTGGATGATTTGTCTAGTGCTATCTGTGGAGTGTTGAAGTCCCCCACTATTATTATGTTACTGTCTATCTCTTTTCTTAGGTCTAATGGTAATATTTTTATGAATCTGAGAGCTCAGATTTTATTATATGTAAAAATGCATATATATTTAGGATTGTTATGTCTTCTGATTGAATTGGTCCTTTTATCATTATATAATGTCATTCCTTGTCTGTTTTTACTGTTGTTGCTTTAAAGCCTGTTTTATCTGATATAAGAATAGCTATTCCTGCTCATTTTGTTTTCCAATTGCACAAAATATCCTTTCCCACCCCTTTACCTTGAGTCTATATGAACCCTCACATGTTAGTTGTGTCTCTTGAAGACAGCAGATATTTGGTTTGTAATTTTTTATCCATTCTGCCAATCTGTATCTTTTAAGTGGAGAATCTAGGTCATTTATATTCAACATTAACATTGTGATGTAGGTTACTGTTTCAGTCATTGTATTGATTGTTACCTAGTAACTTTTTTTTCTCCGTTGTGTTATTGTTTTATAAACCCTGTAAATTCTATGCTCTCAGGAGTTTCTGTTCTGTGTGTATCAACCTTTAGTTTCAAGATTTAGAACTCCTTTTCACATTTCTTTCAGGACTGGTTTAATATTAACAAATTCCCTCAGAATTTGCTTGTCTGAGAAAGATTTTATTTCTCCTTTATTTATGAAACTTAGCTTTGCTGGATACAAAATTCTTGACTGACAATTATTCTGTTTGGAGGAGACTAAAGATGGGACTCCATTGCATTCTGTCATGTAATGTTTCTGCTGAGAAGTCTGCTGTTAGTCTGATAGGTTTTCCTTTGTAGGTTACCTGGTGCTTTTGTCTGACTGCTCTTAGAATTTTTTCCTCTACATTGACTTTAGATAGCCTGATGATTATATGCCTTGGTGATGTCCTTTTTGCAATGAGTCTCCCAGGAGTTCTTTGAGCTTCTTAGACATGTATTTGCATGTCTAAATCTCTAGAAAGGCTAGGGAAGTTTTCCTCAATTACTTACTCAAATAGGTTTTCCCTACTTGTTGCTTTTTCTTCTACCTCAGGGATGCCTATAATTCTTAGGTTTAGCTGTTTTCCCATATTTCTTGGAAACTTCGTTTATTTTTTTTAATTCTTTTTTTCCTTTATTTTTGTCTGATTAGGTTAATTTGAAAGCCTTGTCTTTGAGCTCTGAAATTCTTTCTTCTACTTGGTCTAGTCTATTGCTAAAACTTTCCACAGTATTTGTAGTTCCCCAGATATGTCTTTCATTTCCAGAAGTTCTGATTGTTTTTTCTTTAAAATATGCCTCTCCTTAGAAAGTTTTTCACTCATGTCCTGAATTGTTTTTAATATTTCTTTATGTTGGTTTTCACCTTTCTCTTGTCTCTCCTTTAGTAACTTAATAATTTACCTTTTGAATTCTTTATCTGGTATCTCAAAGATTTCATCTTGACTTAGACTCACTGCTGGAGAGTTAGTGTAATCTTTTGTGGGTGTTTTTAGAACCTGTTTTTTCATATCACCAGAATTATCTTTCTGATTTACTCTCATTTGGGTAGACTCTTTCTTCTTATGATTTTTAAATTAATTTTTATTTGACTGGTTTTAAAACATTTCCCCGTGAGGATGTGACTTTAATGTTTATAGTTCATTGTCACCTAGCTTCAGCTCTGCATACTTTCAGTGGCAAAGACTCTGAGTTCCTTGGTTATGGAGAATCTTTGTGTGATGGATTTCTCAGATGCTGGATGTACTAAAAATGTGTTGTGTGTGTAAGCAGATTCACTGTCTCATGTGGGGCTGGAATGGCCGTGGTCTCATGAATATCTCATTTCCCAGTGATGTGCACTTAAAAAGAAAAATTCCCCAGTATTTTATTCACTAGGTTGAACAGTTCAGGCTTCGGGCCAGTAGGAGGTGCCAATGGGTTAAAAAGAAAATGGCTGCAGCTAAAGCAGGTGGGTAAAAGCGATATCCCAGTGGTGGGTGGAGGTCCCAGCTTTGACAGAGGTGACTGAGGAAGCTGTCAGTAAAATGCACTGAGTTCTTTTCAGGGGGAGGTGAGGGATCCACCACAGTTCTCCTTCCAGGCCAGAAGGAAAGTAATCCACCTCCCAGCCCACTCCTGACCTGGTATTCCAGCTGTTAGATCAGACAGGCAGCTCTTATTCATCAGGAATACTGATGTTTCATGTAGAAAGGGGTTGTGAATCTCTCTCTCTCTCTCTCTCTCTCTCTCTCTCTCTCTCTCTCTCTCATGCAAGCCTGAACCTGGAAGGGAATGCTGTGGGGATGCAGTCACCCTAGAGTGTTCCAGAAAGGGTGCCTACTAATGCACCCACACCAAGCTCCTATGGGAGAAGCCCCCGCTACCTCTGCAGTGGTGGTCAAGGGATGGAAGAAGTCCCCTTCTCCAAGACCATTCACAAGTATCAGGGCTGCCTGACTACTTGGGTAGAGCAACAGACTTTCCCCACCGAACCGAGCACTGCACCTGTGCCTCTGCTGAAAGAAACTTCCCACCCGTGGAAAGTTCTAGCACTCAAGGCCTGCCTTCTGAATTCCTTTGTCTCATAGGGTCCTCCCTTAATGTGTGCATTCTCACTTCCCCTAGGAGTAGCAGCCCCTGAAGGCCAGACTACTGTGAATGCTGCTGCTCCTCTGGGTCTAGCCACCCAGTCGGGCTGCCACATTCCAGGCTGGTGCTAGGGATATCTACAAGGGATCCAATGATGTAACTTGTCCAGTCTCCCAGCAGTGGCAGGGGAGAGACATAGACTGAGATTTTCTTGGTTGTAAATAGCCTTAGCATGTTGGCTTTCTCAAAGCCAACAATAGTAGTAACGTACTAGGTATATGGAAACGTACTTTCCATATGGAAAGACTCAACATCTGGTTAGCCAGGGTGATGCAGGCAATGTCAGTAGGCGAGGTTGCACAGAGGTTTTCTTCTTCCTGAGTAATGTGTTATTGTGCCTGCAGATGCTGCAATGGATGGTGGCAGCTGGCCACCAGCCAGGAGGTGGCACTCGCAAAAGATCACCAGCTGAGGTGGTAGTGATGGGGTTGGTGCTTGCCTCATGTTACCCAGGGGAGGTACTCTGGAGTCTCAGGCAATGGGCGGGGTCCTGGAGTTCCCAAACGTCCCTGTCCCTTGTGTTTACCAGGGCAAGTGAAGGGGCAAAGCGGGTCAGGCTAGATCAGGTAAGTCCACGCCCTGGCTCCCTACATGCAGGGGCAAGCAGTGTCCTCAGCGGGGGATTGGAGGGCAGTTCTCTGGCTGCTGGGATAATGTTCCAGAGATGAGTGTAGCTGCCGCTGCTGCACAAAAGAATCCGCATGGGGAGTGAGGAGTAACAGGCGGCAGTCAGTCCCACTCAGCTCCCACGCACTTGGCAAGGAAGGCCTCACACCCGCAGGGTTCAGCCAACAGCAGCGAGCTGGGTTCCAGGCAGCCTGCTCTCAGAACTCAAAACCGCCCAGGCCATGAGTCTTCCTGATAGAGACAGAAACCTGGCTTTCATGCTTCGGCCCTCCAGGTCCACCCGGGAAGCAGGGGTGCCAGCTCCTGCACTCGTGGCCATAGCACACTTCCCAGTTGCCCCTGGGTTCAAGCCAATAGGGTTCGTCCCCTCTCGAGATTATGTGGCAAAACTCAGTTGGGAGCTTCTCTCACCCTGTGACCACCGCCTGAGTCGGCTGGCAGACTTCCACAAGGGCCCCTGTGGGATGGGATCAGGAATGGCTTCGCTCCATCACCGCTGGAGCCTGGGAGTGCCCACAGAGCCTGTCCCGATGCTGCTCCTCCCTCTGTTCTCCCCACCACTCACTAACTCGGCTCCAGTGCTGGGCAGGGTCATGGGCTTCTGAGGGTTGCAGCTCCCCTGTGGGAGTGAGCGTCTTGGCAGCTGTGTCTCCCCTCACGCTCTAGAGACTCAAAGTCTTCCATCTGCTTCGCGGTATAGGCTGCTGCCCGCCACTTCTTTCAAAGGGACTATGGTTTCTTTCCCTTTCTGTTAAGTTCCTGTGTTGCTCTTGGAGAAAAGTTCACAGTGTGACTCTCTATACACTATTTCGTCTTTCCAAGTGGGAGAGGCAGGCTAACTAACAATGCCTCCCATCTGCTAGCTTGGGGGAAGAAAAAGGTTCATTGATCTTAAGACCAGAACCTATTTAGGAAGACAGGAAAGATACTGGTCAGCATGTAGTGTCCAGTGAAAATGGTTACATTTGTAGTCAAAAGGTCAATGTTTCCCAGTGTATATACCACAAGAGTCCTGCACACTGGGTTACTCAAAATGAGACGGGCCTGGGGCCAGCAGAGGGAGGCCAAGGTCTACTACTGGGAAGTGCACTTTGGACTTTGTGCAACCCTTTTATACACACGCAGGGCCGCTGCCATGCTATAGGTCCCAGGTGTGCCTCGAGGAGACGTTGGCGGGTAAATCTGCATCAGAATATCTGCTCAGCCTCTCCTTGGTTGTGGCATGGTGGGGACGCCACTTTGCCAACCTAAGCCTTAGTGGCTCATCTATCAGATGGGGTTAACTATAAAACAACACAGGATATTGCTGTGAGGATTCAACACAATCTCCTGTTTGCAGGGTTTGGGGCAGGCACACCCTGAGGCCTGGCACCTGTGGCTGTGGTCTCTGCTATTGCAACAGCCTTGAAGACTGGGACCCCTACTGGGACCCCCGCTCTCTTCTGGGGGACCCTGGAAGGCTCCACCATATCCCTACACTGAGTAAGAAAAGGAGAAGCTTCCCCCTGTGGGAACAGTGACTTACGGGAGCTGAACATGGTGCCGAAGTGGCGTGCCTCAAGAGAGCCAGAGGAGCAGGGCATTCCGAGGGCCAGGATGAAACTAAGGGCCAGGACGAAATGAAACACCTCCTTGCCGCTTGGCAGGAGGGGCGTGAGAAGCAGGAGGGGTGTTCTTTTTCACAGTGATTTTTGTAAAATGAATAGTCATAAAATATAATTCATTTCTTCCTCAATCTTCCCTTTTTACTAAACATTTAAACATTTTGAAAATGAAACTTTCATGGTCTGAAACCTGTCACTAAAACAAATTCTTTTTTGCTTTTAAACTAGGACATTGTCTGAAATTCTAATCAGTGCTGTCATTATTTTTCAGGGTCTTTGGGCAGTGTGAGGACATATGTCAGCAAGCGCATAACAAACACAGAATTGGCGGCCCTAACAGCGGGGAAAATAGTACCTGTGTATCCACGGCGTCCTCACTGCTACCCCACATGGGGCATTCAGGTTTCACAGACATCCCTTATGCCTCAGGTCCTTCTCCAGTGCAGCCGTAGTAAACCAGCGCCCTGGTCACCAGGAGTGCTTTGGGCCCTGGCCTTCTATTTGAAGGATCACAAAGTCCCCCTCTGGGTAGGTGTGGAGGGTCATGCAAAGGAGACCCCACCATCCCCTGCTGGGGTCAGCACCCAAGCTCACCTGAGGATTCATGTGAAACACATTGGATGCCTTTGCCTGGGCCCACTGCCTCTTTCCCTTCTGAATAAAGAAGACCCACCATGAGACTCACAAGCGGGGTGAGGTGAGGCCTTACCTCCTCTGGGGCACACCAGGAATGCCACACTTCCCCTCTGGGACAGAGCTCCGGGACCAGGGGCCACCCTTCCTTCCCTTCCTGACTCCACCCAAGCACCTCTCCTCGGCCTGATACACAGAAACTGTCCAACGAATCCAACACAGAAAGAAAGGACTTGGAGACCTGTTTCCATTCAGCTCTGCCACTTGTCAGGTTGAGTTCCTGGGCAGGTCTACTAACGCCTCTGGGCTGAAGTGTTTTGTTTATTACTGTTTGTTTACAGGACAGCAGAATGAGTGTGGCCTGCAGTGGCTAAGGGTGGTGACATTATTCCCACTCACAGTTTCTACTGTGTTCTAGGGACTTATGGGTCTGTGACAGAGGAGGCCACCCTGAGCCGTCAAGGGCACAGAGCTCCTTATTATGGCTCACTCACAACAGCCCTGCAAGCTAAACCAGCTCTTGTGATCCCATTTCACAGATGATTAGAATGAGGCTGACTGAGATGAAGTCACTTCTCTGAGTCGTAAGTAGCAGATCCCAGGCGGCGTGACTCCAGAACTTCCCTGCTTCATCCTACACTGATTCTTGTTTCTCTTATTTATGTATTTATTTTTTTTCATGAGGAAAGATGAGCTCAGAGATAGGCAGTGACTTTGCTGGTTTCTCACCACTCTCTGTGGGATGTCAGAGCAGCCTATGAACGTTCTTAGTCCTGGGAGGTGGAGGTGTCTAAAGGGTCAGGGAACGAGGACCAGGGCTAGAGAGCTGGTCAATTGTTAGGGGAGATCAGTCCTCTGCACCACCGGCCGATGACCTCATCTGCCTGAGGCCCCTGAAAGTTCTGAGTGCTGGGTCCAAACAGTCCAGAGGGTCGCAGGGACCAAGGGCCCCCAGCTTCTCTCCACACTGGAATTTCAGGGTCAGAGGGCCCCTGACTCTGAGCCATCCCTGCCCCCTACACATCTTGCCTGTTGTCTAGGCTGTAGAAAGGCAACAGATTAGTCAGCTAGAAACCTGCTTTGAGTCTACCCTGAATGACCGGTTCCAGCATAAGAGAAGGAGGGTTGCTGAGTAGGTGTGGGGTGGGGAAGGAGTGCCCACTCTGCAACTCGGCTTAGCACCTGCTGCCCTTTGCAGAATCTGCAGGGTCCCAGGCCCTCCAAGAGGCTGAGCAGCCTCAAAAGGCATGAAGCTGCTGGCATGTACCTGCGGCTCCACAGGCAGCATACAAGGGCATCGCTAGTGCCTGGCCATGTGAGGCTGGCTGCAGGATCCCTAGGCGGACCCTGAGAAATACCATATCCAAGGACACAACGCTCCCGTCCTGCCTAACCCACAGAGTTTGTTGAGATGATCAGACACAATTCTAATGATGATAGCAAAGCTTACCTGGAGGTTCCCTCCCGTATCCCACTGTGCTTTGCAAACACTAACTCACTGGCTGAGCCCAGTTTGACAACAAAGTACTGATTTCTCTAAAGTTCTCATCATAGACTGTATGAAGAGCATATGTTTTATACAACTTACTTATTTTGCAAATATGGATAAACCTTTGCAACCCAGATCATCATAACAAGACCACGTGGGTTCATTAGAGTCATACAGTGTTTCAACGGTCATAATATGACTAGTTCAGACCCCTTCGAAATAGTGCTTCAGGTGAATCAATTCACCAAATGTAAAACAATGTACATTTATTAGTTGTTTTAAAACAGCAAATTACTATTCATTGTGTAATGAATTGTTGCCTTACTATGCCATCCACCCATCTTGTAGGCTGAGGCATGGAGGCCTGTGTTCACCCTTCCGCACACCCACCTGTGCTTGTGAAATGTACACCCACCTGTGCTTGTGAATAGCATTAAAGCCATTTCTACAGACTTCGCATGTGTAGTTTCATTATCTTCTGCCTTAAAACACATTAAGGAAACCATTCTCTTTGTCTCCCAAATTGTGAAACGTAGTTCCATTTACCTGCTTCCCATGTTTTAAAGGTCATTTGTGATATAAGTATTGAGAAAAATTTTCCCCCTAAGGAAACTGAGCTCTGCTCAAATGCCGAGGTGAATAAATGCAGCGCTTTTCCCACAAAACACAATCATTCACACAAACACACGATGCGAGTGCCTGTTTAGCAATTGTTTCTGCGGGTTTGTTATCTATAGCTGTTTCCTCTTCATTAGTTGTTTACATTATTAAAATCTGATATAAAATGCAAACTTTCAAAGAATGTGTTTCTAGATCCAAAGAATTTAGAAAATGTTCACTGTTGATCAGATTTTTAAAAATATATTCAAAGTTAATATTAAGAGTAACTTTGAATAAGTAGGGCTTTAGAGCAGGACGTGACAGAGAACTGACCTTTCAAAGAATGAGCACAATTTGTGACTAAGTACCTCTTTTAAATGGAGTTTAGCAATTGCTTTCTGAATACCTGTCTTGACTGTCCAACAGTAGCTCCATGGGGGCGGATACCCTGGTGAGCACTGTGCTAGCCACATCGCAGGTATCCTACATGTATTTCTTAAATGAAAAATATTCTTTCTAAGACAGTGTTAAAAAATCATGAGTAAGAAGGTCATTAATCCCTGATAGCTTCATAAATGAGATATTCTTCTGCCCAAAGAGATGCTGCTCTGCAAATCACACCCAGGGAATTCTGCTCCTTTTGGCCATGGTCCCATGAAGACACACAAGGTGATCGTTTCAGAACCCTATCAGTGTTCAACCTGGCTAACTTGTGAAATAGTCAAGCTCAAAAGATTCTCAAAGTGATTTTCTGGGAAAATATTCTACTGTAAAGAAGGTCAGATCCATTCCGTTGCCTTTAAAACATTTTCCTGGTTGCCCACCGGCTTCTCATGAAACCGGGAACCAGTTTCACCCAATCTGTTCTCAAAGGGCTAACCTACCCCATGCCCATGTTCCATGTTTGCCCTGTCCCTGACTCAAGGAATGAATGCCTGCAAGCCACAGTGTTCTAACCCATTTCTCCCTCAGTCTCTGGCTGGGCAGGAGCCTGCTGATGGATGACACACTCCCATCAGACCTGCCACACCCAGGTCTACACCACAGAAACTAAGGCTGTTGGTTGACACGGTGGATGCTAGAACTTGCTGCAATGTTTCATTTCTATTTTAACTGAATTCACCACAATCCTATTAAACCAAAAATATAATGTTTAGCCTCTTTAGCATATAGACCACAGGGCTATCATTTTTCTCTTTCTCTGATATTCTCATTTCTATTCTCTTTCTGAACAAAACCCCATCTTGGAATATCAAAAATGTGTTTGAGGATCACAATAATCACCTTTACCCACCATTGGGTTTGAATATGCCAGCAATTGAGGGTCCAGAGAACCAAGTCACTTACTCCAAAATCTCTCTTTGCCTCCAGCACTTGGTCCTGGAAAGGTGAGTTCTGAAACCCTCTGTTCCCAGAAGTCTTCATGCATAGAGTAGAATAAAAATACCCAGTCCCTCCTGAGGGGAATGAGATCATAGGCACTGAAGTGCTTTGAGATACTCAAAGAAAAGAAACATGACACAGCCTTTTATTATTTCAGATCGTGAGACCAGGTCAGAAGGGTCGTTACGCTCATCATGATACTACTGCTTTGAATACCACACAGACCAGCGACATTTCCCATTCATTTCCCCAACCTTGTGGGAAAAATTTTCAGGAGTACAGCATCAATGAAGAACACAGTGTCATGAAACACAAATGCTGTCACAGATGACAGTCACGTTACCATGCTGAATTGTCCAGAGAAGCTAACCAGTTACTACTCAGGGCTGATGTACAATAGATGCAACGCCAAAATGAGATGAAAGAGAATTCAGAATAAAATTCCGTCCCTTGGAGCATATTCCATTGGCTTTCTCTGCTCCTGCTTCCGCTGGTATCTGGCCTTCTGGTAGAAAATGATGATGGTTACAGTGACTATATTTAGAAGAATGACGAGCAGTATGAGCCAGAACGAGTATCCGTAACTGTGGGTCGTTCCTTTACTGGTGGTTGCCGGGTAAAGCATTTGGAACAACTCTTCGGAGAGTTGGTTGGACTGCGTGTTCGCCACAAACAGTATCATGGTCACAAAAACGAAGGATGCTGAAAGGAAGATGGAGTTTCATGCATGGCATGGTGATACAGTTTTTAATGTCACTTATCTTTATGGAACACATATATATGGGAATGTATTGCATATCTACACAGGAGTTTACACTCTTTTAAGCACTAGGGAGAAGGTACAAAATTGTAAGACACAAACTAGATGTCTAGGCATAGAACACTAAAGATTGTGCAGGGCTGTGTATGACCAATAGTGAATGTGCTGACTCAAACGCTTTCAGAAGCAGTTGTGTAACTTGTCTACCAAACAGCGCACTTCCTAGGTGGTGAATGCAGTAGTGTGCTGAATGAATGATTGACTAGGACAGTTCAGAGAGAAGCTGTATAAGGAGGTCTGGGAAGAGCTGAGGAAGGACAGGGCATCACAGATGGAAGAAGCCGCCTTAAAAAGACCCTGGGTGGGCAGTGGGCCTGGAGCACCTGGGACTGTGAGATACAAGCTCAGCTGCTGGGGAGAGGTCCCAGGGTCCTAAGAACTGGGTACGGAGACTGGGCTGCCCTGAGAGCCACAAATGCCATCCCAGGAGCTTGAATCTCATGGCATATGATGCCACTGGCAAGTGTCTAATCAGGAGGAATCTCCTTACAAAACTCATTAGAGAAGAGAACTTATTGCATGTTTATGTCTTCCCTTTTTTATTCTTCACAATATCCTCCACTAGAAAACATTCTTTTTTGTTTGTTTTGAGATGGGGTCTCACTCTCCCCTGGGCTCTGAAGTGCAGTGGTACAATCTCAGCTTACTGAACCTCCACCTCCCAGGCTCCATTGATCCTACCACCTCAGCCTCCTGACTAGCTGAGACTACAGGTATATGCCACCATGCTTGACTAATTTTTTATGGAGACCGGCTTTTTCTATGTTGCCCAGGCTAGTCTCGAACTCCTGGACTCAAGTGATCCACCTGCCTCGGCCTCCAAAAGTGCCGAGTGTGAGCTACTCTGCCGAGCCCTAAAGAACATTCTTCAGTATAGACTTGGGAGAGCCACTTTTGTCTAGTTAAAAGAACGTAGTTCTGGAGTCAGAGAGAACAGGATTGGAAATCCCAGCTAGATGAACTTGAACAAGTCATGTAGCCTTTCTGAGCCTCATTCCTCATCTTTCAAAGGGAATGAGATAGAGACAAAAAAAAAAATGTAGATTAGGGCTTTCGCGGTTGCCTAGTGCTGGAAGTGGGCTGGGAGGGGGTGATAGCTAAAGGGCATGGGGTTTCTTTTCAAGGTGATCAAAATATTCTAAAATTGGCAGTGGTAAGCCTTGCCCATGTCTGAGAACATACAAAAAACCATGGAATTGTATACTTTAATGGGTGAATTGTATGGTGTGTGACTCATGTGTCAATAAAGCTGTTAAAAGAAAGGTTTTGGAGGATAAGGATGCCTATGTTCCAGGATCTGTGATGAGGCCGGTGAGCAGGCTCACCCAGTGAGGTCTGATACGCACGGGGGCCGCCAGGGGATCCTGGCCACGGAAGCCCTTTGAGACTCCGTCTGCCGCCATGTACCCGGAACTCAGTGGACATCAAATGTATCCTGCTATAACCCACACCCAGGGAAACTTTCCAAACGGTCCATCAAAAGGCCTTAATTAGAGGGGTTTTGTATGAGGAGAATGTTTTAAACACTCCTTGATGACAGATCTTCATCCTCAATGTAATGGTTTTATTTCTTAATAATTTGTCCGTACAAAAGCCCTGACCCTCTGAAGCTCTCCAGGTGCCTCACAGCCTTAATTATCTTTCATTTTCCTCTTGTGAAGTTTCTTATAAAAGCTTAATCATAAAGGGGCAGGATGTATATAGTCTAAATGCTTTTTTCCAGAGCGGGCTGCCTAGAACTTTGATTTGAATGGGGAGGGGCCGACACACAGACACAAAATGCAAACCTGAGTCCCCTTTAGTGATGAGATGCCCAGAGCCTCTACCTGCCAGGCTTCTCCAGCCTCTGGGACAGAAGGATTTATAGGGGCTGGAGGAAGCCCCGGGGTAGATGAGGAGCTTCGGAAGGCTCACGGACCCTGGCTTCTGTCCTGGCCTGTGACCATCGGGCCCTGTGACCTCCTGATCACTTTCCACTCTCTGAGTTCCTCAGATGAGACACAAATGTATTTGGAACAGGCAGTCTGCAAAGTTGTCTCTGGCTCCAAGCTTCTCTCAGGGGACAATTTTATCCCCTGAGGCCAGGATACAGCCTCATCAGGTCAGTGTGGTGTAGAAGGTAGGCTGAGGTCAGAGGTCACGGGAACCTAGGAAGTGAGACTGCTGTTTGTCTCCTCAAAGCAGAACCTGCTTCTTTCTGTCAGAAACAAGCCAGGAAACCCACTTCCTTCCCTACCCAACATCTGCTGGCCAAGCAGAGGTAGTTCAAAACCAGCCGCTAGGAGTTTGGAGCACTTCCTTCTGGCCCCAGGACTCCCAGAAGTCAGTCTGATCATGCTGTCCCACAGCCATGACCCAAGGCAAGAATTAAGACATCTCTGTATACAAGCCCTTCTGCAGGCTGAGCCTCCTGGAAACTGAGAGTTTCAGTAAGTTCTCCAACCCTCAAAGCTCCTGTGAGAAAATCAGGAACCCCCAAAGGGCTACTTTGGGCAAAAGTCAGGCCTATCAACACTGTTAGGGTCAAGAGGCCTCAAGGGGCATTTAGAGGAAGCTAAGCTGTGCTGAGGCCTTCTCCCAGGCAGGCATCAGAATGCAATCTGCTCCTTACACATCAACCTCTCAGGTTGTTTTCTGCCCACCTCACAGCCTCCCTCTGTGTGTTAGAACTTGCTCCTGAGCCAGGAAAGGAAGGTGGCAGGAATTCCCTCTCCGTCCAACAATTCTTTGTGGATAGGAGTAGGCAGGGCTACGGGGAGGCTCTCAGGTCCCTGTTTCTCATGTTTTCCTTCACAAACATGCATGAGGCCTCTGCTATATGCAAAGCCAGCCCATACTCTGCTGCGGAGGAGCAGAGATATGGAGCCACAGCCTAGTGGCAAAGGCAGTGGACTTTGAACCCTGCAGGCTGTAGACACAGCAATGCTGGGTCCCTGTTGTTCGGCCGGCGCCACACCTGGCCCTCTACTCTGGTCCTGGCGCCTGTTTTCCCTCCAGGAATGCAGGCTTCCTTCCCCACTCACCCCTGCGGCTGGGGAAGGGCCGATTCCAGCCCCAGCTCCAGGATGGGCAGGTAGCCTTGGCCCATTAGTGGATGGCTTGGGGAATTCAACCCTGCCAGCCACAGAGATTGGTCAAGGGATGGGAGAAGGGCAATGCCAGTGCAAAGTAGCCCAGGACTTTCTCTGAATTTGGAGGAAATGAGAAATTTTTTTCTCCTGGGGCTGCCACCATCAGCAATGAGCCCAGAGTGGCCAGCAGTCATCTTATCTTCAAGAGGATTGATCTGGCCAATTAATGAATGATGGAGTCAACGCTGAGGATTTCAATAGATGGAGCAATGGCAGGAAACAGTCCTCACGACACAGGCCGAGACCTTGACTCGAGCTGTGTCTGAAGCCACTGCTTCTCGTACTTTCTTAGTTGCATGAGCAAAAGTAAAAATAATCTATCTCTTTACCCTGGCCATAAGTACCAATTGGTTTACCTTGGTTTGATTGACTGGGGTGAACCATCATCATACAAGTAGCTTAGGCAAGGGACTCTGGCATTCAGGTGAGTATATCTGATTGTGTAACAAAGTCCCTTAACCTCTGACACTCAGCTCTGCCATAAGAAAGGGAAACAGTGATATTCATTCTACAGGACTTTTGTGCCTCGTCCATAGTGGCTGCCCATTAAATTGGGGGATTTATTTGTTTTTACCCCCAAATAATAAAAGCACAGAAAGAAAGAGCCAGTCATATATGAATGTGGTTAAACTAGCCTGACCCCAAATCCTTAGAGCTGAGGTGTGAGTATGTAATGTGACTCTGGTCCACCTGTAGTCCTGGCTTAATGCTTTTCCATTTTAAAAAGCATCCCTCACCGTCCTACCTGTGCTGTGCTGGGGCCAGTTTGTACATCTCAACTCCACGTCAGTGATCTCACATTGGGAGTTTGAAAATGGCCATGTGGCTGTGTTTACACGATTCCAATCACCAGGGCTTTTTTCTCTTTTTGTTTTTCCCTACTGGAGAGCCAGTTGTTCATATTCCTCAGCACACCTCTACTCCATGACATGGAGACGCTGGCCTCCTTCAGCCACCTGCGCCTACCTCGTGGTAAGGATGACACTCAATGGAGGGACAGGATGATGCTGCCCTCAGCCCCTCCTCCGAGGCTTCCTGACATGTCTGATATCCAGAGCCTCCTTCCTGTGCTTCAAAATTTCAGGCCTGTGTTAAAATGCGTCACCTGGAGCTTACATGAAGCCACCTCAGAAATCATTTCCTTAGGACAGGCTTCATTCCCAAGGTCCAGTTTTGATGGTGGAGAGGGAAAGAACAGGAGAAACCTGACTGCCTGGTGGGAGCAAAAGGCCCTGAAGGCAGCTGGGCAGGGCAAATAGGTACTTCCCCAGCCCTGCTCTGGGCAGATGGGCAGCTGCAGAGCCCTGGAAAAACCCAGTGAAAGCCAGAAGACTGTGAGTCAAAGCTGGGACCCGCTTCCCATCTGGGCTCCATCCTCCCAGCACCACACCCATGAAACAAACAAAATAACCAAGCAACACCACCCAGCAACACCCCAGGCTCACAGGTAGCCCACAAAAAAGGTATTGCACCCAGATTCTCTTATGTGCCATTATCTGTGGCTCTGTGGCACGACCATGCAGAGATGTCATGTGTGGAGACCAAGTGGACTCTTGTCATGTGGAGGAGGAAAGAGAAGGAAGTGTGTGCTGGTGTGTTCATGTGTGTGTGTGTGTGTGTGCACATGTGTGTGTGCATGCGTGTGCATGTGTATGTGTGTGCACATGTGTGTGCTTCTACATGCCACACAGAGCCTAGTTTGGAGTTCAGCACATGGCAGGAGCCCGGTCAATATTTTGTTGACTTTTGTGCATTTTGACTTCTTATGTTAGAGTCTCAAAAGCAAAGCCTGGCTTGTTATAAGCCTCCTCAGCAGTGCATTTAAAACAGAATTCTATTTCCAGAGATGCTTCATAAACACTTTGGATTGACAAAATAAACCCCAGCCCTCAGCTCATGGGAGGTCCTCATAGTTTCCTTGGTGTAAACGTGACTGTGTATGTTCATGCATGTGTGAGAGGCAGAGACATGGGGACAAGCGGGATGCAGTTTTCTGCAGAGCACCGAGTCTCACAGGGCCACTCACCACCGAGCCCGTTCCAGGTGTACACCCCCGTCGGCCCCAGGAATGTCTGGTAAGGGTTGCTGATGCTGTTGTAGAAGGTAAACCCAGAGCTCAGCAGCGACGTGATCAAACTCAGGACCAGGAACAGGATAGTCACCGAATGCAGAGTTTTTTGGGAAGAATTATTCAGTATCTCTAAAACTAAAACAATGTTTTGTGAGTGCATAGCACATAATGCAAACACCAGCTCTGGCCTGGCATTCCTCCCCACCCTACCCTCTTAGTGACTTGAGTTACTGGTTGTTGGATGTCAGTTAGAGATACCAGGAGCCTCCAACCCATGCAAGAACAAGACCCGCATTCCCCACTGGAGGCTGGTTGTTGAATCAGTGGTTGGATGGGTATAACCGCGACACTACAGATAACTGGACATTTATGCTGATTTTGAAGTCTCCTAGGAAAGAGTTTACCTTCCTGGATACCGGCAGCAGGGCTGGACAGCCTTCCCATTACTGAGCTCGGGCTCCGTCCTTGCCAAGGTGCTTTTCCCAGTTTCATCAGTGCCCCTGTTGCTCTGAGCACTAACTTGGCTTCCACTTGGAGGCACTCACAGGGTAGGTCACCCTGAAAACCTGTGCACTGTGAGAATCCCACAAGCCCTGTGGCATCTGGGGTAATTGCATGAGTCAGGGGTGGCATCAGCAGAGAAAAGCCTAAGAAAGGTGACCAGGAAAGTGGAAGCTGAAGGCTGACATAAGAAAATGACTTCTGTTGGTGCAAATCGAGTTGTGGGTCCTACTTCAGACTCCACTTCCCTGGGGCCAGAGAGGACCAGATGCCCAGAGGGCTCCAACGCTGGAGGCGGCTGGGAATTCGCCCATGAGTGAGCCTTGACTCTGCTTTCCAAGGAGAACTCTTCTGAATCCTAACAGCATTGGATGAATTTGCATATTTCTTAAGTGCAGAGGAGCTCCAGGCATGGAAGGACACTCTTATAACATGAAGCAAAGGTGCCCTGGCTGTCAGTCCTGGGTTCCTGGTTTTGCCTTTCTCAGGCTTCTGACTGCCACCAGCCATCTCCTCCACCGGCTCTTTTGTGGAGGATGCAATGCCCAGGCACCACAGGGCTGCACTTACATGTAAGCCCAGCCCAGCCACGGGCTGACAGGGTGTGTGAGGCCCTGTGGAGGAGGCCAGCACATGAAATAGTGTTTACAAGGATGTTCCATGAAAGTCACCAGGACATGGGAGAAAGGGATTAGGGAGAAGAGTTCCGAGTCACAGTAAGGCCACAGCAACATCACTGGGAACAGGTGGGTAAAAACAAGTGAAAGGCTCTTTGTTTCCGTTCTGGTTTCTCTGGTCTCCAGGGAGAGAGCCTTGGAGCCCTCACCTCTTTATCTGGAGCAGCTTTAAAGAACAGAAAGCGAAAAGGCCAGGTAGGATCTCTGGTTTCTGGGCCTAGGGGTGGTATTCCCTCAGCATATGCCCACGGGTCGAAGGTCAAGGAGTTCCTAATGGAACCAGAGTGTTTCAAAGAATTCAGAATGGGAGGCAGGAGACCCCAGGGTGCTGTGGGCACCCATGGGAGGGGTCACCAAGTCCCCTCCCCTTTCCCTCCTTGCATCGCCGTAATGATTTAAAAATTCCTCATTATGCTGAGCCCAAATCTGCATCTCCACGACTTAAACCCAGGGGTCCTAATTCTCCTTTGGGAATCATACAAAATTCACTTGCTCCTTTCCTGCCTGGCAGCCTTTCCAAATATTTGAGGAGGGATATAAATCCCAACATGATTAACAGCCCACATTTCTGGAGTATTCTCTGCTGAGTGTGACTGCAAAGTTCCTGCCAGCCTGG
Source organism: Homo sapiens (assembly GCF_000001405.40). Lineage (NCBI taxonomy): Eukaryota > Metazoa > Chordata > Mammalia > Primates > Hominidae > Homo > Homo sapiens. The sequence continues at coordinate 127,885,535 of NC_000010.11, forward strand.
CCTCCTACACATACTTTATTCTGACTCTATTTCTCTTTCTCTCTTTTTCTTCTGTTTTTGGAGACAGGGTCTTGCTCTGTCACCCAGACTGGAGTGCAGTGGCAAGATCATCACTCACTGCAGTCTTGATCTCCCGAGTTCAAGCAAAGAATCCTCCTGCCTCAGCCTCCGGAGTAGCTGGAACTACAGGATGTGCCACCACGACCACGCTCAGCTAATTTTTAAAATTTTTTTTTTTGAGTTGGAGTTTCACTCTTGTTGCCCAGGCTGGAGCGCAATGGTGCGATCTCGGCTCACCCCAACCTCCGCCTCCCGGGTTCAAGCAATTGTCCTTCCTCAGCCTTCCAAGTAGCTGGGATTACAGGCATGCACCACCATGCCAGGCTAATTTTGTATTTTTAGTAGAGATGGGGTTTGTCCATGTTGGTCAGGCTGGTCTCGAACTCCCAACCTCAGGTGATCTGCCCGCCTTGGCCTACCAAAGTGCTGGGATTACAGGCATAAGCCACCACGCCCGGCCTTTTAAAAAATGTTCCATAGGGACAGGATCTCACTATGTTGCCCAGGCTGGTCTCCAATTCCTAAGCTCGAGTGATCCTCCCTCCTTGGCCTCCCAAAGTGCTGGGATTACAGGCCACCACACATAGCCAGATAGACGTGGGGCTCCCAATGAGACCCGACAATCCCCTTGGACAGGAGGACGTCATCACTCCATTTTTGAACCTCTTAATTCTATTTGTTCACTATTGTTTTCTTTTTTGGCTTTTTAATCAGCAATGTTCTATGAGGAAGAAAAGTTTCCTCCCATTGAACAGAGTGGGCATGAAGGAGATGTGGCCAGCAGCTTGCAATCAGGTGCCTGAGAAACAGCCTCAGGGGCTGCTGGCAAAAGGGTTCTGTGGTGAAGACCCTCATCCCAAGCGGTGCAGGCCTCGGGGTGCAGCCTCCTAGACCGGGAGGGGGAGAAGCCCCAGAAGCAGCAATGACTGGTAACCCAAGGGTTCTGGCTGCAAGGGAGAGTGAGAAAGTGCAGGAAAGAAAAGGGGAGGAGAGAGAAAAGGGCAGGAGGAGGGCAATGTGGATACGCCTCACAGCGGTTGGCATGGCCGCATGTGCCTTGAAAACCCATGGGAGAAGGGAGCAAACCAGGAGAAGACTGGGCAAGCCTCAGCTCAGTGGCATGAGGACGATGAATTCACCACCCTGCTCCTCAAGTGGAACTGGGGACTGTGAGCAAAGTCCAGCTCGCACAGGTACAGCCTACTTGTGCTCAATGGTGACTGGACTATTTTGCAATTTCTGCTAATAACCCATAGAGCGTGGTGAAATTCTCAGCATAGTCTCTGGCTATGCATCCCAGGGAAGGGCTCTAGCGGGACCTGGGTCACGCCAGCCACTGCCTGTTGCCTGGGCAGGGACGGGTGGGGCCTGCTGGGCCTGCCTTCTGGGTGGGTGGGATGTGGCCACCTGGGCTGGGACCTTTTTTTCCATCCCTGACCTCAGGTGAAATTTCTTGCCTCTGCCTATTGCTCGCTGTGGAGGTGCAGCCGTTGGGGGATTAATATTGCTACAATTTAGCACACACTTGTTTTGAAAGTAATAGAGGGGGACACCGGAGGAGAGAAGGAAAAAATCTACAGCACGTAGGACACACCTGTTCAGGGGGACAGATCAGAGGCTGCAGATGAGTTACCATAAGAGGGAATCGCTTCCCATTCCACACTCGCCAGTTCCTCCTGGACGCTAAAGGGGAAACTCCAGGATATATCCCAAAGTTTGCTGGGGACTAAATAAACTCACTCCTTAGCAAAAAAGGAGCTGTGTCCAAGGCCCCTGAAGTGGCTTGCAGTATTTTTCTGCTTTACACACTTAGTAAAAGCTGTTTTTGGGTATTCACTGGTAAATGGTTCACATTCCTTTTTTTTTTTTTTCAGAGTAAATTAGAAAGTGACAATTGAATTTGGTTTTGTTTGTGACTTTTGGTAAGATCTAATGATGTGATTTTTCAAAAGGGAGTCATTTGGGGCCTGTTGACTCATATTTTCTGCATATTAAGGTGACAATTCATCTTGATTCTAACTGCTGCATTTTAAAATTATTTTCCGGCTTTCTGAATTTCCTGCCACACAGGTCTGACAGCTGTATCTCCGCTCCAGCTCCTGGCTCAGAACTTAGACAATACAAGCTGAAAATTCAGGGAAAGTTACCAAGAATGAAATAACAATAAACTTCCATAGAATCTGACAGCTGCTCTCTGCCTACAAAATTAGCAAACACATTCCGTTCTTTTTCTTCCTTTTAGGGGGCAAGCGTGTGAATCAGGAAGGCCACCTCACAATTGGCGCTAATTGCCCCAGGAGAGAGCCAAGAACAACGTGGCCAAAGAGAAGAGCGTCTGGCCCGCAGATCCCGCACCTGGGAGGCAGAAACGTGCTGTTGGGCAGTGGATAATGGGCGCCCATGAGAGCCATCCGGACATCTGGGCTCCCCATGCAGGAAAATGTAACCCTTCAGGCCCCACTTGCCATCTGCCTTTTGAGTTCTGGTTTTCTGTAAGTCCTCGGACATCAAGGGAGAGCCCGTGGCTTTGTGAGTGGATGGGTGGGAATTACCGTGACTCCCTCCGTAAGCACCTGGTCACCAGGGAGCCTGAACAGGGCAGCTCCCAGTGCCCATGGGAGGAGCTCATTCTATCAACAGATCTCCAAGTGTGGCCTGGTAGCTCTCCCAGGGAGCCCAGGCTGGTGCCCCAGCCTCTCAGAAAGTTGCCAGGGTTCCTTAGGGAGAAGTGGCCTGAGCTTGGGAGGGCACCCTCTTTGTCCTCTCTACTCTCCCCATCACAGTGTGGTTATATCTCTGGGGGCAGATGATGAACCTGCTCTCCAGGAGAATCTCCTTATGTGGACAGGGTAGGAGTAGTAAGGTGGGGGCTCTTTATGAATTCTGGAGAAATAAACTTCATTTGTTCTTCTCTTTGCAATTCATTAGTTTCTGCAGAAGGTCTATTTTTCTAATTATTTTTAGCCTGGCCTAATGGTGCAATGTTGAGCTCCCTGAGAACACATGGAGGTTAGTGGAGGAAAGAGACTAGCGGGTGGGGGAGTGCCAGATGGGGAGAGACTCCCGCCAGCTGCAGTGAATCCTGACTCGGACGCAGCACTCAAAGACCAGCCGGGAGCTGAGCTTTCCCTCAGTCTGCCTTGCTTCCTTTGCAAGGTTGTCCAGAGCTTTTGCCAATAAATTAATTTAATTTCAAGCAGGCCACATCCAAAGGACTTAAAAAACAATACCCAGTACAGCCATGCCTGTCAATCTAGTGCCTGGCCTTGGTGGAAGCTGGTTGTTGTCAACACTCAATTAGGATCACCTGGGAAGATTTTTAAAAAACGAGCAGGTCAGGGCCTCACCCCGCGGAGATTGCTATTCATTTGGTCCAGGGTGGGGATGCCTCACCCGCATCCCAGGTGAGTCTACCTTCCGCTGTAGGCAACGTGATTGCTCAAAGTCCCACACATCTGCAAATCAGACTGTTCTTGGAACTGAGAACAAAGAGTGCAGTGTCACATGAGGAGAAATATCTCTCATAATAAAGTCCATCCTGGGCTGGTGACACCCTGTCTCTACAAAACGTAAGAAAAGTGGCTGGGTGTGGTGGTGTGTGCTGGTGATCCCAGCTACACCAGAAGCTGAGGCAGGAAGATCTCTTGAGCCCAGGAGGTAGAGGCTGCAGTGAGCTATGATCACACCACTGCACTCCAGACTGGGCGACAAAGCAAGACGCTGTCTCAAAAAAGAAAAGAAAAATCTTGCCGGGCGCAGTGGTTCATGCCTGTAATTCCAGCACTTTGGGAGGCCGAGGTGGGTGGATCACTTGAGGTCAGGAGTTTGAGACCAGCCTGGCCAACATGGTGAAACCCTGTCTCTACTAAAAATACAAAAATTAGCCGGGTGTTGTAGTGTATTCCTGTAATCCCAGCTACTAGGGAGGCTGAGGCACGAGAATTGCTTGAACTCAGGAGGTGGAAATTGCAGTGAGCCGAGATGGCGCCACTGCACTCCAGTCTGGGTGTGAAGCAGCCTGGGTGATGAAAAAACAAAACAACAACAACAACAACAAAACTATCATAAACACTTTTCCTGTCAAAATGATTCTGTAAAAAATAAGTTCTGGTCAGTGCGTAGGCTGAGTAATATTTGAAACGACATTCACAGGAATTCCATGTCCTAAATGTGAATGACTCATTTTGTCATGTTTGCCAGTGTGAGGAAACAGAGCACATTGTGCTTCCGGGGCCCTGACCACATTTTCAAAACACAGAGTTAAAGGAATGACTTCTTTTTACATGGCACCCAAGATCCAGAACCGAGAAGGAGGTGGGTGTCCACAGTGTGAGCTTACACCTCCTAGCAGCTCATTTTTCAGGATTCTGTCCTCCAACTGGGCTTTGCAGACATGCATTTCCCCCAACCCCCTTGCTTGCATGCAGACCTGCACATACCATGCTCCAGCAGTGAGTGCAGGGCACTGATTTTAGCTGAGGAAGGGTCTTAATCTCACACTGAATGGTGAGCCCTCCAAGGCCAGGAACCATGTGCAATTCCTTTCAGTATCCTGAGCCCCTTATACATGCAGCAGCTGCTCAGGGAAGTTTTTTTGAACAGAAATTAGATCTCCAGAACTTTGGGAGTAGCAAAGACAACCTGCTCACAGATGGACATACAGGACCTGTCACTTTTCATCTGGATGTTGGACAAACTAGGATGCAGCAAGTCAGCCTGAGCTGCCCGCACCCTCCAGTTACACACTGGAGGATTTCCTTACCAGGTCTGAAGGACGATTTTCCCCACAGATTGACCAATGTTGGCTGAATTATTTTGGCACTTTGAAATCAGCTGTCATTGCTTCCTTCTGCTATTTCGTTTCAAATCTACAGTCAAAATTGGCTCAATATGATAAATACCATGCAGAAATATAGCAGAGCTTTGCAATAATTATTACTCTTGGGGGACTCTTGATGTGACCTCATGCTAGCCAAGAAGCTGATATGGTTAAATTCTCAATTGGAACAGTCAGTCCACCACCGCTGGGCAAGAAAGGGGCGTTTGTACAGATTTGATTGTGCTGCCAATGGTTGGTTTCTGATTTGAAAAAAGCCCCAAGTGACCACGAGAAACCACAGGAGAGCACCCACGTCTCCATGTACACACTGCAGGGCTGCTCCCAGGAGAAGCATCCCGGGATCGTTAGCAGCTGAACACCGCAAGTTGAAGATTTCAGTAACATGACTTTCCCCTGTCTGAGAGAACTGCTTACAGGTGTTCAAGCCCAGCGATTATTACAATCATTGGCAATAAAGATCCCCTAGGCTCTGAGAGGTCCTTAGGTGTCAACCAGAGTGACAGTGCAGCCCCTTCATTAATTGGGTGGTGGTTCACCTTCTTCAGCACTAGGAGGTTGGGCAGTGACTTGGGGAAGGTCAGAATGTGGCTCCCCAGTAACAGAGACTTAAAGTAGAGATCCAGCAAAGGGAAGGCAAATATTCTGCCTGGCTGTGCTCCCACCTGGGCTGCCGCACCTACCTGGCCCTGGGCCCCTTCAGGGCTCTCCTTGACAAGTGCCTGCTCTGGTCCCCTGACATCACCATGCTCACCTGCATGCACACAGGGCTTTAGAGCCAGGTCCTGACACATCCTGGCCTCCTCTGAGTCTCCGTGCATAGAGATAGTTGATGCTTTCTTTGAAGCCATTTATCTCAAATTGGAAATCAACTGGTTCCAAACAGACACCATATGGAAACCAAAAAAAACTGTAGGTTTTGTCTCTTACTTAAAATTTGTTAAATGTGTCTGAGGCTTCAGGGCAGTTTTTGGTTTTGAAAATGCTATTCACATAACTGAAAGCATGACTGAGTCTCTGAAAGTTGCTGTAAAGCCAATGTTCCCCATCCTTATGGGAAGCTGAGGTTGACACCAGAGGAGATGTCCCTGAAAGGCTATGGCAATGCTAGGGGAGATGCTGCTTTTGCTAACATCTAAATGACAAATGTATAACTTGGGAACATAACCAGGTTGCTTTGGATTTAAGAAAATAGTTTCATTAACAAAGTCATAAACACACTAGAGCTAGAACTTAGAGCTAGTGTCTAGGACTCAAACTTCTTCATGCATTACACAAGGACTAAACATTACATGTGTATAAGGTAGAAAATGATGCATATTTATAAGTCAAAAGGTAATGACTGTATGATACCCAATAATGCCTGTATAATACTTGCATACAACATTGTTCAAAACAAAGTCCACTTAATGTGTTACATAATTTACAAATGTTTTTAAATTTAGAAAACATGAAGGTAGGTTATCAAACCTCAAAAGTCAAATAAGTAGCTAAATCAACTTATTATTCTCAATGAACTTTTAATTTTACTTCCATGGAGAGGAGGGCATTATTATATAAGAAATCAGAAAAAAAAATGTTTAGGAATTCCTATCAAATATACAATTAATAAATTAATGGAAATTTAATATAATTTCCAACGATTAGATTTTTTGGAGGTAAATTAAAATCAGTTAAAGAAATGAACTTGAGAAATAGAGATAATAAATTTTCCATTTTACTCTTTCCTGCATAGATGCCACTTGTGAAGTTCTAGACAGAGGTTGTGGCTCCAGCTAAAAACCCAGTCAATACAGTTAAAACATGTGTTCCTACTGGCTATTCAATGCCGTATTGCTGCCACATATTTTTACTTATTTACTTGTCAGTCAACTTGGTAGGTATTATTTAAATACAGCCACTGCTAGAATGATATAGACTATTGTATTAATAGACACAAGGAGAACCGAGGAAGCTCAAATAATGACATGGCAAATTTCCAAAATTATGAGTTAAGCTTGTACCTTCAGCCTAACCCAAAACTTACAAAGAAATTATTTTTGAATGGTTATTTGGCCCAAATATAGAATGACATAAACCTTAATTCAATCTCACTATATTCATTCAAATTAGTTTATCATTTACCTGCAAACTTTTTCTTTGGTTCTGCAAGTCCGTGACTCAATTCTTCACTACTCTCCCCACGAAAAAGTCCGTAAGTGATGAAAATGCTCCCATTTGAAGCAGAGTCTCTAACAGCAATTGTACTGGTGATCCATGCTTGTGTCCCAAGAATAGAGCAAATTACAATGAAGGACCCAAGGCTGGTGAAAAAGCTTGATAAGAACATCAATGTCTTCTTTGTGGTAGGCATTTTCACAGGAAAATAAGTTCTCTAGGACAAAAAAAGGAATATCTTCTTATAACACTTTTGAACCTTATCTTTTGAAGTCTGGTATTTAGAAATGGAGTCTAACACTTTATTGTCAAATATAAAATCTCACTCTTCCTGAGGAAGGGTTATGCTAATGGACATTGAACTCTGAACATGGCCATAAAATTAACAGTAGCTGAACTTTGGTCTGGAGTAAGAGGCTGCTATGGTTACAGCCAACCAGCATGAACAAGGGGTGGGCATGGTCTTCCCAGGGACTTCCTCAATCATGCAATTAATTTATAATCCTTGGCCAAGTGTCATGGAAGCAAGTTTAGCCTACCATATCATGACAGGAGTAGAATTCCTAAATAATAGGGCGTGGAGGATCTGTATTCCCAAAGCGTTGCTGAGTCTAGCAGACAACAACATGAAACCCCAACTCCTCCAAGAATTATTGGAAATATGTAAACATATACTTCACTATTGTGGATATTTATGTTGCTTCAATTTCACAATTATGATTGAGAAAGAACAACACCCAAATATCTTTAGGCATAAACCTTTGTTCATATCTCCACTTGCTTCCTTGCTTAAACTTCTAGAAGTTTGACGAAGTCTGTGGATTTTTCTGAAGTTTTTGCTATGCATTGCTCAGTTTCTTTACTCATTAGTGATTTGACTCTTATAATTGTTCCAAGAGGAATCCTAAGGAGGGTAAACCTTTGTCAAATGTACTGTGGAGTGGAAAGAGAAAAGCTTACACCTCCTTATGTTTTATACCTCTCTATTTTTAGACTTTATCAGAGAGGTTTGGCTTTCAAATTTCCTCTTTCAAATTGGATCATATTTGCGTATTATTTAAATTATATCTTGAGAAGTTTCATCTTTATTACTTTTTAGTACTCTGATAGAGATGGTTCTGAACATTCTTGTTTTTGGTCGTTATAGCTGTATCCACTCTGTTGAATGGTAAATAGTTTATAAATGGTCATTTCTGGACTTTCGAAAAACTCTCCCATTTGGCGAAAAGATCATTTCTTGAGATGATAAATAGACATTCATAGCATGTTTTCCATACCGCTTTTTACTGTATTCTTTGATTATTTAGTAATATAATATTAAGTTGGTGCAAATGTAATTGCAGTTTTTGCCATTAAAAGTTACATTTACTTTTAATGGCAAAAAAACGCAATTACTTCATCCTCTACTTTTCTTCATTAACACCTAACTTATTTGTGGAACTAGCTGATCATCTGTCTTTTCCGTTATTGTAACTAGATGACATGCTCCGGGAGGTGGACATGTTTGTTTTGTGTACCACTGGATTCCAGGGAACTCTCAAAGAGCCTGGCCCAGAGAAGACACTCAGCAAACATTTGTTCAATAAATTATTGGAGATACGTACACACATACTCTACTACTGTGGACACTTATGTTGTTTCTATCTTAAAATTATGATTAAGGAAGAACAATGCATGAACATCCTTATGCATAAACCTTTGTCCATATCTCTGATTATTTCTTTGGTTAGACTTCTAGAAGTGAGTCAAAGTCTGTGAATGTTACTGAAGCTGTTGCTACACATTGCCCAGCTGCTCATTAGAAAAAGATACCAGTCACCCACCATGCCCTTAACACAATGAAGGTGCACACTTTCCTACATCCTCAAAACATGTATATTATTGGGAAAATTTACTATTTTTTCCATTTAAGTCTATTTATTTTGACCACACTTTTAAAGGGTGGGACAGAATTTCAGTAGTTAGTTCCTTCTGGCCCTATTCCTAGTGTGGAAAATAATTTTGTATTTATTATTGTATTTTGTATTACATAGGCCTATTACAAAAATGTATTCAAATGGAACTGGCAAGAATAAAGAAGAAAGTAAATATAATAAATAATTTATCCAACAAGAAGTAATTGTGTTCACAGTTGGGCAAAGACTTTCATACCTACAGCTTTATGTCTTAGCTTCCTGCTGCTATAACTGAACACCTGAGGCTGGGTGATTTATAAAGAACAGAAATTTATTTCTTATGGCTCTAAAGGCTGAGGAGTCCAAGGTCAAGGGGCTGCATCTGGTGAGGGCCTTCATGCTAGTGAGGATTCTGAGTCCTGAGGTGGCACAGGGCGCGCATCATGGTGGCCAGATAGCAAGTGGGCTGACAGTGCTAGCTCAGGTCTCTCTTCCTATTCTTATAAAGCCACCAGTCCCACCCCGGAGAAAACCCATCGATCCATTAATCCATTAGTCCATGAAATAATTAATACATTCATGAGGGCAGGGCCCTCATAATTCCATTGCCTCGTAAAAGTGACAACTTTCCATACTGCCACACTGAAACTCACCAATATGAGTTTCAGAGGAGACAAACATCTGGTGTAGCACCATGCACACATTTATAATACAATTGAGTCCTACTCTATGTTCTATTTTATAATCTGCTTCATAAAAATTTCAACAACTTGCCATGGCAATCCTTTCATGTCAATAGATCACATTTACCATTGTATAAAGCAACCACAAATTATTTCTACAAACCCTTTTTGGTGGACATTGAGGTTGTTTCTAGCTTTTCACTGCTGTACCCGTGATGTGGTGATACTCCTTTTATGTTCGACCTTGCTAACCTTTCTAGGTATTTCCTTGAGATAAATTCTGAGAAGGAGAATTGTTGAGTCAACCAAAAATATGTGTTCACCAGCTGAAAGTGTGTCCCAATTTAAATTCCTGCCAACAGCATTTTGCATTAGAGTCCCCAATTTCCACAGCTTCCCCACAGCATAGTATTGCTACTATTTTTAATCTTTCACAAGCTGGGAGACAAGAAGTAGCTTGTTGGCATTATTTGATTTTTACATGTCAGTTAGAGTTACTATATTCTAATAAGATTATTACCCATGTGTATTTTTACTGACACAGTTTTCTGTTTATGATGTTGGCTCCTTTATTATATAGAGAGGTTTTTTATTTATGATTTTTTGTACAGTAAAGATAGTAAACCTTTGTCAGTTCTGTGTATCTTGTGGATATATATATATGTATACTGAAATATATTCATTGAATATATTTATTCATTTTGTTATTTGCATTTCAATCATATTTATACATTTATACATTTTAAACATATGTGTAGATATTTTGCTGGCTCAGGTTAAAAATGTCTATGTAACCGAATATTTCAGTCTTATACTTTATACTTTCTGGATTTGGTATCCCAACTCCAAAGTTATTAAGGCTATTTACATATAAAAACCAACTCAAGTTTGTGTGAAACAGAAAAGTGATTTTTTTTTTAAAGATACAGGATTATTTTGCATTCCCCAAGGTGAGGTGACAATGAGAACTCAGGAAATTACTAGAACTAGAATTTCTATTGCCTTCTCTGCTCCTTACTGCATATCTGTTTCATTTCCTGGGTTTTTTTCTAATATTAAATTTTATCTTTCCTGCTATTCTGTTGCTGTCTTTTATTTTGTTTTTCCTCTTCTAATTTTCTGAAATGAATATTTTATTTTCTTAATTATTTTGTTTTTGCATTAATAAAATATTTAAAACCATGAATATTTTTCTCTTCATATATATATATGTCTTTGGCTAGGTTCCATAGGTTTTTACATATGTAAATTGGCATTTAACATCTTGAAATTGCATTTTTTATTTCCTGTTTGTTGAGGACAAAGTTTGTAAGATAATTGTATGGTAGCATTATTTCTATTTCGGTTATTTGTTTCTAGTTGTCTATAATTTTAATCAAATAATGTGATCTTAAAATACATCTACTCTTAGGGTTTTATTGAGATTTTATTTGTAGACAATTTATAATCAATGTTTATAAATGTTTATAACATTTTTTGTCACTGTAGGCTATTTTGTTTAATGGATTTACCATCATTTATTTAACAATGTTTTATTTTGGCCATTTTGGATATTATGAAATTTTTTGCTTATACAAATTTGCTTAAATACAGATCATTAACTATATCCTTAAAATAAATCTCAGGAGAATTGCTGACTCAGATAGACATTTTTAGACTTATTATATTAAATATAAATTGGCCCCCAACTGGCTTGCAATTCATAATCCCACCATAAATGTATGAGAAAGCCCTTTTTTCTATAGCACTGGAAAATGTTTGTTATTTTATATGTAATATTGCTTTAAGTTACAATTCTATGGTTTGCTTTTCTGTCACTATAGTTTTGGCTTTTCTAGAATTTCATAAAAATGGTATATTATAGTAAGTAGTCTTCTGTATCTGACTTTATTTTTTAGATTCATCTAGATATAGATACACACATTTGTTTATCCACTCAGCAGCTGATGGACATTTTGGTAGACTCAAGTTACATCAATATATTATATTTGTTAAGGATAAAGCTGTCATGCATTCGAGTACAAGTATATGTGTGGATATCTGATTCCTTTTTCTTGCATAAATAAATAAGAGAGATATTACTGGAACATGGTAAGTGTATATTTAGCATTATAAGAAACTGATAGACTGATTTCTCAAGTGGCTGTTCTACTGTGCATTCCCACAAGAGATGTATTATAGTTTCAGTTGCTCCATATCCTCACCAGCACTTGCTATTATTAGTCCTTCAAAATTTGGCATTATAATGAGTGTTTACTGATATCTCGCTGTGGTTTTTATTTGCATTTTGCTAACACTAATGATGTTGGACATCTTTGTATGTGTTTCTTTGCCATTCATATGCTTTCTTTGGTGAAGCCTCTGTTTACATCTTTTGTCCATTTTCTTATTGATTTGTCTTCTTTTTGTTGAGTTGTAAGAATTATTTATATTTTATTCTCAAGATACAATATTTATTAGATATATGTTTTATATATATCATATATTTATTAGTTATATGTCTCGCAACCATTTTGTTCCAGTATATGGGTTGTTTTTTCATTTCCTTAACAGCATCATTGAAGAGCAAAATTTTTGAAATTTGGTGAAGTCTAACTTACCAATTTTTTCATTTTATGGAATATGGTCTAAATGTTATATTTAAGAAATTTTTGCCTAACCCAAGAGCACAAATATTTATTTTCCTATGTTTTGTTCTAGAAATTTTATGCTTTTAGGTCTTATATTTAAGGTTATGGTCTATTTCGAGTCAATTTTTGTATATGATATGAGGTAAGGGCTGAGGTTCATTTTTATGCATGTGGCTAGGGTGTTGTCCCAGCTTGGTTTCTTGAAAAGATTATCCCTTCCCTGATGAACTGCCTTGGCGTCTTCTTTGAAAATCAGATGATCATATCTGTGTGGGTCTCTTTCTGGATTCTCTATTAAGAGATCATTCTTTCCAGTCCTTTGTAAGCTCCAGGAATTGTTTGTCACTTGGCTTTGCCATGGCTCCCGTCCTGGTCTCCGTAGCTTCCTCTGAGGTGTGTGCCTCAGCACTCAATTAATGATTCCAGGGATCCCTCTAGATTTCTACGCTTCCCTCTGCAGCTCTCTCCTCTCCAGCACTCACCACCAATCCTAGCACTTTGGCCTCCTCAAACCTTGGTTTCTTTCTATTCAACTCCAGAAGACCATTGGCTTCTTTGGTTTCCCCTTCCACACCGTAGCCTGGAAATTTCCTCCTTGAAAACCTCCTGGCGCAATTGTCAGTCTGACTTCATTTGTTTCTTTTATCTCAGGAATCATGGCCCTGTGCTGCCTGATGTCCAAGGTCTATTATAGAAACCATTCCTTTATATATCATCTTCTGTCTTATTAATTTTATAAGACTATAGGGGGCCCTTCTTACTCCATCATAGTCCAAGGAGGTAGTCAGCCTTCACTGAATGACCACATGGCTGTCACACTTTCTTTCCCTTAGAATTTTGTAGCTACCACTTTATTGGCTTTTTGCACTGAACGTTGCTGTTGAAAAGTCTGAGGCCAGCCATATTTTTTCTCTCTGTATGTTACTGAGTTACTCTGATAGCATGGTTATAAGAGTCTGTTTGTGAAGTGCAGCCATACCCACCTAAATTTTGTTTAGATTATTCTGATTCATTTTATTCTCCTTTCATGTAATTTCTCTTTTCAATTTGCATATTCAGTTTATTACAGAAACATTTTTCTGTGTCATATTTCTAAATTATGTGTTCCACTTGTTGAAATTTTACCTGCAGACACACCAGTTATTGTTGTGTTGGGTGATCTTTGACCTTCATATCCACTATTCACCTTCTTCTAATTGCTTTATTCCCTTTATATTTTTGCTGTCTATTCACTGTGATTTTCTTCCACAATGATAACTCATTTTTAGCTAAATTTTTTTCTAACTTATGTATTAAATCTTAAGTTATATGGCTTGGAGTCTCAATTTGTTTTCTATTAACTTATCTCTGTTGTTTTATATCTCATTATTAGTCCCTTGCGTAATTGAATCTTTCTTATTATAAGTAAGTTCTTACATAGCATAATACATGCAGAAGAAACTGCTTCCGCCCATTGGATTGGATGTTTTTCCAGACTGAGGTGTGCTTACCCTTTTTTTCTTTTCTTCTGCTATGTTGGTGTAGATCCCATTGGATTGGATGTTTTTCCAGCCCGAGGTGTGTTTACACTTTCTTTTCTTCTGCTGTGTTTGGGTAGATCCCAGGGTATTTCTTTTCATCTTGCTTAGTTTAACATGAGAAGTTCTATCCAACTATTGGTTTACACGAATCCATGATTAGTGAGTTTCCCTGACATACTTCTTACCTTACCTGGGGCTAATTTATCTTAGCTTCTCCATGCGTCACTCTTTGACTGGATGGTTTTCTATCATTTTTTTTTCTAAATACATCCAGGAGGGAAAAACGTATACAGATCTTTGACAAAACATGTAAGTCAGATTAGCTTAAGCTCACAGGAGTTTGGGGTAAGGGAAACCTCTCATGTGACATGATGCAGGGCTTCCAAGAAGGTCTCCAGGACATCATTTTGCTCTTTCTCCATCTCTGGGTTGTGTTTCTCTTGGCTCTGCTCCCAAGTTCATGGACTTGGATCCTCATTCAGAACTTTTATCCTCTCAGCTTCAAGTTTATTACAAGAAAGAATCGTATGCCTCTCCCCCAGAAATCTCTCAGCATTTTACTTGCTGTAATGCTGCCACACACCCACACACCTAGAGCTGGACAGAAGCAGGGAGAGGTCTTGTTGTGTTGTAAGTAGGATTACTGCTGATTCATTCTGAGTTTAGGGAGGCAGAATTGGTGGTCTTGCTTCCATCAGCTCTTGGCTAATCAGAATCTCCATGCAGTCAAGGACCTTTTCTAATTAGGCTTGGTAATTGCACAGGGCATGGCAATGGGGACTATCTTGTCCCTCTGCTCAGAGTAAGAGGCAGCCTGAGACTCTGTCCAGGAACAGGAACTTTATAAGGGATGGGCTAGGGCAGACTGAGTCTGGGTGTACATAAGAGGAAGGTGATGTCAGAGCCTGTGGTGAAGAGGCCTCTTCAAGTTGAAAACATCTAGAACACGAAGCCCTCACAGAAAGGAGGAGAGAAAGACCAAAATCTGGAAAGCAGGTCACTACTAGAGGCTGGGAGGCGGCCCTAGCTCAGGATTTCCCATAACTCAGTCATTTCAGTTCCACTGTTGCAATTTTTGCCATCTATGACTATCACCTCTAATGTTATTTCCTTAATAATTTTCTCTAAATTAATTTTTTATAAATTAATTGACCATGACACTATCTACATTAGCTTAGCTGTAATAAAATCTTGAGCGATGTCTCACTATTTTTCTAATATACATGAAAATAAATATACAATTTATATATGAAATGAGAAGTGGCCATCCTTGTACTATCTACAATCATCTCTGACATCCCTCCACATACACCACTCCCAATAGAACCTTACTTTGGAAAACGCTGGCCTAGCTGATATGAAGAAAGAAAATGACCTTCTACGTTGCTGGAATGCACTGGGGAAACTGTTTTTTGTTTTGTTTTGTTTTGTTTTTAACTACAGTTTGAGGCCGCTGATTTCTTCTACTTTTCATGAAGCTTACTACACATCAGTGATTTTTTAAAAATTACAAATATGCCCCTTACAGCACATGAAGTTCCAGAATATATAACAGGATTTATTTTACCATTTTTAACTATGAATTCATGTACATGTATACTTTCATCATAAAACGTATGTAGTTTATATGTACTTTGGGATCATTTAAGTAGAAAAATTGCCTCAAGATGACCACACTTTTCCATTAAAGGCAATTTTTTTATATGTAAAAACCTTTCTTAACACTGCCATGCTTTAGGAAATGAAATATTTAAAAACTAAATTTCTATTGTGCTTTAGTAACCGCTAAGAAATAAATATCTGTATCTCATTTTTAGGAGAGCTTTCCTCAGTGCTGTATTATGTCTCATTACCAACTTTTTCCTCAATTCCAAGAGCAAACTGAAATTATATACCAGGTAGAAACAAGGTGATTAATAAATCATCCCACCAGTGATAATGTTCTGTGGATTATTGACATGAATTTCACTGTGAGGAATAAAGAAATTATGTCATAGGTCTTATAATTTCTCAAGTTCAAGGAAAAATATCCTTTTGCCAAAGTGTAGATATTTCTGAGAGTCCTATGATTTTTTGAGTGAGGAACACACGGGTATTCAATGCATTATGAAATCATCTGAAGCAGGCCATGGAAGGTGCTGGATTATTTTATTATTTGGCCTTCCAATGAAAACAACTCTAATTTACAGGCATCAGTTTATTTTGTAAATTGAATCAATTTTTCTTAATCATAGAAGAAGAGAAATAATAAATGACTTTTGCCACTGTGCATGGAATGGTCACCTGCCCTCATCCTTATGCATTTGACAATGTGATAACTGTTCCCAAAACAATTACACACACATACATAATGATATATTGTTCACCTGTACTCGGTGGCCAAGAAGTTAAGATTCAATCATACCCTCATATGTGTGAAATGACATATGAACAAGGCTATTCTTGTAGCATTTTGTGTTAGAAAACAACTGGGACGCGCAGTGGCTCACGTCTGCAAACCCACACTTTGGGAAGCTGAGGTGGGCATATCATTGTGAACTCAGGAGTTCGAGACTGGCCCAGGTAACATGGTCAAATGCTGTTTAAACAAAAAATACAAAAAAAAAAAATTAGCCAGGCATGACGGTTTATGCCTGTAGTACCAGTTACTCCAGAGGCTGAGGCTGGAGAATCTCTTGAGTCTGGGAAGCAGAGGTTGCAGTGAACCGAGATCGTGCCATGGCACTCCAGCCTGGGCAATACAGTGAAACCCTGTTTCAAAAAAAAAGAAAAACGAAGAAAAAAGAAAAGCAAACAACTGGGAATAATTAAGTGGCCTAGAAGTGCTATTTTAAATATATCCAAAGATTTAAAAGAAAACATGAATATAATAAATAACCATATGAGGACCTCATTAGAGAAATAAAAATTATTTTTAAAATAACCAAATGAAAAGTCTATTACCTAAAAATACATAACAGAAATAAAAAAGAAATCACTGGATGGACTTAACAGAAGATTAAGCATTGCAGAAGAAAAGATTGGTCAATTTTAAAACTTGGCAATAGAAACCATCTAAACTAAAACACCTACAAGAAAAAAGGCTTAAAAATGTTAAAAGCCTCAGTAACCTTGTGAGACAATATTTGGAGATACCACATGCATCCATTGGAGTCCAAGAAGGACAGGAAGGGGAAAATATTTTTAACGAAATAATGGCTGAAAATTTCCCAAATTTGATGAAAACTACAAATTTATAAAATAAGAAACTCAAGTAATCCCAAGAAAATAGACACAAGGAAAACCATATCAATGGCAGGTGCAGTGGTTTATGTCTATAATCTCAGCACTTTGGGAGGCCAAGGTGGGAGGATAGCTTGAGCCTGGGGATTCAGGATCAGCCTGGGCAATTTTGTCTCTACAGAAAAAAAACATTAAAAATTAGCTGGTCATGGTGGTGCATGCCTGTAGTCCCAGCTACTCAGGAGGCTGAGGCAGGAGGACTTCTTGAGCCCAGGAATTCAAGATTGCAGTGACCTATGATCACACCACTGCACTCTAGCCCGGGTAACAGTAAAAGACCCCACCTCAATGAATAAATACATAAAATAAAATAAAACAACACCGAGACACATTTTAATCAAATTTCTTGAAAACAGTGATAAGGAGAAGATTTTAAAATCAACTAGAGGAAAAGGGTACATCACCAAAACTACTGATAATAAGCAATAAAGGATGAATCTCAAAAAGAGTTTGCTGCCTAAAATAAATTAGAAATGAGATACTATGTGATTCCATTTATATGAAGATACAGAGCAGGTAACACTACCTATGGTGATAGATTTCAGAATAATGGCCATCTTTGGCAAGAGTGGGGAGATTCTATTGGGGGAAGAGACATCAAATAACTTTCTACAATGATGGAAATGTTTACTGCCTTGAGATGGGTATGCATTTCACTAGTTTATACACTTGTCTTTACTCATTGGCGTATCCCTTAAGATCTGTAGAATGCGTGTGTACTCTTCATCAGTGAAAAGCAATCCAAGAAAAAAACGAAGAGTTCAAATGTGGTAAGGATCTGGGGGAGGGCCTAATTATTGTTTTTTCTGGGTGAGTAGAGGAATCTTCCAGCAAAAAGATCTGTCCTCTTGATTTCAGTAATTGTTAACACTTGGGCATAACTTGGAAAAAGAGGAGGAGAGGGAAGAATAGTTGGGTAATGTAAAAATAGATAGTTCTGAACCTATTTGTTATTCAATCTAGTACATCCTTGAGATCAGAATAACCATCCTGACTGTGGTTACTAAAAGTTACCTCTTGGTGGGAACAGGGCCTGAACAAAATCATTGAAGGACTCTGGTGTTGTCTCAGTGTATTAGTCCGTTCAGACATACCTGAGACTGGGTAATTTACAAAGGAAAGAGGTTTAATGGACTCACAGTTCCATATGGCTGGGAAGGCCTCACAATCATGGAAGAAGACAAAGGAGGAGCAAAGACACATCTTACACGGCGGCAGGCAAGAGAGCATGTTCCCTTTATAAAGAGAACTGCCCTTTATAAAACCATCGGATCTGGTGAGATTTATTCACTATCATGAGAACAGTATGGGAAAAACCTGCCCCCGTGATTCAATTGCCTCCCACAGGGTCCCTCCCACAACACATGAGGACTACGGGAACTACAATTCAAGATAAGACTTGGGTGGGGATGCTGCCAAACCATATCACTCAGTTTTTCCTTCCTTGCCCTGCCCCACAGCCAATCAATGATCAAGACCTGCTTTTTTCCTCCTAAGGTTGAATAACTTTATGAGAATGTTTCTGTATGATGTTTAAAAGCAACTTCTTATTTGCTTTCCACACATTGATTTTGCCTTTTTTTTTTTTTTTTTTTTTTTGCTTATTCTCCTAGACAGTATTCCTGGCCTCAGCATTTTAATTTTAATTGACATCTATTGGGCCCTCTAAGCATGATGGGCAGTATCTCAGTTTCTGCAGAGAAACCCAAAAGCCCAGTCCTCAAGTAAAATAGAAGACAAGACAAGTAAGTGCAGTTAATATCAATAATCGCAGGAGCACTGCCTCAAGCTGTGTTTTAGAGGGAAGGGGCTAAATGGTTGGGTGTAGGGGAGGCCTGGGGAGAGCGGGCAGGAGGCCAGCCACGGACAGGCCTGAGACAGGATCAGACAGCCAGTGTGCCAGGGAGCTGAAGAGGACTCTGTGGACTCAAGAAGGGCCCTAAAAGAGGAGTGGTGAGGTGTTCAGGAGGGCAAGAGGCAGAGGAGCTCCTCAAAGCCTGGGAGGAGGATAGGGGAATTGACTCTGATGTCAATAGGGACCTTGAGCCTATGAGAGGCAAAAATGAAGATGGTGAAGAAGGATGAAGGGCTTCCCTGTGGTAATCAACAGGGCCCTGGCACAAACACTTCTGACAACACGCTTCTGTGTGACAATGATGAATGTCTGTAGACTTTAGAAAGGGTTGAGAATTTTTGGGGTCCAGCAGAGAAGATATTATGAGGAAAGAAGAGCCATCTGCCTCCCCATCATGTTACCAAGGCTGTTCACTTTCCAATAGCAGATGTCTGACAAAGGCAAGTTGTTTCTGTCTTCTTAGCTCACAGTCTCTGCCTCCTCAGCCCTGCAGCGTTAACAAGCAAAACTGTGCTTAGCAGAGCTTTGTAATTATGGCCTTCATGTACATAAGCCTGACTCTGTAGACCACAACAGCAGAAAAATCCAAAGCCTGGTGACGTCATGTGCTACCTGGCCCCACCTCAACCTGGGCTGTTCCTTGGAGGTGCACTCAGGAGGGAGCCACCCGCCCTGCTGGGCTCCGAGGTGACCAGGCTGTCTGCTGCTGCTGGCTGGGGCCCATCCTCCTCTGCTCTGACAGCCCAGACGCCTTCACTGAGCACCTCCTGGCTACTGACGTTGCTTTAGGAGCTTGAGTCTGAGAAGCCATGGAGATCAACAGAGCCTAGGCTGCTGGAGCTTACAGCCCTGGGGGTAGGGGAAGAGGGCACGACAGACACAAAAGGAGCCAATAAACCCACAAATAATTCCAAACTGTGATGGAGGATGTGGAAGAGAGTGGCAGAAGAGATGGATGCAGGGCGATCTTCCAGAAGCCACCAGTAAGAAGGAACCAGGTGCACTGGTTGGAGGAGTCCCAGGCAGGAAGGAGCTTGGCTCTGGCACTGAGAGAAAGGAGCCGTGATTGGAGCCCAGCGGGCAGGGGTGAGAGGCTCAGAGCAGCCAGGGAAGTCAGGCAGAGCCTCGTGGGAGTTTGGGTTTTAATATTCCTGGAGGCTTTTAAGCAGGGGGCTAGCAGGACCCGGTTTACACTTTGTGAGGTGCCTGGGACCAAGTGTGAAGAATGGATCATCTGGGAGAGTGGGTCAGAAGCTGGGGAGCCACTGCAGGTTTTGGAGGGGCGCAGGCAGTGAGATGAAAGGGCAAGATGCATGGAGAAGCCAGTGGGAAGTGGACTTGGGCCCTCTGGGAGGTGGACTTGAGGTGGGACACGGAGGCAGGGACAGGGACGACTGCAGAGAAACTAAGTAAGAGCAAGAGGCAGGTCTGAGACAGCAGGAGACAGCCAGGAGGAGCTGAGCTTGGAGGAGAGGGCCCCAGAGTGGTGCTGCTTAGAGTCATTCCCATACGGATGGTGTTTAAAGCTTTGGGGCTAGACAAGGCCCCCAGGGACAGAAATGGGCAGGGCAGGGCAGGGAGGTGGAGCTCAAGTTCTCCACTGGTTTCGCAGCTCTCCGGCCCCTGTGGAGGGGAAGTCCCACTCTGGGCAAATCACGTGGGGGTGGCCTCTGCCAGGAGGCACCCATTGCTCTGCAGCCTTTGGGGTCCGTAGCTCTGTCTAAACAGGCCTTAAGTATGCTAAGAGTCGTCGGCTGGCAATCGGTGCAACGTGGGGTAACACACCGTAAGTGCCACTTTCTCCCCATCCATTCATTCATTCATAAGCCTAATGAGCTGGGTCCCTACCACAGAATGCAGCTTCCCTCATGAGGGCTGGGCCGTGGCCCCATCCAGAGGGCACGGCACAAAGGTTCAGAACCAACATGCCACCAGTGTCTTTTCTGCTCCTTCCAGGGAACTGCCTTTTCTCTGAAAGCTCCCTAAATAGCTTGAGTGAAATTCCCTGGAAGAAGTCGGCTAGACAGCAGGCCCAGTGCCTGGCTCTGTCGCTCTTCTTTCTCTTTGTGCGTTTTTAACTTTGACAGATACTGCCTTCGGGACAAGCGAGCCCTCTTCTACATCCCCCAGACAGGCGCCTTATCCCCTCCTCTTTCCAGAGGAGGCCACCAGGCCCAGCGACCTCACAGCTCTCCCAGCTTCCTCGCACCAGAAGCGCACGGGGTGCCCTGCGTGTCCCACACCTGCTGCAAGACCAGGGCGAGTCCCTAGTCAGGCCACTTCCTGGTGCACAGGGATAGGGCAGGGAGAGGCAGGGCCTTGCCTTTGCTCTCCACCAGGTGTGAGTGCCTGCCATACCCTGACCCTCTGTCTACGCACCTGGGTCCCGGCGGAGTGGCTGGACCAGGCCTCCCCGGAAGGGGCACCAGCCTTGAGTAAACGGATGCCCACAGTGTCTGGGTGCTCCCAGGGCAGGGCCGCAGGGCCTCAGGGCCATACCCGCCTCGCAGGTGGGGCGGGCGCCCTGGATGCGCTCCCCGCGCCGGGCACCAGGCGTCGCCCCCGCTCCTCGCAGCGCCCAGGCCCCCGCCCCCGCCGCGGAGCCACAGCCGGAGCTGGAGCCGAGGCGGCGGCGGGACGCGGCCGGCCGGACAAATTTCCTGCTAGGCTGCGGACAGCGGGCGGCAGGAGCCGGCGCGAGCGGCTTCAGGAACCCACGGCCTCTGCGCGTCCCCGCGACCCTTCTTCGCGCCCGGCGAAGACAGCCGGGCGCCCCGGAGGGCGGCGGGCAGGCGCCCGGGAGATGCGGAGCCTCCGCTGCAGCGCGATCTGCGCGACCAGACCGGCCCCCCCGAGGTGAGCGCGCGTGCGGACAGGGACCCTGCGCCCCTGTGGGGAACTGTGCACCCCGGGAGGCCCAAGCAGGCCGGGGCGCTGCCTCGGCCGCTGCCGCGGGAGGGAGGGGCCGCTCCGGGGCTCAGAGTCCGGACCCCGGCCCCGCCGCCCCCGCGGCGCGCCCAGTACCAGCGGCTGGGGCCCGTACGACCCCCGACCCCGGCCTGTGGCGCGTCCCCTCACCCGGAGTCCCCAGCCCAACTTGGCGACCACAGTGGCAGTGCTCACGCTCCCTCTCGGTAAACAGGAGGAGGGCGCGCGTGTCTGCGGGTGGCTACAGTGCGCGGGGGCCGGCGGCAGGGCGGCGTACGTGAAAGCGGGCGACACAGAGAGGGGGTGCAGGCCGCGCGTGGGGGGCTGCGCCCACTCGAGGCTGGAGGCTGGAGCCTTTGAAGAAAGTGGCTCGAGTTGTGCCAACTCTGGGAGGGGCCGGCGCTCTGCCAGGATGCTGCCCCGCAGCCGGGCGGGCGCCCGCGCCTTCCCAGGGAGGCAGGTGGAGCGGGATGCAGCAGCCGCCGGGGGTCGGAGATGCGGCAGGGAGACCCTGGCAGGTGGTCCAGGCTGGACTGCCGCGATTTGCAGGGTCGACGACCTCACAGGGCTCCTGAGCACAGATGCGAGCGCGGTGCCAATTCTGAGAGCTCCCGGGACCATCTGGGGAAGGCCGGGCAACCCACAGGATGGGGAGGCAGAGCCAAGCCGGATGGAGACCGCGCTGGACCTGACCTAAATTCCTTCCAGGCATGCAAACCTTTCCAGAAAGATTAGGCAATTATACTTGCAGAATTATGATATTGGTTTGTCTTGAGTCGTGACCATTCCATCAGAGTTTCAATCCAGGAAACTCAAAGAAAGAATACAGCTCTCTGCTTGTATTTTAGAGTGAATGAGCGTATAGGTGAGTTGAATGAACACCAGCAAAGAGTGATCACGTGATACAGAAATTACTGTGTCCATGTCCAGTCAGCTCTGCATTTGGCCCCAGGTACCCCTTGACCCAGGGCGTCTGGAGGTCTTTGTGTCCCAAAGATGGATGAAGTTCTGCCTCTGCACACTAACGACTCTTGTCCATTTAAACTGTGTGTATGTGGGTGGGGAGGGGGGGTGTGGAGGGTCGTTTCCAAAACTGGGATAATGGCCAGAGGAGGGCATGAAATGGTGGGGGCCAGTGGCTGGGGCAAGCGTCTGACCACCACGGTCACTCAGCCAGCATGGTATGGGCAGAGCTCTGTGGTGTGAACAGGGTTAGGGTCTGTACTTTCCAAGCACAGGCTCTTGGCATTTGGGGAGCAAAAGGTCAGAGGCGAGGTGGAGCAGGCCCAAGAGGTGGGGGCTGCGCTGTCAGTGAGAGAGGCCTGACGTACCACCCAGCCCTTCCCAGACAAGGCTCTGCCCCTGAATCTGACCTTGGGGGCCAAGATTTTTGTTCATTGATGTTGGTGATGCCTGTGAGTCACCACCGCCCCCTCCCTGCCCCAACAGACCGTTCCCATGTGGACAAGAGCTAGGAGCTAGATTTGTCTCTGTAAAAGGTCAGGTCACTGGATGTGTCCAGATGGCTTGGGACTTAGTCACACACTCCCTCATCAGTTCCAGTCAAACCAGTTGAGGGAAGTCGATGAGGGTGTTATTGTCTTTACGTGTGATGCTTCTTGGAGGCCCTGTGTGGACACAAAGTGAGGACAATGCGGAAAGTCACACAGAGGCCACCTCTCATTTCTGTGGGGGACAGCTGGCAGAGAGAGATGCGCTCCCTGTGTCAGCACCGCCACCTCCACGGAAGCCTGGAGGAGGTCCTGAAGCACTGTGCCCTGATGGGAGCCCCCTCTTCTCCAGGGATGCGTGTGTGCAAACCATTGCCCCTGAGAGTAGATGCGGCTGTGTGTGTACATCCTTGCCCCTGAGAAGAGAGGTGGCTGTGTGTGCAAATCTTGCCCCCAAACCCCAAGAGAAGATGCATTCACAGTGGGGGTGATGGTAGATGCATCAGTTTCAACTGGTGAAAGTATGCTTCTCCCAGCTGTGCCTCAGTGGGTCCACTGTGCTCCATCTGCACCACCATTAGCCTAGTCTAAGGTGCACCGCTGATCAATATTCCCTCCCTGAAGGCCAGAGGTGTGTTTCTAGGCCCGGCCACTCCTCTGTAGTTCTCCTCCGCAGCTGCCCACTTGACATTTCTCCCTGGGATATCAAATGCCCCTTGACTCAATGCGTCAAAATCAAACTTGTGATCTCCCCTCCCCTTCCAGTACTTTCCCAGTGTTGTCTTTATCCATCCAATTCCACCAGCCTCCATGTTGCTTCTGAAATGTATGCCAGACTATAGTTTCTGTGAAGAGAGGGCAATACTGTATCTCCAGTGCCCAGCCATGTGCCTACCAGTGGAGCCTTGAGGACTACTGTCCATGGATAAACAACTTGGAAGTGAGACCTTCCCGAAGCGCATGTGCTGATGGAGCAAGTGTGTGTCTGTTGCGTGGATGTTGTATGGTTGATAGGCAGCCACACATTTTTGCCGATGTGGATGGGCATGGTCCATCCAGGGCTCATGTGGCCAGCCCTTCTGGAGATGCTGGACTCACCTGCTAAAATGACTGCTGGCTTGGACCAGAGACACCCCAAGTGACCTCCCAGGGAGGCAGGCTTGGGAGCAGGGAGGGAACAGGATCGAAGCTGCCCCGTATTCCCTTGCTAGACAAGTCTTTTTCATTTATAACATTTGAGTCACCCTCACAGAAGTTCTGTTGCCAAAGCAGGAATGAATGTATCCATTAGGGTAAAGACTGGCCTTCTTAATATTTGAATATCACTTGGGAAGAAAACTACAGTTCTAAGAACATCTCTAGTTTTTCTTTTGGCTTTCTTCCTACTGACCCAATGGCTTTGTCTTCCATAAAGCTCCCAAAGCTTTCCAGATCCCAAGACTCAGCTCCCTGCTCTCAGCCTCCTTCCCCTTTATTTCCATCTTAGAAACTCCTACCCATACCTCAAGGCCCACCTCAAAAGTCTCAGTCTCCACAAAGCCTTCCTGGCTCCCCTACCTGAGAGGAATCTCTCTTACTCTTGGTTCCATAGAACGTTATTTCTGCCTGTCCTAAAGCACTTACTGGACTTGACTTTGATTTCCAGTTCACTTGCTCAAGTAGTTTATCTCCTCCACTAGGCAGCCAGTGCTTTAAGGGTGGAGGGTGTGTCTCTGAGAGCATGTACTTTGGGTTCAGTCAGTCAAGTTCTGACTCTGGTGTGACCTTGGCTAAATGACTCAAAATGCAGGCTTCAGTGTTCTCTAGAATGGGAGTAATCATCGCTACTTCCCAGGGCTGCTGCTGTGAGGGGGACATAGGATACATATAATTGACAGGCCGCTTGGCTGGTATGCAGTAAACTGTGGTTATCTTTCCCCTACAACATCTAATGCTGTGCATTGCACATGTAAGAATCAGTGAAGTTTGAGGCCGGGTGCAATGGTTCACACCTGTAATCCCAGCACTTTGGGAGGCTGAAGCACGCAGATCACTTGAGGCCAGGAATTCCAGACCGGCATAGGCAACATGATGGAACTCTGTACCAAAAACACAAAAAAATTAGATGGGCATGGTGGTGCACACCTGTAGTCCCAGCTACTCAGGAGGCTGAGGTGAGAGAAACATCTGAGCCTGGGAGGTCAGGGCTGCAGTGAGCCATGTTCACACAACTGCACTCCAGCCTGGTTGACAGAGAAAGACCCTGTCATGGAAAAAAAAAGAATCAATGAAGTTTGAATGAATACATGAACCAAGCCAAAAACCATACAAATAGATAGATACCTTTTGTGCATCATCCAGATCAGTAGGTCAAATCAGTGTGGTGTGGCATGCCAGATAATTTTTGCATGGCAATCTAAATGATTATTATGTAAATTTTGCGTGATTAAGTATTTTAATCCCATAATGTTATCACTTACCATGAAGGCATTCATTCTTCAATATGCACCATTGACTCCAGTGATCGATGAGGCAGAAATGCAACTTGCTGTGCACATTAACCAGGCTCGTGGCCTGAATTAAACCAGGCTGGGTGTGAGGCACTGCAAAAGCAAACGAAACCCACCCCTGAGAAGCAGTGTGGCCTAGAATCAGGTGTCTGGAATCAGGGTAAGAGAGCAGCTTCTAGACCAGAACATAAAGCTAGGAAGCTGTGGCCTACCCTAGAAACTCTCAGAACTTCACTTTGCTTATCCAAAGAAAGGGGCTGTCCTGGGCCATCTCTGGGCCCCTCACAGCTGCTGCACTTCCGCCCGATTTCACCCCTTCCCCACCACTGGGCAGGAAGGGCTGCTGACTCCGTACAAGGCTGGATCCCAGGCAGGGAGGCCTCCTGTTTCTTGGCTCAGCATTTGGGCCACGTGTCTCTCTGCTCTGGACACCAAATCTAGAGAGAGTGAGGAGAGGCCCGTGGGTACATGTAGCGTGCTGCCAATTTTAGGTACTGGCCCTAGACATATCAAGAGTTTATTTTGGAGGATTAACTTCTCATTATTTTGTCACTAGGATTTTTTTTTTTCACCAAAAGCAGAGTGCTGGATGATATTTTAGATGGCTGGGATTTTAGATCAGCCATACCTGAGGCAATAAGAGTTGGTCGAATGTTACCAATCCTTGAGCAGACACAGATGAGCAGTTGCGGGGTCGTTCGCTGCTGGATGTGGGCTAGGAGACCCCTGGTTTGGGGATTATGAAGGCAGCCTCCTTTTCTTCCCTGGGCTCTGGCTGCTGTTTTCCCAGTCATACCCATCATGGTCTGCCCTGTCCAGGTGTTCCATGTGGGGAGTATTGATGTGGTGCCCAGCCTTTGAACTGTTAACAACACCCTGCTCACAGCCAGAAATGTGGGCCCCACATCTTTCTTTCAACTGTATGAATACTTCAGAGGCTTTGATTGAGCTTAAGAAATACAAATTCTTAACAATATATTTCAGAAAAATAAACATATCCTTTTATATTGATTCCCAATGAAATAGGGGCCAGATAAAATATTTTAAAAGGGCATCTGTTTTTAAAAATATCTTTCAAATGCAATCAAGAATGTTCAGTTAATCCGGTCCATTATGTATATTGTAACAAGTAACAAAAGGGGCAGAGAAATCTTTCTCCCAAAAACAAATATAAAGTCCAGCAGGGAGTAGGGAAATGTTTGAAGAAAAAAAAAAGATTCTTAGTTATGTGCTAAAAACCAAACGTGTTTTGGGCAGGTGCTTTGATGTTAGTGTTTGTTGGGTGGAGAGTAAAGAATTGATAGGAAAACTTGTTTGGATCCCAGGTCTGGGTGCCAGCTACACTACATTTGATCCAATGGAAGGGCTAGCATGGGAACAATAGCATTTGGTGTGAGCGCCCTGGGCAGGTACATGACTCTGTCGTCAGCTCCCAGGGATGGACAGCCAGTCCCACAATGCCTGGAGCTCAGAGCTCACTCTGTGCATGTATGTGACATGGAGAGATGGATGGATGAAGGTAATAGAACTGAGTAGGAGCCTGTCCAGGTAGCAGTGGAGGAGGCCAAGTGGCGGAGGCCTTCCCTGCCATGATTTTACTCTGTCTGAATACCAGCAGCAAGTGGAAGCCACGGGGCTTTATTTTCAAGGGAGGTGACACAGCCTGGGGCTCAGGGAAAGGACTTAGGAGCAGAATGACTGGGATCAGATGGGGGCCCATGAGACTGAGGCTCTGGACAAGGCAAGGGACTTCCCCTGGCCCAGTGTGAGCCCAAGTCTTTACGGTGGGGAGCATGATGCCGCCAAGGCAGCTGCACGGGGATCGGTGGAGGTGGTACGCAGAGGCCTGGCCCCATGATCACCAAAGGGCCAGCGGTCTCACACAAGGCAAGGGCCCAGGGGACCGGAATCAAAGGCCTGAGATGATGTGAGCCCTGACTTCTCCTCTGCCACAGTCGCTTTGTCCTCAAGGCAAGTCATTTAATTCCTATTCAATAAATGCACAAACATAATTTTTGGTTATTAATGTCCCTAAATCTGTTTGGACATTTCCAGCTGAACATTAGTCACCAGTTTTGTACTAGAGAGAAAATTAGTTCCATCTTTCTTCTCAACTGAGATTTTTAAATGTCCTATCACATAGCTACTTGATTACAGTGTATTATTTTAAATGACCTCTGTACTAAGTCCTTTTATTTTGGCGTCCTCTCACTCCAGAAGGACTTGGCATTGGCATTTTTCAGGCTGTGTCTCCACAGTAGGACTTTCATAGGTCTGCGGTGCAGACTGGTTTGCTGTCCACAGGCTTGGCCCTGACTCCTCGGCTAACATGCACAAGGGCGCTCTGAGGGTCGGGAACGCACCCACCAAGCACAGCCCAGACGAAATGGAAGCTCCTGTCCAGGCAGGTTCCCGGTGAAACTCTAGGGAGCTCCAGCCTTCCTTTCTTCTCCAGTTTATTAAGAGGCTGGCCTCAGAGGTGGACACCTACTTCCACAATTTGATGTCCGACCCTGGGACTCTCCTCTTTACCCTGCCCCCACCTCATCCACCAGCCTTTTGGTCTGAAATCCTTGTCATGGGGTAAAGCTTTTTATTCTGTTGTTGGAAACACAGTATATGGTTTGGCTGTGTGTCCCCTCCAAATCTCATGTTGAAATGTGGTCCCCAGCGTTGGAGGTAGGGCCTGGTAGGAGGTATTGGATCATGGGGGCAGGTACCTCATGATTACTAGCGCCATCCCTTTAGTGATGAGTGAGTTCTTGCTCAGCTAGTTCACATGATATCTGGTCATTTTAAAGAATGTGGCACCCCCCACCCACTCTCTCTCTTGTTCCCACTCTCACTGTGTGGCATGCTGGCTCCCTCCCTCTGCCTTGATTGGAAGCTTCCTGAGCCTCACCTGAAGCAGGTGCCAGCATTATGCTTTGTGCACAGCCTGCAGAACCATCAGCCAATTAAACCTCATTTCCTTATAAATTACCCAGCGTCAGGTATTCCTTTATTGCAATGCAAGAACAGACTGACACACACAGCACAGGTGGAAATACAGGCTTTGCGGACACCGGTGGCCTGTTTTTCTGACACTATCATACTTCCCAGGATAGGCTCTACTCTTAACTCTTCTAACCCCATCCACTTGTTATAAAACACACTTTCAGAAAAAGGCTAGGTTGTTACTGAGGTAACATGGGATGGATCTTTGGAGGTGGGAAGGCCTCCAGCCTCCTCTGGGGAAGACAAAGTAAATCCTCCCTATGGAATTCTCCAGCTTGTTTTCTTGATTCCAGAGAGACCTGCTAGTGAATTCAACTAACAGGTTGGTTTTCAGCACAGAATATTTCCTACAGATGTCGGTGTTTCTTTCCAAATCCTTCCTCTCTTCAGGGCGCTTTCCCACTGTTCTAGACGTAGGAGAGAAAGCACTTCTCAGATGGTGAGCTTTTATCTTCCAATCTTGTCAACCGAGGAGACCTGGAAGTTCCCTTTCAACCTGGAATGTGAGCCCTGCTTGCTGGGCACGAGATAAGGACCAAGGATTGACCCAGGACAATTTCAGAGAGCACAGGGGTGGCATATCCTCATGTCAGGGCGTGGAGCTAATATTCAGACCCAAACACTCTGAATCTCTGAAGCAGAAGCTCTCTTAAAATTCCTGGGGAGGAAATCAGTATGAATTAATAAAAAGCCTGAATATTGTGGATTTTTATTAAATTCGAGGATTTATAGTAACTCAATCCAGGCCAACAAAACGTTGCCTTCCGGTACTTACTTTAATGAATAGAAAGCATGTAAATGCTCTTCCAAAGAGAATAACACATTTTAGCATCTTAAATATGTAAAAATAAAACTCCTGTACAATCCTAGTTGCACTAGGAAGTCTACTTATCAAAAAAAGAAACTTCTGTTTCCAGCCACATTATTTCAAATCATCCCAAAACTTACATTGTTACTAGTAAAATTTTTCATTGTGATTAACACTTTTTTTCCAGTATGGTTTTCCTCTTTCTGAAAGCAACCTTAGTTTCATAAACAGTTGGACATTTAAGTACTGGTCAAAAAAGTACTCTGAACCAGTAACCTCGTCCTTAATTTTGAACTGCTGTTGACTAAGCGCTCTCTTTTCCTAAGCTCATAGCAGCCCTTCGTTCAGTGCTTCAGTAATTCAATAAATTACTTTTTGCCAAGGTTGCAAACATCAGCTAAAGTTCAGTCATCTACTGGAGATGTTATCAGTCTGTCCATTTAAATTCTTTTGCGCAAAGTCCAGATTTGGACCCAAAGTAATATAAAAATGCAAGAGCCAGAAATTTAATAATTTTGTACTGTGTTGTGCCAAGCCAGGCCTATTCTTAGCTAGCCAACAACATTCTTTCAAAGGATATTTTTTGGTTTTCATCAAATGTAAATAGTGTTTAAGAGTCTGTAATATCATTTAGAAGGAACAAATGGAAGTATTAAACCTTTATTGACTACCTACAGTATATAGAGGATCTATAACTTATGATGGTTTTATTATAGTTTCTCAACCTTACAATGGGTTTATTGGGCATTGGGTACATTTTAAACTTATGATATATTCTATTTACAAGGGGTTCATCAGGATATGACCTCACTGTAAGCCCAGGAGCATCCGTACGTACAAGCACTGTGCTTAGCGCTGGAGTTACAGGGAAAAAAAAAAAAAAAGGCACGATGGCTTGTGACATCCTGTGGATGCTCCAGGTCCACAGGAAGACAGAACTCACTTCCAGGGAGTGTTAAATGTGATGCTGGATGCTCCTGTGGAGGAGGGGAGACATGGAAGGGCCTCCCCAGGTAGAGCAGTGACGTGGTCTGGCTCTGTGTCCCCACCCAAATCTCATCTTGAATTGTAATCCAAATAGTAATCCCCACATGTTGGGGGAGGGACCTTGTAGGAGGTGATTAGATCATGAGGGTGGTTTCCCCCATGCTGTTCTCATGATAGTGAGTGAGTTCTCATGAGATCTGATGGTTTTATAAGGGGCTCTTCCCCCTTCACTTCACTGTGCACTTCACTGTGCACTTCTCCTTCCTGTCGCCTTGTGAAGAAGGTGCCTTGCTTCCCCTTCCACCATGATTGTCAGTTTCCTGAGGCCTCCCCAGCCATGCTGAACTGTGAGTCAATTAAACCTCTTTCCTTTATAAATTACCCAGTCTTAGGCAGTTCTTTATAGCAGTATGAAAACAGACTAATACAAGCAGGCTTGGTTTACTGGGCCATTTCCTAGGCAGCTGACAGGGATTGAGCATTCCAGACAGAGGGGCTACCATGTGCTTGCCTGGCAGTAGGAAGCGGTGTGTCCTGTCTGGGGAAGAGCAGGTGTCTGCATGGAGCTGGAGCCCAGGGACAGAGGGGATGGGACAAAAAGGTGGAAAGTTTAAGGATCACCCAAACATTTGTACACCATCCAGGAGTCTGGATTCTGTGTGACGGACCAGCAGTTCTTACCGTGTCTTAAATTATGACCCCCTTTGTGATTCTAGGGAAGACTATGGACTCATTCTCCAGAAAAACGCATGTGTGCACACAGTCATTTGTATAGTTTCAGCAAGTCTTTCCTAACACCCCTCCCCCCATCCTGAGGCTCACAGGTTCCAGGTGTGTCCCCTTTGTGCGGCCTGGCCAGCCCCACAGAGCCCAGCAGCATGCTCAGCTGTGAGTTTGAGAAGGGGTCCCCTGCTGGCTGTGTGTGGAAAGCCAGAATGGAGGTGACGGGGGAAACCGACTCAGCAGGTTGGATTTATAGGCAACATGACCATGTGGGTGAGAGGATGAGAGTGAGAACCAAGGCCCCGCAGTTTTCGGCCAGGGTGACTGGATGCATCCGGACCAGACACAGGCTTACGAGATGATGGTGCGCCCAGGGTGTGAGCTGAGTTTGAGGGTGCCAGAGGGGGAAGCCGCTCCAACATGTGGAATCCAAGCAGCTGATTCCAGCAGGGAGGGTCTGTCCAAAGGGAAGCGAAGAGAGTTTTTCAGCATGAAACTGATGGTGCCAATGTTTGTGCTTCACTGCGCTAAACTGTCATCTTTCTGTTAAATTTGGCTTACAGGGCCAGGTGCAGTGGCTCATGCCTGTAATCCCAACACTTTGGGAAGCTGAGGTTGGAGGATTGCTTGAGGCTAGGAGTTTGAGACCAGTCTGGGCGACATAGTGATACTGTCTCTAAAAAATATTAGCCAGGCATGATGGTGCATGCCTGTAGTCCCAGTTGCTCCGGGGGCTAAGGCAGGAGGATCACTTGAGCCCAGGAGGTCGAGGCTGCCATGATCATGCCACTGTACTCCAGCCTTGGTGACAGAGCGAGAACCTGTCTCAAAAAAATTTTTTTTATTTTGAAAATTGGGTTACACTGTACATTCTTAGGGTCTAGACAATATTCCTAATAAAATGCCATGTAGGCTGGGCACGGTGGCTCACACCTGTAATCCCAGCATTTTGTGAGGCCAAGGTAGGTGGATCACATGAGGTCAGGAGTTCACAACTAGCCGGGCCAACATAGTGAAACCCCATCTCTACTAAAAATACAAAAATTAGCTGAGCACGCTGGCACGCACCTGTAATCCCAGCTACTTGGGAGGCTGAGACAGGAGAATCGCTTGAACCCATGACACAGAGGTTGCAGTGAGCTGAGATCACACCACTGCACTCAGCCTGGGTGACAGAGTGAGACACCATCTCAAAAAAAAAGCCATATAATGATGGTTGTTGTCATCAGAGAAGTCGGCTCACAGGGGGTGATGTCTCCTGCTCCCACTTACAAAGTAGGTGAGAATGATCTCGAGAAGCTCCATGAGGTGACCCTCAGCCTCTGATGGGGACAAACAGGAGTCACCCTGCTCTCTCTCTGGCTCCCATGACTCTTATCTAAAGACCTCAGGCTGGCTTGGAGCACCCCCTTTAAACTTCCTTTAAAAAAGGAGAAAATCGGCCTGGTGCAGTGGCTCACGCCTGTAATACCATCACTTTTGGAGGCCGAGGTGGCCAGATCAGGAGGTCAGGAGATCAAGACCATCCTGGCTAACACGGTGAAACCCCATCTCTACTAAAAACACACAAAAAATAGCCCAGCATGGTGGTGGGCGCCTGTAGTCCCAGCTACTCAGGAAGCTGAGGCAGGAGAATGGCATGAACCCGGGAGGCGGAGCTTGCAGTGAGCCGAGATCACGCCACTGCACTCCAGCCTGGGCGACAGAGCGAGACTCCATCTCAAAAAAAAAAAAAAAAGAGAGAAAATCTATATGGAAGAAATGAAAATTATTGAAGGAGCTTGGGGAAAAGGCTGAAAGAATCTTGGCTGTTCATGCAAACCAAGTCCCAGGGCTGGCTTCATGGCTGTTGGGCAACCCCTGCCCAGTCAGCATCCTGGCAGTTGTCACTTTGGCAGAGTCGGAGGACAGACACACAATGACAGCAAGAGCAAAGGCAGGGCCTGCCCGCGAGGAAGAGCCACGGCTGTTGAGCGTGGATGTGTATTTCTCAAGGAGTATGAAGGAGTCTTTTTGCAAAATTGCAAAGAACTGGCCTGACTGGGAAGTGCAAGAGTTATCTTCCCTTCAGGGAAGAGGGAAGTTTAACTGGGGCCTCCTTGGGCTGGAACACATCTCAAAGTCATGGTTCTTGGAAACCCAGGGTGCATTTATGGACAAGTCTATTATAGGAGTTGTAGGTGTATCTTGAAGATGCAAAAATTCATTTTGTACCTTTATTTTACACATCAGACCTTACCCAGGTACCATTCTGTGCTGGGCAGTGCCTAGGACTGAGGCAGATTTGGCTCCATTGGTGTGCCCAGGAAATGGACTTCATTGCACACTGAAGGACCAGCCCTTCAATGCATTGTCTTCAAATAAAAATGAAAATTTCACTCATTTCTGGTGATTTTCTCAATAACCTTTCTCATAGGTTTGAATATAACTAGAAACATAATTTTTGTCCAAGTCTTTCAGTTCACCAAAAACCAAAGTTAAATTCTACCCTTGCGCTTTAGATGTTAACAATTTGAGAAGTTTGGCGAACAATTCCATCTCCTTATTTAGAGCCAGAGCTGGAGGCCAGCTGCAGATGAGGAAAGGGAGACTTGCCCAGGGGCACGCTGCCTGCTCCTGCCACCCGTGGGCTGCCTTCTTCCTGTTCTGTTCTGTGCTGCCTCTAGTGGACTGACCCCTTATCCCTCCTTCCTGTGCCTGCAACACGGCTTATGGTGCTGGGCCTCAGGAAATGGAGGTCCCTCATCTGCATCCATAAGAAGAAAGCCCGGGTTATTCATCTGTTTAGACAGAAGTGCACTCCAACCTTTAGCAGGATCTGAAGGTGAGAAGCTATGACTTCATTACTGTGCATCCATCTTTTGTCTGCTTGGCCCTAGTCCTCTGGGTGTGGTTTCCGCCTGGCAAATTACTTCCAGGAGATGCTTGAGAAGGCAGTAGCGTGTGGAAACATCTTATGTGCAGCATGCTTTTGTTTACAAATGATTTATTATTGGTTATGTCAAAATACACATCCTGAATGAATGGGCAGTGCTGGGTAGAAATCAGTGACATCAATCGTGGTTATTTTACTTAGCAGTGGATTTTTTTTTTTTCCTTTTCAGTGTAGTAGTAATTTGTAAATGCTTTATGGAGGTTATGCTTTCTTTAGTGGCTTGGCATCTTGGAAATTGGAGCAGCCAGGCTCGGCGTGCTGTGTCCATTTTTAGCCCTAGCAGGCAGGAAGTGTGGCCATGCTCTCTCAGGGTAACTGCTGCGAGTTTGTGGCTAGAATGATGTTGGGTGGGAGTTACTCAACTGTTTGAATGCAATGGGCTTAGCTAATGGTAAGAAAGTGCGTGGAGCCTGGGAAGCAATTGATAGCTGGTTACCCTGAGCTCAGCCTCTAGTAACAAATGACACAAGGCATTTGTGAAGGCTGGAAAGCCTCCGTGAGAAGAGCACCTTGAGTCCCACTGGGAAGGGGCAGCCCCTTGGAGCATGAGGGGTCTCTTGCTGCCTCTGCTTTGGGTCTGGCTGAGGGTCCACTTTGCTCCCTGACCCCAGCCAGGGTACCAGTTCCCAGATTGCTGGTGGGCGTGTGACAGCTCATGTGGCCAAGCACCCTGCCCTGCTTCTTCAAAGCTCCTAGGTGGGGGAGTCCCAGTGGCAGGGCAGAGGGACCAACCCCCATGGCTGACTCAGCTGTAGTCCACCCAGATTGCATTTATGGGTAAGTCTACTAGAGGCACTGTACCCGAGCCTGGGGCAACCCTTCTTCTTTCGTGGACTTCCCTGGTCTCTCCAGGACGTTTCAGTGCAAATGCAGCTGTGTGATACCACCCCATACACTGGCGGGGCTGAAGGGAGGTTGGGTTCCGTATCAGTCAGGGACCTTAGGGATGCACGAGATGGAAATATGACTCAAGTTCAGTCAAGTTCATAGGGGCGTTGACTTACAAAACTGAAAGCTCAGGTACAACTGGATCCACATGGCCAGATGTTGCCACCAAGGCCCTGGCTCTCTCTCATATGTGCTCTGACAGACTCAGTCCTGTGGGGCCTCCAGCAAACTCACATTCTGTCTTCCCTGTGTAAGGAGAGGGCGTTTCCCTACAGATCAACCCAGACATGAGTCTCCTTGGCTCTGACGAGCCAGGCTTGGATAACTGGCCCAACCTCAAAGCTTCCTCGGTGTCTGGGGCTTGCCCTGTTCTGATAATCCAGGCTTGGGCCCTCTGTCTTCCCAGGGGCCAGAGGTGGAAACACAGCTCCTTTGGCAAGTGTCCTATTTTCAGTGGGGGTCCAGGGCAATAAATGAAATACTCGTTACGATAATACCAGCGATCACTGGTGTTGAGGGTGCACTTGCTGAGTGCCAGCCAGATCCTGCTCTAAGCACTTGGACATGTTAACTCGGTCAGTGCTCACAGCTGCAAAACCAGGTGAGGGCAGCAATTAGTGCATTTTTGACAGAAGGAACTGGAGGCCCAGATAGGGTAGCAGCAGGGCAGGGATTTGAAAAGGGATTGAGACCAATAATCCCCAAGACGGAGGAGTGATGCCTATGTGTGGAAGCAGGGGCCACACGGCTGCTGGGGATGGGGTGGGAAGAGGCGTCCTGTGGCCTCCAGGCTCACTCAGGGAGCAGTCAGATGGAAGGCCGGGGTAGACACCTGGACCTGCCTGGGAAGGGCTTTAGAATCACAGGAGGGACGTGAGCTCCATCTTGAACTGGGGGAGGTGATGCCAGGGATGTGGACGTCTATAGGGACTGGGCTGGGGGCACAGAGCTGGGGGCCAGGAGAGGCTCACTGAGCTGTTGCCCAGCAGGGCTGTGCCTCAGAGTCACAGGGGAGGTTCCCGAGAGCCTCCTGCTTGGACCCTGCTCTCATGATTGGCTCCAAGTTCTACAGTGAGGCCAGGGCAGCTGCATTTTTTACAAAGCTCCCCCAGGAAATTCCAAGTGTGGCCAGGGTGGAGAATGCCAGGGTCTTCTGTAGGGTCCCAGAATGAGGTCAGGACTTTCTTCAATGCAGAGGGCAGGAGGGGAGTCCAGGAGGAATGGACAGGGTGCTGT
The DNA here is from genome assembly GCF_000001405.40 of Homo sapiens. Lineage (NCBI taxonomy): Eukaryota > Metazoa > Chordata > Mammalia > Primates > Hominidae > Homo > Homo sapiens. The sequence goes on from NC_000010.11 coordinate 127,921,896, forward strand.
GGCTCAGGGTGCCGGTGGAAGGCAGGCATCGATGCTGAGTCTGAAGCCCTGTGCTGGGCAGGAACTTTGCTCTTGCAGGAAGTGAAACTGCTGGAGGAAATTGCTAAAGGAAAGCAATGGAATAGACTAATCCATGACAAGTTGTTAGTGAATTCATGAAGTCCAATTTTAAGAGCTGCTTTTTGAAAGAAGGCTACTGGAGAAAGGCTAACTAAATAAACAAGTTGCTGATGTTGGGATGTCAGGCAGCTGAGCTGACAGAGATCACTCCCAGCAGCCCTGAAGCCACAGGAGCCACCACACATGGTCATTTACACAGTTCCATTCATTCATTCACTGTCTCAAGTTCATTTAACACATGTGAATGGAAGGCCTTCTGGTGCTGAGACTCCAATGGTGAACAAAACCCATAGGTGCCCTTGCATTCTTTGCCGCCGGACACCTAACCTGAATCTGGGGGTCCTGTGGGAGGCAGTCCCGTAAGGGGCTGTCTGTGCGGAGCTCAGCCCTGCTCTGGAGACTCCGTGGGGCAAGGGGGCCAGGGGGCCATCGAGGGCCGCTCTGAGGTCCTTGTGTTGTCCGTGTGGGATTGAGAAGGCCTCATGCCAGGAGCTGTGCTCTTCTCTTCCAGGTGGGCCGGGGCCATGTGTATTCATTAGGGGCCTGTCATCCAAGTGGGCACTTAGGACAAAGTGGTTGCCCAGCTCTCTGCTCCACAGAACCCCATCTGCCACACATGATACCACTTTTGCTAGGCCTTCTTCTAAAGAGTTCCACTGAACCCGTAAGAGATGTGTGTTCCTGCCACTCTGTTCCCAGCCACAACATAGAAAGGGGACTGAACTCTATACCAAGGTGGGTGGGCTGAGAGCCCCAGGCACAGCGGCTTCTGTCGGGCCATTTCTGCCCAGGTTCCTTTCTCTGGCTCCCTCCCTGCTCCCATCTTCCCTCCCCCTCTGCCCTCTCTGGCTTTTCCCATCCTCAGCTTCATCTCTTAGGACCTCGTCTTCCAGAACCCCAGACCCAGCCAAGCTCGGCCTCCCTCAGGCCTTCAGCTAGTGACCTCAGCATTGGTGGAGGGACTGCTCTGACCCCAGACCCAGCCCTTAGTGGCAACAGTGGCAGCTCTGTGGGCAGCTGTGGCTAACTTGAGCGTCTGGCGGCATTCCCAGCCTGCACTCCTGTCCCAGGCAGAGGCCTGGAGAGCTGGTGCTCAGCCCGGCATAGCGGCTGGCGTGCCATTCTTTTGACATGAGTAATAGCAAAGCAAGTCCAAGAAATGTCCAGTGTTTTCTCCCTGTTGTTGCCCAATTTCAAAGAGATAATCCAATCACCTTATCAGGTGAGGGGTGGGGCAGGCTTCCCAGAAGCAGACAGAGTGTGGGGACACCCTGACCTGGCCCCAGGAGTCTTGGCTATCCAGAGCGAGTGCTACAAGTCTGGGAAGAACCTCATAATGGAATCGCTTGCCTGTTTTGATCCTGATGTGAAAACCAGTTTGAATTTTTTTTTTTTTTTTTTTTTTTGAGACGGAATTTTGCTCTGTTGCCCAGGCTGAAGTGCAGTGGCACGAACTCGGCTCACCGCAACCTCTGCCTCCCAGGTTCAAGTGATTCTCCCGCCTCAGCCTCCTGAGTAGCTGGGATTACAGGCGCCCGCCACCATGCTTGGCTAATTTTTGTATTTTTAGTAAGGACTGGGTTTCACCACGTTGGTCAGGCTGGTCTCGAACTCCTGACCTCGTGATCCACCTGCCTCAGCCTCCCAAAGTTTTGAATTATTTTTAAAGGCTCCAAGGAGAGCTTCTGTTTTGACAGAAACTCTATCAAGATATCATCCAGCCCAGTGTGGAGACACAATCTTCCTTTAACACAGGATTCAAACCACATGCAGTTTACTTCCGGGTATCTCTGTCAGGATCTTGCATTCATTTCCCACTGCCTGATGTCTGGTTGGTGGAAGCTGAGACCCCTGAGGGATCAGAACAGATCCAGGGAGAGCTGGGAGTGCTACTTTTCCATGTCTGGTCTGGGTTTTAGGGAGTGATGTTCCCACAGAAGGCTTAAGCTGGAAAATATCCATGATGAGTCCAGGGTACATTTGGTGGAGGTTTAAATACTGTGTCAAGATGCATACAAATAAACTTAACCGTGGTGCATGGCAGAAGATGTCTCTGGGAAACTGAGTGAACAAGTGAAAGGAACACAAGAGAACAAACTCTTAAGCTTTTTTGTAGAGAAAGAGTTTGTGCTCGAAATAGGGACAAGTTACAGGGTGACAGGCATGACTGTTTTCAGCAGGGAGGGCAAGCGAAGGTGGGTGAGCTTGTTTGTTGTTGTTGTTGTTTTGAAACAGAGTCTCCCTCTGTCACCCAGGCTGGAGTGCAATGGTGCGATCTCGGCTCATTGCAACCTTCGCCTCCCGGATTCAAGTGATTCTTGTGCCTCAGCCTCTCGAGTAGCTGGGACTACAGGCGCCCACCACCGTGCCTGGCTAATTTTTGTATTTTTAGTAGAGACAGGGTTTTGCCATGTTGGCCAGGCTGATCTCAAATTCCTGATCTCAAGATCCTACGCCTACACCTCGGCCTCCCAAAGTGCTAGGACCACAGGCATGAGCCACTGCATCTGGCCAGGTGAGCTGTTTTAAGACCACAAGATCAGGCAGACATGGGATTGTCAGCAGGATTTTTACCATCAGGTAACAGTCAATGTGTTCCCCTCCGCCCAACTTCCCTCACTGTACTCAAGGAATATCTGATGACCCAATAATAAAAACTTACAAGATTAACTGAGATAACCCAGTTTAATGTTCAATAAGGTCCCACTGGGCTGCAGAATACAGAAAAATTGACCCATATAACTTGGCATTTGTATCTTTTCTGCAAAGTCTCAATAATGTATAATTTTAAAATCTAGAAGTTATGGAGCATTGAAGTAGCTGAGCTTTCTAGAAAGCGGACATTGTAATGAATAAGCAAAGCAAGAAAACCTCAGACATTGGTACCAGCTCTATTTTAAGCAGAGGCATGTGGAGCTCCCTGGGATACTTGGAAATGCACATTCCCAGGTACTGCAGAGGCTGTTCCTATGAACTATGCTAACTCAATCTTCAGCACAGTCTTCTGTTTTCTGAGCTCTAGAGCAAGGTTGGCAATTTTGCCCCATCTTACCTGCCTGAAGCCAGCACACCTGAGGGCTTGGCTTGGGCTGGAAGATCCACTTCCATGGCTGGAGGATGTTGGCCATGGACAGGAGGCCTTCAGTCCTTGCCAGATGGACCTATCCACAGGACTATGTGTCCTGATGATCTGGGAGCTGGCTTCACCCAGAGAGAGTGATCCAGGAGAAAGCAAGAAAGACGTTACAGTGTCTTTAGGACCTAGCCTGGGAAGCTGTATTCTGCTGTTTCTTTGACATCCTATTTGTCACCTGATTTAGCCTTATTCCTTCAGGAAAGAATGGCTGGCTCTTTCCAAACAGTATGTATGGGTGAGGGATCCTCATTCTTTTCTGACCCCGGGTGGATTAGTTGTGGCTCCTGGCAATATCCCGGATCTGACTGGTTAACTTAGTGAGAAAGGGAGCTTGGCAGACGGCTACCGCAGAGTTCTCAGAATCAATAGTGAAGCTGGAGAACAAGGCTCAGAAAACAGGGAGGAGCCCAGGAAGCTAGCAGCCTGAACCATGGTCGAGGCCAGGCCACAGGAAGCTTTTAGTAAGAATGTGGCCTGTGGTCCACGGCCACTGAGCCTGCTAGGCCCTTCCAGCTGTGGCCTCTGCAACAGTTCCAAAGCATCCCTGGGGCTATCACCCTAAAGACCAACATCTTGGGTAGGATTGATGGTTGGAGTCTGTGTCACCCCCTGACAAATCCTAACTGCTTGGCGGAGGGAATGTGAGTGAACAGGAAGGACCTCCCCTGGGAGGTGGAGCACTTTGGAGCAGCAGCTGATAGGTAAAGGGCACCTCACCAGCCCACAAAGGACAAAAGGTTACCCTGTCTATACTGAGCTCAAGTGTCATTTTTGACTACAAGTATACCTGGTATTACAGTATTAACATACTCCTGAAAAGTTATGTTAATTGGAATTGTGCTTTATATACACTGGGTAAGCTTAATACCTTTCAGAAGACCATAGCTAATCCTTTTGTGAAGCAGCTAATCTTTTTAGAGAACAAATGGTCACTTCTTAACTATTTCTTTCAAGATTAGGAGTCTATTGTGTTTTCTCAAGGCAGAGTAGCCAGTGTTTAAGTTTTCCCTTTTGCTCACGGTGAGGAAATGTTACTTTATAGAAAGCTGCTTGCAGCCTCTCATGCAGAATGAAAAAACAATGAGTTTTTTTCCTTCATTTTAAATCTCCACTGTAATCAACTGTCTTTTGCAAGGAGTACAGATTGTTGAAAATTTTAAAGAGCATGTATGATTTCATTCTTACCAGCAAGGCTGTTTTAATATGAGCATATTTTAAAACTAAGAATGGCAGGATCTGAATGAGCAAAGAAGCAGGCGCTGTGAGTTGTTCTGCGGCAAAGCACATTTGGACATTCACCTCCAACATTTCTGTTTTTCTTCTGTGAGGAGCTTTGAGACTATATATAGTGGAGGTATTTTGTTCGGTTTCCTAGAGTTGCTTTCACATTTCCTGGATAACAGCATGCCGGGAGAGGAGGCTGGGAGGCTGGCTGGTGTGGGCGTGAGGAGCAAGCCTGAGAGGTTTAGACTCTGCTCCACCAGGTCTAGCGACGGGCTCTGTGTGTCCGAAGTAGTCATGGTGGCCACAGGAAAGGAGACGCCTAGCAGGGGAGGAACTAGACAGGGGACGAGTTGGGAAGCTGCTGTCACAATCAAAGACCAGAGGGGAGAAAGAGGGGAAGTGAGAGAGACCAAGGGAAAGAGAGTTGTCTTTTTTTTTTTTTTTTTTTTTTTTTGAGATAGAGTCTTACTCTGTCACCCAGGCTGGAGTGCAGTGGTGTGATCTCAGCTCACTGTAACCTCTGCCTCCCAGGTTCAAGCAATTCTCCTGCCTCAGCCTCCCAAGTAGCTGGGATTACAGGTGTGCACCACCACACCTGACTAATTTTTGTATTTTTAGTAGAGATGGGGTTTCACTGTGTTGGCCAGGCCAGTCTCGAACTCCTGACCTCATGATCTGCCAGCCTCGGCCTCCCAAAGTCCTAGGATTACAAGCATGAGCCACTGCGCCAGGTCTCTCTTAATCCAAGAGTGACAATGGCAGGTAGGTACACTGGAGAGTGACAATGGCAGGCAGGTACACTGGATGCCCCCCACCCCCCCGGGGGTTGGGTTCTCGCTCACCATTAGGGAGATAGCATGTTGAACAGTAGCGTATTTCTCCATATGTCTAACTCGGCTACTTTTTCCTCCAGCATTGGAACACAAAACTATCATTGGCTGATGCCAGATGAAGTACTGGCTTGTATTCCTTTAAACACCAGAATCCTACTCAATGTGGCAAGACACTCCGCATGAGAGGGCATAGTGGGTAATGGTGGATCCACTTAGCGGGGTTGAGTTTTCTCAGTTTTAATGTATGTAAGATGTGGGCCCATATTATGGTTAGCAAAACCAATGCTCAGAGATGGAAACTAAGTTGTTCAGGGCCATGTAACCAGAGGGTAGTAGAGCTGGGATCAAGCCCCAGTTTGTCTCCCCAACCCAGGGCATCTCTGCAGACCTGAACAGTCCCCCTCCTCATGGAGAGGAGCCTTCTGGAGGGGGTGCTGCCTGGGAATTGGGGCAGCTAGTTTTGTGCCACCTTCTGGAATTGCAGACTGTGATTTGGAGGTTGTCACGTCTTTGAGTAAAATACACAGCTGAAGAAAACTCAGAAAGTAACATTTTTGAGTGGGTAGTTTAGTCGTATCAGTGAAAGGGAATCACTTTCTTGATTTGATTGTACTTTTAAAAGAGAATACTAATACCTATTTACCTGGTGCGTTTTAATGAATGACTCATTATTTATTATTATTGTACAGTATTGTTGAAAGCATGATGGCTTTCTTTTAAACAGCTTTTTCCATACTTCATATTGCATTTAAGTATAAAACACAGAAATCATCATCGTGTTTTGGCTAACACAATTGATGCACTCTTCAAAAACTATTAGAGAGTATATTGATTTCCTGGAGATAAGAACCCTGATTTGCTTTTTTTCTTCAAGATTGTAAATTGCATTAGTGGTGACCGTCAGATTTATAGTTAAAGCAAAACTTCAAGAGGGGTAAAGTGGATGACTCACAAACCTCCCGTCATCAGTGTTCACTGTTTACGCTTATCTGGCCAGCCTGTCTCATGCAGCATCCAAACGGACTTTAAAATTCCTTTAATTTAACACAGAAACGTTCTCTGATGAGTTTCTGTTTTGTTTATCTGGTCATCTCTGTGCCCTTGTTTCCTGTCCTGCTCCCTCTTTCAGTAAATCTTGTTTGCTATCAACAGGCCTGTGTTTGTTTCCTTGGAGCTTGGAATTCCTGAGCGGGAAGGAAATACTAGGAAACTTAATGCAGATATGTAATTCTTTTACTGTTTTCAAATGTACAGGGACCATCGGTTGAATTGATGTATCCTTCCTTCTTTTGGAAGTGCTCAGTGCCAGTTCATTTCCCCTTTTGCATAGCTTTGATGGCTTAATTCCACGCACCTAGACCCATGTCTCCTGGATGGAGGACAGATTAGCTGTGCTGGGTTAGACTCATAGGCTTATCTGGAATCCTGCACTCATCTACAACGCTGATTGAGTGAACAGCAAACATCGTACTGTGGGTACAAACTTGGAGGTGTTTACTTGGAAATTTATATCTACCTTCCAAATAACATCTTGGAAAGCACACTGGTAGATGAGGCCTCATTGATGAATTCACTTAGAAAAACATCATAGCATTCATTTTTATATCAATCTTCATTCAGCCCAATATTTGTAGCTGAACAAAACACTGACAACATGTCAGACACGAAGGCCATGGTCAGTTGCCTTTCACACAGGAAAACAAAGATTAGCTGTGTAGCTACGGAAAGCGAATGTCTGTTAAGTACAGAGGTTGTAGTTAACAGCTTTATGTATTCAATTTGTTTGCAATTGACAACACCTCATTAATTGTAAGCCCAGTGACACTGCTTGCTGTTTCAAGTCACTTTTAAATTACACACGTGCTACTTAATCTTAAAAGCAAAATTAAACATTGGACTGGTTTACATTTCAAGCTACAATATGGAACCATTGTATTTGGAGGAATGAGTTTAATATGCATTGTAAAATAAAATTAGGGGGTACTTTGCATTCACAGCGGCTTATGTAATTAGGTTCAGTCAACTGTAATGTTTCAGGTTAATGTCTTCCATGATGTATGCTGTGTAAATAGTGAACTTACATATCCCTTAATACATCTGAATTATTACATAAATCCTTAATATTAATATAATAAAGTATTTTAAGCAAATTACTTGGAAGTGTGAGTTGCATGGCAAGTAGGTAAAACTGATTTATTTTTAAGAGATCAGCAAAGATAAACATTTCATTTATTTAACAACTACAGATATTTATCAAGTCTCTACCTGGTCCAGGTACAGAGGACACAAAGATCTGAAAACTATAGTTACCGCCCTCAAGAATCTGCTAACTGAGTGTGACGTTTCCAGAGGGTTCCCTGGAATACGGATCCCCAGTTCCCTGTTGGGCGTAGGCAGGACAGTTGGGAGCCACAGGCTGCAGCGGGTGGGTTCTCTTGAGAGTTTGTGGGTAGAGTTCAGAAGGCCTGCAAATCTAGACGGAGAAAACATTTGCACTTTTATTTCCAAGTAATTGGCTTCTTTTGCAATCCTACATATCCTCTATGCCTTTAAAACATTGTTTTTAGGCCTGGCGTGGTGGCTCACACCTGTAATCTTAGCACTTTGGGAGGCTGAGGCAGGCAGATCACTTGAGGTCGGGAGTTGGAGACCAGCCTGGCCAACATGGCAAAACCCCATCTCTTCTAAAAATATAAAAATTAACCAGATGTGATGGTGTATGCCTGTAATCCCAGCTACTTGGGAGGCTGAGGCAGGAGAATTGCTTGAACCCGAGAGGCGAGGTGAAGGTTGCAGTGAGCCGAGATCACACCATTGCACTCTAGCCTGGACAACAGAGGCAGATTCCATCTCAAAAAAAAAAAAAAAAAAAGAAAGAAAGAAAACAAAAGCATTGTTTTTAGATTTTATTTTTTAAATTACATGCTTGGAGTAAAAGTCACTCATTTTGGCGTACAGCTCCATGAATTTTAACAAATGCAGAGTTGTATAACCAGTAACACTATCGAGACATGCACATTTTACCACCCTGCCCCCGAAAAAAAAAATCTGTCATCATGCACCTTTATGTCAGACCCTGTAACCCCACCCCTACCCTGGTATCCACTGATCTATTCTCTATCTTTGTAATTTTGCCTTTTCTGAAATGTAATATATGTGGAATTATTTATAGCCTTTTGAGTCTGGCTTCTTTCACTTAGCACACGGATTTAAGAAACATCCTTGTGTGTATCAATAGTCCATTCCATTTTATGGCTGAGTAGCATTCTGTTGTATGCATGTAGCGCAGTTTGTTTATCCATTTCCCAGTTGGGGGACATTTGGGTTGTCTTCAGTTTGAGGCACTTAATGAATAAAATGGCTATAACATGTGCATGTAGGTTTTTGCATAAACCTAGGTTTTCATTTCACATGGATAAGTAGATAGGATGGGATTGCTGGCTCACATGTTAAGTGTGTTTAACTTTATAAGAAACTTCCCAACTACTTTCTGTCATGGGTTCACCATTTGCTTTTCCACCAGCAGTTGCTCTGCATCTTTGCCAACATTTGCTATTGCCAGTTATTTATTTTTTATTTATTTATTTACTTTTTTTTTTTTTTGAGATGGAGTCTCACTCTGTTGCCAGGCTGGAGTGCAGTGGCGCGATATCGGCTCACTGCAACTTCAGCCTCCCGGATTCAAGCGATTCTCCTGCCTCAGCCTCCCACGTAGCTGGGATTACGAGCGCGTGCCACCACACTCAGCTAATTTTTGTATTTTTAATAGGGACGGGGTTTCGCCATGTTGGTCAGGATGGTCTCAATCTCCTGACCTCGTGATCCACCCGCCTCGGCCTTCCAAAGTGCTGGGATTGCAGGCATGAGCCACCGTGCCCGGCCCGCCAGTTGTTTTTTCCTTTGTAAGTTTTTGCCATCCTTACAGGTGAGTAGTAGTATTTCATGTCAGTTTTAATTTGCATTTCCCTAGTGACTCACAGTGTCCAGTATCTTTTCAGGCCCTTATTTGTATATAAAGTTGTTTATCTCCTTTAATAGTATCTGTTCAAATCTTTTGCCTGTTTTTAAAATTGGGTTGTTAATGCTATATATTTTATTGTATGCAATTAAAAGCATTATTCTGATGATATTTCCCTAAATGGCCCAAAGGATTCGTGTTCCAGAAAATATTAAGAACCTTTGAAAGACACACTGACTTTAAAATGTTCTTTACATTTTTGCCTTTTCTCGTGACACGTCTACTTTGCTCAAAGTCCGCCTCAAGGCAGAAGCTGGCCTGTGATAGAATATTTCCCACCCCATCTTTCTTTCTTTCTGTTTTTCGTATATGAAGAGGGATTTCCAAATGCCAAGTGTGGGCATTCCTATGCCCCCTTCCCAGGAGCAGCAAGCCATTTCTCTATTCTGATTTCTGAAACTCTACCGCCCCCTTTGCATCGTTACCCAAATGGAAGGAATCCTAGGTTGTGGGGAAAATGTGAACTAACATATTCCAGAAAAATGACCCCACTCCACCTTAGGAATTAGGAGTTTTTTTCTTAATGCAGGACAAAAATCTGATTGTGTATTTTATCATCATTTATCATGCACATTTTATTACTGTTTATCTCCACAACACCATGGGCTTGATATATTTTTCTGCCTTAATCTCCATTTTTTTCATCAAAGCTTCCCAGTAGGGACTCATCTCCTAGCAAAAATGGTTTTTAACTATTTGGGATATTTTTAAAAGACTTTTGTGGACCCTTTTATATGGTCAGCCAAGTTTTGACTTAGTCATCACTCATTCTTTAAGTCAAGTTTCAATACCGTCTTCAATGGTTAACGTTTCTTGGAACCATAAAGCTTATTTATGATGAATATATTAATTTTATTTTGCAGTTCTTCTATTAAGGAATATAAGAAGGAATATAGGGCACAGAAAGTGGTTCTGTATTATTTTTATTTGAATTCAACTTATGATTGTCCTCCTCGAATCAAAAAGAAAAAAACATTGAAAAAGCAAATTACACGCAAAGTCTATATTGAAAATTAACATGCCGCGTTGAAGAACTCTGCCATGTGTTAATTATTGATATTGTTGCTTTAGAATTAGCTTTATCGATAAATGGATGTCCTAAATTTTATATTTGGCCTATTGTGGCCAAATATATGCAAACTTACGTTAAGTGCTTATGTTTTGGGGTATAGGAGCTATAAAAAAAGATTGTTCCCTTCCATATGTGTACAGTTCTTCTGGGGAAATGAAGACATACACAGGTGGAACGGTAAGAACAGTGGCGAAGAAGGGCTGCACGGAGTTTCTCTCCAGCCTTTTGCGCATGGCACGCAGGCTCATCATTGCAGCTGCAGTTTTTTACTCTGCTTTCCCTGCAGCAACAGAGACAGGAGGGTGGAGAAGGGCGCCTGTGCTCTTTTGCAGCTGTGTGTGCTCATGCCACCCTCCCACTCAACACTCCCTGCTCAGATTCCTCACGCAGCAGTGACAAAGTACCACTCACTCAGTGGCTCACCGTCAGAGAAGCCTGGGCCTGGCCTGGCCCAGCTGGTTCTCTGCTCATCGTCTCACTTGACGAAGTTGACGGGCTGCAGGGTCATGTGCCTTTCCAGAGGCTCAGGATGAATTCACTCCCAAACTCATTCAGGTATTGGCAGAATGCAGTTCCTTGAGGTTGTAGGACTGAGGTCTCAGCTTCCACACAGGCTGTGGGCTGGGGGAGGTCCTCAGAGCTAGAGGCTGTCCCGATGCTTTAGCGGGTGGCTCCTTCCTCCATCTTTAAAGCCCGCCATGTGCTCCCAGTCTCTCTGACCCCCTTTCTCCCTCATCTCTCTGGCTCTCCTGCTCCTCGTCTGCCTTTAAGGGCTCATGTGGTAACACAGGGTGCACCCGGATGATCCAGGATAATCTCCCTACTTACAGTCAGCCGTTTAGCAAACATAATCCCATCTGCAAAGTCCCTTCACAACGGTACCTGGATTACTGTTTGATGGAAAAAAACAGGACTGGAAATCTTGGGGGACATTTTTGGATTCTGCCTACCACCCCCTCCATACACACATAAACAGCAAAATGACAAAATTCAAGGCTCTCCTGAGTGACTGTTTGCAGCAAAGAAAGTTGTTTCCATTTCAGAGACAATATGTGCTGAGATAAGTTTGTGATATTTACACATTTGGTGTTTAATCCTCGTGGACTACATTATACATATCTTTAGGAATACTCTTTACATAAATTAAGATAATTTTCTCTTTCCTGAAAACATAACAGCATGCCACGCGTTCTGGATGAAAATGAGGAACTGTTTACACCATGGGCCCAATTAAACTCTGCGAGAATTCTGATGTGCGATAAAAATGTGCTCAGATGTATAGCATATTTTAAGTTTCCTAGGACTTTCCTTGCAAGCATAATCACAAATTAATATTAAAAAGCTATTTAATTACAATATCAAGAATGTATCTAAGGCTCCCTGGCATTTAACAGAGAAAGTTATGCTAAACATACATCATTATTTTCCTCCATGCAGTTGTCCAGGGTGACCTCTCTTAGCTGGGATTGACAAATCCACCCCAGGTGGCAGAGTGGAAGAGCTTGGAGTTTGGAGTTAGAAGGTCTGGATTGAATTTTCTCTTTCCAGGCCCCTACCGAAGTCCTGTGGTTTCCCTAAACCTCGATTTCCCTAATGGGCATGATAATCCTGATTTGAGATTTAATGAAGTCATATCAAAGAAAATACTTTGTAACCTATAAAGCACAGATGCTTGCTAAACAACTCCTGTAAACATACATTATCCCCCTTCCCCCCACCCCCCGCGCACACACACACACACACACACACACACACACAACTGGTGATTGTAACTCACTCATCTCTCTTTCCCACAGTTGTTTTGAAAACTTCTGGGTTTCTGAAATGAAGGTTCTTTGCAGAGGACAATCTTGGAAAAAAAGATGAAGTTTGATTTCCCTTTTTTCTTTGCACTATAGGGGTGTTCACTGAGGTTGCAGAGCACCAACCATGTCTGCAGAGGAGTTCACACCTCACTGGTGTTCATTGTATTGCTTCACCGTTGAGAGCCTGAATGTGAACCTTGTTGTATTAAGGTGATATTCTTGTCCTTCATGTGTTAGAATATCTATTTGCTTTGAAGAGAGAGTCAGACTCCCTGCCTTTTGGGACATGGCTTTGAGATCTGCCTTTCAGTAAGTAAGACGCTATCCTCAAATTGAGCTGGGCTACCTCTCTACATGGGAAAACCTAAGTACTTCACAGAAAGCTCGGTGACGGTTTGAGTTTCCCAGAATGCCGCACTCATCCCCAAGGATAAGTCACGTCTTTGGGGGATGATGGGGCTTCGACACTGGACACGTGGACACTGGACCGGAAGTTAGAATCCAGTCTCCCAGCCCTCAACCCCATGCTCCTTTCCATGGCGAAGGAGGAGAAGCTCGCCGCCACCCCACTGGCCTGCTCTGCTGAGGTTGTGGAGCACCGGGAAGCAGGGGCCGAGCCTTCCCCGCTCTGTGCCTGGGGGCTCTGGGCACTGTCTACACCTGGGAGGTGGTCAGCATATGTGCGTGGGAACTTGCTGGAAGGAAGGAATGACCCTTCTAGCCATGGAACGGTGGTCATCCGTGAGCCACGGCCTCAGGAGGTGGGTTCCCTTAAGGCTCCGGCTCTGGGGGCAGCGCCCCCTGGGAGCGTCCATTTTTAAGCCTGTGAAGAAAGGGCTGCTGACGTTTGGGGCCCCCGCTATGAGCATAGCCTCCACTCCTCCCCAATCCCTGTCCGTGCCTCTACATACCTCTGTGGCATTTGCAAACCCTTTTCTTAGCAGGTGCTCCCATCTGTGTTTGCCCTTCTCTCCTCCCGTTTCCATGGAGAGGCTGGCACCAGGACGCGTGACTGACAGTGCTGTCTCCCCCAGCAGTCCCCTCTGAGTCTGTCGGGTGTGGGCTCCGGGCTCCACCCTGCTTCTTCCTTAGCCCGCTCTCTGCCCCTCCCACTGCCCAGGCTGCCGGGGCTTCCAGCTCCCGTGGTGCAAACGTGGCCTTTGCTGGCGGCAGGATGCGGTTGCGTCAGGAGTAAGCAGAGCTTTTGTGACCAAAATCAACCCCGGGGCATCTCAGGCTCTAGCGCTGGTGGGCGTGTGAGATCATTTCAGCCCAACCCACATCCCAGGCTTGAATCCCATTACCAGGGGCAACCGATCCTTCTTGTCCTTTCCCAGATTGGTGATGGATGTCCACTGTGTCTCCATGCAGCTGGCCACTCTGTGGACAGCTGTTTGTGACTCAGCTCCTCCCAGCCTGAGGGCATCTGGGCCCTGCAACTCCATCCTTTGCTCCCCTTTCTTCCCGCGGGGACCCTTTCATCTCCCTGGCAGGACCCTGTCTCCACCCGAGGGCACGTTCTCTGACCTCTTCTGCGGAGTACCCTGGCTTGATGACGCTTCCTGTTCCTTCCCAGGGTTGTGCTGGGGGCATCAGTCTTTGAACAGTCCCTCCCTGAGGGCTGCCGTGTCCCCTCAGTGCCCAGGCACATCAAGCACTGCTACAAACCCAGACATTCACAGGGACCCCTCCACCTGAAGTCCACCATAAGGTAGAAGCTTCCGGAAGGGGTGATGCAAAGGGGTCAAACATTTAGACTACGCCTCAGAGCTGCATGATTCCTTCCTCTAACTGTGAAGCAAATACAGCGATTTCTCTGGGTCTGCCATCGAGGCCTTCTTCCCTCTGCTCTCACCTCAGGTGCCTTCCTAATGTGCAGGTGACGATTGCCTCTGAGCTCAGGCATGCAGCTTCTGGGATGCACTCTCCTTTCACGGCAAAGCATTCTGCATAGGAAAAACCGTCTCTGCGTCTCCAAGCTGTGGCCTAGCCCTTCATTCATCAAATGGGATACAACTTTCATTTCTTATTAAAATCTGGAAGTCACTCTCCATTTGTAAGATATCCCAGGGGTTGATGTCATCTTGTAAAGGGGGACAGTGCCATTTTCTATCTTACACTTTAAAAAGACAAAACCACTAGCTACAAACATCATTCACCACAGCATGGGAGAGGCAACCCCACAGCAAAGGTTATGTCATGTTTCATAAATGGGTATGGATTTGGGGGCTGGTTTTTTTAATAAAAACATATTTTGGTACTTTGGAACTTGACATAATTTGAGCTGTTTATGTTGTAGATGTTATGAATAGATGTTATGGTATTAATTAATAGTGTGTATTTTCTATGTCTGGGCTTGCCTGGACCGCTGGTCCTTGCCTTTCTTTCTGACACAGAATTTCCAGGGCCTCAACCTGCTTCTGTCTGGAAGTGACAGCCCACTCCACAGGGGTCTTCAGATAGGGGTAGAAGGTGGTGCCCTGGGCTCTCCTGGCTCTAGAGAATCTGGCTCTAGAATCACGAAGCCTTCCAGCATCCCCAGCTTCCCCCTTGCAGTAATCCCATAAGGGAAGCGTTGTCCCATTTTACAGAGAGTCCGTGGGGCTGAGAGGTGTCATGAATTATTCTAATGGTAGTAACTCTATTGGAGAGGCTGAAACCCGGGGCTCGTGGATGTTGTGACCCACCCCCCACCAGAACCTCCCATCCTGACTCACTGAATATTTAGTACCATCGTCCCCTGGAGGATGGTCTAGTTGGCAAGTAGCTGAGGATTTTTAATTCTAATTTAGTTTAAACATGGCTGTTTGTTGCTGTTGCTCTCTAAAGGGCCTTATTAAAGACTCTTGCTGCAGTGAAGGTGGCCTGTCTAGGAATCGATATGGATGTTGAGATCTGAGACTCTACAACACCCCCAATCTCAGTCCTTCTCGCTCCATAGGCAGTTCCATTCCCTGCAGATCTAACTCTGAGATTCTCACTCCTGAAAATGCCTGGACAATAAATAAATCCAAGGTGAAGGTGTTGATGCCAGTGACCTAGCTGCATCATTTTATTCATGGCATCAAGCCTTCAAGAATGTGGCTTAACTTGTATTTATTCACATGATAATGGCTTTTTATAAATCTGCATCTCTTCCTCCCCTAGGAAGAAAAAAAGGGCATCTCTTCATGAGTCACTTGATTAAAATTCCTCTCCAGTACTCTGTACCATCCACTCATACTGGAATTGTTGAAAATCAGGTGATTTGCAACTCCACACTTGCCCAAATTAAACCATGAGTGGAATTGACAATATGAATCCTGAATTTTCTGAGCTGGAAGGAGGTTCTAGTGATTACCCACACCAGGGATGGCATTTTACACATGAAGAAACAGAGGCCCCAGGGTTGTTTCTGATCCAGGTAGGATCAATATCTCGGTAGAGAAAAGGGGGAATTTTTTTGCTTATACTTTTTAAAATAAGCTACTTGTGGCTGGGCGTGGTGGCTCATGCCTGTAATCCCAGCACTTTGGGAGGTCAAGGCAGGCAGATCACTTGAGGTCAGGAGTTTGAGACCAGCCTGGCCAACATGGTGAAACCCCATCTCTACTAAAAATACAAAAATTAGATGGGCGTGGTGGCACATGCCTGTAATTACAGCTACTTGGGAGGCTGAGGTGGAAGGATCGCTTGAACCCAGGAGGCTGAGGTTGCAGTGAGCTGAGATCACACCACTGCCCTCAAGCCTGGGAGGCAAAGCGAGACTCTGTCTTAAAAAAATAAAAGTAAAATAAGCTACTCGTAAGGGGTGTGTGTGTGTGTGTGTACATGCATGTGTGTAATCTCTGTGGCGTGTGACCTGGATATATTCATAAAGGTGTAAGAATAATTCAAGTAGGTAACGCTCTCTCACATTTTTTAAAAAAAGAAAGAAGGAAAATATTTATTCCTTATATTTCAGGATGGCAGTCAATTAGGGTGTGATGTGACTTAAAGGTCACAGGAGACCTTGCCTCTTGCCAAGTGCTGCCACGACTGTGTGGAAAATCTCTTGTGTACTGGGGACCCAGTTTCTTTCCTGTGAAGGGAGTTGACAGAAATAAAAAAGATCACTGAATGAGATAATCGTTGTAAAGGAGCCAGCATAGCAGCCCCTTAATTAGGGGGAGTGTGCTGTGTCACTGAAACACTCTTTGTTTCCAATCAGGGAGCTCTCACTGATCAGTCAGGACTCTAATTGTTGGATAGAGTCAACAATTAGAAAAAAAGTTATAGTCTCCTAGGAGACATAGACAAGTGAGCTGACAGGGTGGGCTCAGCTCACCCTGTCCCAGCACCTTGGGAGGAGTGTCAAGGCAAACGACAGGCAGCTGGGTGCAGTGGTGTGAGCCTGTGATTCCTGCTACTTAGGAGGCTGAGGTGGGAGGATCGCTTGAGCCTGTGAGTACAAGGCTAGCTTGGGCAATTTTGGGGAGACAGAATAAACAAAAATTGACTTTTTTTAAAAAATAAGTTTGTATTTTCTTCAATTCAAAACATTTTTAGAATTGATATTACTTTTTATAGCTTTAAGGCATATTTCACATCGATATTACTTCTTAATATATATATTTTTTTGCTACAGATTTGGAGTGTGTAAATTGATAAAATTAGTATCAATGCTATTGTAACTACCTGGAATTGGTTAAATAGCAGCAGTGCCAGTCACCTTTCTTAGAGTAGAGATTGCCAGCAGGCAATATCTTCATCCTCAGGACCCAGGTCTCTCTTCTCTGACCCTGCCTGGACCCTGACAATCCCAGGGCGCTCTGCGTTGGAATCAGTTTGGATGTGTGTTACCAGATCTTCGCTGAAGCAGGGCACTCTGCATTGGAGTAAATTTGGATGTGTGTTACCAGATCTTCGCTGAAGAACGCAAGGAACCCAGCATGCAAAGCTGGCCACTACAGTTACATTTTTCCCTCCCTTTGAAAAAAATTTTATGAATGCCTTTCTGAACAAAGAATATGAACTAACCCTCATCATTCATTACATTTAAATAGCATAACATGCCATTGAAATCCTTTTCCAGACGTTTCAGCAAGTGAAATCATTTGTGGTTCATGTTATAGCTTTTTCAGTAACATGACTTGAGAAATTTTTCTTCTTACTAATAAAAGGGAATCATTCCCGCAGTTAAAGAATTCATCTTGGAATCCTCTGGTTTTTCATCATGCTTTACTTTTAAAACTTCCCGTTCTGCTGTAGCAAACTTCCCATTCTGCTGTGGCAAACACGAGTGCATATTAGTTTTCATCTTTGGAAGATGAATGAAGTATGTGACTTTTCAAACAGGGATCTCACATTTTAAGTCTAGTTATTCCAGAATAAAAACAAGCCAGAGGCCCAAACACAGGATTCTTCACTGTCGTTAGCAATTTGGGCACAAATCTGAAGGGCCAGTTTGGTGCAGGTGTGCTGGAGGATACATGGAGAAAAAAAAACATGTTCCAGTCTAGTTCTGATACACAGAAATTGAAAGAGCAACCCAAGGAGTTGGGTTGCTCTTCCACATGGTCAGGATGAGCCAAGGCTTCCGGGTAGGGCTTTTAGGGCAAGTGGGCCCCAGCTGAGCCCAGCAGGGGCAGGGCCAAGATGAGCAGAAGGAAGAGATAGGCTCTGGAAGGAGAGGCAGGAGGAGGCAGGTGTGGGCAGGTGCAGGCAGATGTGGGCAGGTGGAGGCAGGAGGAGACAGGAAGAAGCAGGTGAGGGCAGGTGCAGGCAGATGTGGGCAGGTGGAGGCAGGAGGAGACAGGAGGAAGCAGGTGAGGGCAGATGCAGGCAGATGTAGGCAGGTGGAGGCAGGAGGAGACAGGAGGAGGCAGGTGAGGGCAGGCGCAGGCAGATGTGGGCGGGTGGAGGCAGGAATAGACAGGAAGAGGCAGGTGCAGGCAGGTACAGACAGATGTGGGCAGATGGAGGCAGGTAGAGGCAGGAGGAGGCAAGATGAGGTAAGAGGAGCCAGGTGCGGGCAGGTGCAGGCAGATGTGAGCAGGTGGAGGCAGGAGACAGGAAGAGGCAAGAGGATGCCAGCTGCCTGAGGTGGCTGACAGCTTCACCCAGCTGAGGTTCTTGCCCATCCTATACACCCATCCCAGGACCTCTCTCTAAACACTCTGCTCTGACTTTGGCATTTCCTTGAATAAACACCCCAGAAGCTCCTCGTCTCCTTCATACAATAATCCAGTCTGCCTAGCCCAGTGAATGAGGGTTCTACCAGAGCCCAGCCAACCCCTAGGACAGCTCACATCCCACCATCCCTGAGGTACTGCAGGCTCACAGCCTTCCTGATGGACCACACCTGTGCACCGGGCTGGTCCCCTGCATGCACCTCTCATTCAAGTTGCCTTCCTCTGGGAAGCCCCCAGGGACTTCTTTTCTGTCCTGCACTGGCAGAGTCCCCCTGCTTCCCCTGCACCCAGCACATTCCTTCCTTCATCAGGTGTTGCTGCACCTCTGCTGCTGGGCAGGCTTGGTGCCAGGCACTGAACACACAGCTGAGTCCCAGATGGATGTCTTAGTGTCAGGAGACAGAGTAAAGTTCTAGGCCTATTGTCCATCGTTTCTTGAGACAGGGTCTTGCTCTGTTGCCCAAGCTAGCCTTGAACTCACAGGCTCAAGCTATCCTCCCACCTCAGCCTCCCGAGTAGTAGGGATTACAGGCTTACACCATTGCACCCAGCTGCCTGTTGTCTGCCTTGACATTCGTCCCAAGGTGCTGTGACCCAGTTCATTTGTCTGTGTCCCCTAGGAGACTATGACTTTCCTGCAGGCAGGGTTGTACCTTCTCATCTGCACCCTCAGTGCACTCAGGCAGGTAGTGTCCAGAAAATGCTTGAAGACAAGAAAGGTTCCCCCAGTGAGTCCATGCAGAGCAGAACGGCAAGCAGGGCAGGAGGCACCAAGCTGGCAGGGCAGGGTCTTGTCCCAGATGTACTGTGTCCTGGAGAATGATGTGCTAACCACATGCAGGCCGCCTGGGATGGAGAAGAGCAGTGGAGTGAGTCTTCCCTGCCTGGTGGGAGGTGGAGGCCCTGTGGCATCTGAGGTCAAGGTCACTGCCACTGGGCTGGCAGGGCTATTTCTCCAAATGTTAGAATCAAGAACTTCAGATTAAACTTCCCCTCTGCCTACTCCTTCCCCATGTCAGCATTGCTGAACAGCTGCCATTTAGCAATTGTGGGAGCAACACCTATTTATTGAGGGTCCATTCTGTTCTGGGCCCTGACACAGTAGCCCCAGGAGGTGTCACAAATGCAAGAGTCAGGCAGGTGTCATCATACATGAGCCAGGGGAGCCAGGTGGGCCTGAGCCGAGGGGAGCAACACCTATCCCGGCCACAGGGGTGCCCTGCTCAGGCTCAGCCCGCTGTGGGCTCACAGGAGCACGTCTTCTGATTTTTCAAGAGAAGCTGAGCACCTAGATTTTTGTGTGAAATGCTACAATTTAAAAATATAAACAATGAATGTAAACAAATCTTACACCAGGTAGGCTAAATAGGAGCCATTTCCTAGCCGCACTTGGTTTCTGGACAGCCAGTTTTCCACCTTGATTGATAAAAGAAATAACCATTCTTGGTTTTTTATTTACTTCCAGATCTCCATTCCCCTGCTCTTTCTACAATACAACTCCCACCCCCTCCATCTCACTAAAGCTCCCACTGATGCTCCTGAAGCCTTGATCTGTACATCCAGGCTTCCTTGGTTTGTGGCCACAAACCCCGAATCCCTCACTCTGATTTGCAGAGTAGGGGACAGGTGAGGGCTGGGCCCAGGGCAGAGCCACCAGTGAGAAGTTGGGCAACCCTTGATCTCATCAGTGTGGCCCAGACTGTGTCACTGGTAAGGGAAAAGGCAAAGAAAACAGGCAAAATATTGATGTTTATCTGCAGAGCTGAATGTCTTTTTATCTCATAGAAAAAAAAAAATAGGTCAGCCTCCCCTGAAATGCAGGGCAAGCCTCCTATAGTCCAGTCAAGAGCATTTCGAGTGTCACTTGCCATGGAAGGAAGCTGGAGACCACGATGTCAGAGAAATGAGAATGAGAGAAACAGAAGGAGAGCTGTGATATCCAGGTAGATGGTTTAAGCACAGGGAACCAAGGAATCTGTCTCCATCTGCTAGCAAACTGAGGCTCTAATCACTATCAGAAACGGAAGAATGTTGAGGAAAGGTGATCAGAGGTTTGGGTGCTGTTCATCAACCTGTCTAAAATGAAATTTTTAAAGTATGTTTTTCTTTAAATTGTACGACATCCTCGATTTATAAAGCAAATCAACTAACAAAGCTATGCCTTTGTGGGCACTCAACTTGATCCTTTGTCTTTAGGTTAAAAACCAAATCCTACAAAATGTCCATCAAGGGATGAATGAATAACCAAAATGTGGTCATACATGCAATGGAATGCTGTTCCGTCCTAAAAAGGAAGGAGCTCCTCTCATTTGCTGCAACACGGATGAACCTGGAAGACGTACTGAGTGGAATAAGCCAGTTACACACAGACAAATACTGTATGATTCCACTCACATGAGGTCCCTAGAGTAGTCAAATTTGTAGAGACAGAAAGTTGAATGGTGGGTGTCAGGGGCTGGAGAGAGAGGGATGGAGGGTTATGTTTAAGAGGGACAGAGTTTCAGTTTGGGAAGAGGAAGAAGTACTGGGGCGAGGTAGTGATGATGGTTGCACAGCAGTGTAAATGCACGTAATGCCCCTGAACTGTACACTCAAAAAGGGTTGAAATGTTCAATTTCATTTTACACGTACATTACCACAATTTAAAAAACTCATACAAGAGCAGGAATTTCAGGGCCGCATCTGTTATCATAAAACCATGGCACTGTTGAGACTCGGAAGCAATTTTAATCACGTGGGCCAGGAAACCGGTGACTTTCTTATCTCTTTGATCTCATGGAAACACCAACACTGTTTTCATGTGTTTTATTCTTCTCTTCCCAGCTCTGCCAGACATCCACACATCCTGTCTAATGAAAACAGTAAGACTGTTTAAACTCCAGAGGTCATGTAAGGAAATCATTCCTAAATGTGTAGTTCAGAGTAAAAAGTGCTCTTGTCGATAGCAACTTTTCATAAATTTGTTTTTCTGAGCGTCACAGTGGTATTTGTTCATCTCTAAAAATCTGGATTGTTTCAAGATGATTTTTAAAATTATTTATAAGGAACCCCCAAACTTGCCTGGCTGCCAGTCTCTCACACTCCCTGTAACCCTCGAGTTGAGGAGTAGGTTGCTAATCCTCTCCTAGAGTGTCTCTGCCACCAGCCTGGAAGGCACTGGGGCTCCATGAGTTCCTGCAGCTCTTTGTCTGTGCATGCGAGAACTTTCCCGTCGTCTTCTCCCATGCAGGAGGGAGACGGCTACCTGAGCCTCTGAGTCTAGGTTGAAGGAAGGTCGGTGAAGACCCCACCCACAGTGAGACAATGCGGTGGTCATGGGGAAGCTCCACCCACCAACACCCCAAGCCCCAGAAGTTCTGCTGCCTGGAATGCGCAGGAGGCTTCCAGGGCAGCTGAGGTGACTCTGATTTCATTTGCTCAGGCAGATGGTATTGGAGAGACTCAGCCACTTTATTCTGCAGTTGGTCAGCACTTCCCAAGGGGATTTTATTGGTCTTCTCCAAACTCTCTTAATTCCAGACCTTCCCAGCCTCACATTTGCTAGTCTCAGAACAGAGCTAAGGAGGCCTGTTCCTCACGAGCTGGACAGGCAGACTGGAATGACCGTGCCCACTGCTGGGGTGGCAGTATTGGGCATGGTGTATGAGTGTGTGTGGGTTGACCTGGCTGTGGACTCTGGGTGGAAGGAGGAGGAAGTAGTTCCTATGGGCATTGGGGCTGGGAAGTCTAATTAGAAGCAATAGTGTTGGCCCAACAAGTGGGGCATTTGTGCACGACAGAACCTAAGGGCACACAAAGTTGCTCCTGTCAGGGATGTGAGTCAGCCAATGGCCAAGCTTTGACTTTCGGCCAGGGTGGAGAGTGGCAGCAAATCATGGTTCTGCTGCTGGAAGGACTGAAGTCCAGGGAATATTACTGCTCAGAGGGCCTGATAAGAATCCAGGGACCAGAACTGGGGTATAAAGTAGGACTGAGAATTAAGAGGAAGACCACAGCTGTTGTGTCACATGCAGCATGATAGTCAGGGATGGATGAGCACCTCTGGGAGGTACTTGATAAATATTGATTGAATGGCTAAATGGTGGGTGGGTGGATGGATGGATGGACGATGGACAGATGGATGGATATGTGGATGGATGGATGGATGGATGGATGGATGCATGCATGGATAAGTGGATGGATGGATGGACAGATGGATGGATACATGGACAGACGGATGGATGGATGGATGGATGGATGGATGGATGGATGGATGGATGGGTGGATGGATGGATAAATGGATGGATGGATAAGTGGATGGATGGATGGGTGGATAGATGGATGGATAGGTTAGTGAGGTTAGAAAAGTAGGCAGAAACTGGATCATGAAGGCCCTATAAGGATTTTGCACATAATAGAAGGTCATTTGAGGAGATTGAGCAGGAGAGTGACAAATGGAACTGTGTATTTGAAAGATCTCTGTGGCTCCACGTGGATAGCAGGCTGGTGTAGGTACAAGACTGGAAGCAAGAGACTAGCTAGGGGGTTGTTGCAGTGAAAGAAGATAGTGGCATAAAATTAGGTAGGTGGCAATGAGATGGAGAGAGTGGGCAGATTCCACACATTTTTAGAAAGCCTGAAGATCAGGAATCAGTGACTGTTCTTTAGATGTGTGGGGAAAAAGAGGGCGGCATCTAGAGTGACCCCCAGTGGGCTGGACAGCTGGGGGGATGGTGGCACCTTCTATCAAAATAATGGGGGAAAGGAAGAGAAGGCTAGGGATGGATCGTTGTGACTGTCATGGGCCAGGAGTGCCTTGTGGCATGGATCTGTTTATAAGCCTATCTCCTTCATTGGACCTCAGGAAAGACCCTCCAGCTTCCTCACCCTTCCCCTGCACATCCAGAGCTTAGTGCAGTGCCCAGTACCTGGTTGGTTTTCGAAGTTATTGGACTAAAGAGTGAATATGGATCTGGGATTAGACAGTCTTTAAGATCATTCCCTGCTTAGTTGTGCTGCTGTAGCAACATTCATACATGGGGGTGAGAGGGGTGACTTGCGGAACTGGCAACTCAATGTGGAGAATCTTCCAGGGCAAGCAGGTAGAGGAGAAAAGGCCTCTGTGCCTGACCTCATATCTGAAGCCCAAGGCAACATGCCAGCCAGACTTTGGGCTCCTTGCCTGTGGACACCTGTGTCTTACTGTCTGCTCTGGGCTCTCCTTTGAGGAGGCCTCTGTCTCAGAACAAATGTCACAAACAATGAATGCCATGCTTCAAAGGAAGCTGATGTATGGAGCGTGTGTCACCTTCCTCTACAGGAATGGGGTTTGGCAGTGATCCAAAGACTCACTGTTATGACATGTTCTCAGGGAAGTAGGTCATATGTCCCCAGGGTATTCAGAGAGGCCTGTGAGTGTGAGATGTTTGGGCTGAGCAGGGCTTTCTTCCTCTCAAGGCTCCAAAGGGCGGGCCAACAGGTCATTTGGTTTTTCTCAGTGATATGTTTTCCTCCTCAAGATTCATCACCCCTCTCTCCTCCTCTGCTTGTTCTGAGGCAAATGGACACAGAAATACATTCTCTGTTTTATCCTTCATCGTTGCTAACCCCTGTGGGGTCGCTGACATCATGGAGTTCTCTTCTGGTCGTGCATATTGTAGCTCATGAAGAAAAGGTTGTAAATCACCATTTCAGGATGTTCTGCCTTTGACCTACTATGACTCCATGGAGTATCCCCTACAGAGCTCTCTGTGGGTCTCTGAGAGGCATTGGTGTGTGGCTGCATCTGGCACCTTGAGGTGAAGATGGGCCAGGAGTAGATCCAGGAGGAGCACAGCAGAGCATAGGAGGTGGCTGGAGAAGAAGGTCAGATGCTGTGGGGTCAGGAAGTGCCTGTCAGAGAAGCACCTGGGAGTTTGTTTCTGGCTGAGGCCAGCAAGGGGTGCAGGCTGCATGACTTCCTTCTTCTGAATCTTCCTTTCAGGGCCCAAGTACAAAGAGAAAACACACATCAAAATGCTTGGAGAATGAATGGCTATTCGTGTATATACCATTTCACTGATATTGATAACTTACTATGTGGCCGATCCTGCTCAAGGGCCTAGGAAGAAAAAGAACTCTCAGCCCTCATTTTGGGGCAAATAAGTAAGGATATATATACAAGGATGTTTATTGCGGCAAAAAATAAAACACTAAATTTATAATGGCAAGGCCTGTCAACAGGGAAAGATTGAAAAGAGATTGATTCTGCATCTGCATCATGGAGCAGTCTGCAGCCCCTGGGAGATATTCATCAGACCTCGCAGGCTGGCAGGGAGGGATTTCCACCCCGCATTGGTAAGAGAGAAGAGCAAGATGCGCTTGCACATTGCACCTGTGCACACTTGCTCATCTGTAATTGTGGGTACAGGGACAAAGGTGTGTGCAGACACACTGCAGGTCACAAAGACTGCATAGAGGCATAGAGTGAAAGTGGGTACAGAAAAGGGGAGGAGTAGGAAGAAAAGAAACAAGGAATCACAGGACACGGCAGCTCGTGTCTGTAATCCCAGCACTCTGAGAGGCTGAGGTGGGAGGATCACTTGAGCCCAGGAGTTCGAGACCAACCTGGGCAACATCGTGAGACCCTGGCTCTGCTAAAAACTAAAGCCAGATGTGATGGCTTGTGACTGTAGTCCTAGCTACTGGGGAGGCTGAGGCAGGAGGATCCCTCGAGCTCAGGAGGGCAAGGCCACCATGATTGTGCCACTACACTCCAGCTTAGATGACAGAATGAGACCCTGTCTCAAAAAAAAAAAAAAAAGCTATATGTTTTTAAATATCATTTATAGTGTGATTTGTGTAAAATTGCATAGACACAGAGAAGGGTTTACGCCATGGGACAGCCACGAAAATGTGATAGCACTTCAGTTTGACTTTAAAAAAAATACTCTTGTGCATTGTTCAATTGTTTTTATAATACAGTGATCACATTTATTTAGTGATTGGAAAAGAGGTTATATTTTAGTTTTGGAAAATTAAATAAGTGTAGATGTGAAAACAAAATAAATAAAAATTCTCAGAGGTATGTTTATCTAAAGTGAGCCAGATTCACGTGCATTCAAAACTCCTCTCCTAGGAAAACCTCCCCTGATTGTCTTCTTCAACTGTTAGGAAATAGTGTTGAGGTGTTGCCACACCCTGAGGCCCATTCTCCCCTATGCTGTGTGTTAGAAGTCTGTCTCTTGCTCTGAAGAATTCAGGTTTGTCCCATGGGTTTACATTTTATTTATCTCTTAATGCTTACATCCTCTGATGCCTCTGACATTTTACCTTGTCTTTGGACAAATTTTCACAATGTTTAAAAGGTATGCTTTAAAAAGATATGCTCTTACATAACTTTTCTGTGCCCGGCTATTCTCCCATATGTTAAAGGAGGCCTCCTTTCCCTGGACCACCATGACCACCCGAGGGACTTGCAGGTTGCCAGGGCATCACCTGTCATGTTCTTTTATGGAAAGAATCTGGACTGGAGCACATGAGCTCAAGAAAAATCTCGGACTTAAAATTCAGTCTACAAGAGAAACTGACATTGTCTTGGACCTGTGTAATGGGCAAAGTTCAGAGTCTCTGGGGTACAGGGAAGTAGGTCAGGGAGTGGGGAAACTGAGGCCTGTTGTGGGACTTCTCAGCCCACCCTAATTAGAGGGGTTGAGCCAACCCCCCAATAAATACCTTCTCATGTGACAGCATGGGACGTGAGATGGGAAAGGCCCATCAGCTAAATGCGAGCCACACCGTGAAGGATGCCCCATGCCATGCCCAAGGGTTTGGGTTTTCTCCTAGGAGGGGTGAAGAGCTGCTGAAGCTTTTGAGCCCTGTAGATGCTTAGATGTGTGTTGGGCCACTCCGTTGGCCCCCAGGAGAGCAGATGGGGAAGGGTGAGCCTAGGCTTAGAAGACCAGCACAGAGTCCTGAGCTTGGGGATGTGCACACACCATCACCCCCTCCTTTTTTTTTGTTTAAGAGAGACTTTATTTTAGGGCATTTTAAATTCACAGCAAAATTGAGTGGAAGGTAGAGAGATTTCCCATATGCCCCTTAACCCTACACACACACAGCCTCCCCACTCTCATTATCCTACACGTCATCATCACCCAGAGTCCATAGTCTGTGTTGGGGCTCACTCTTGGTGTTGTACATTCTATGCATTTGGACAGATATATGACATGTATCCACCATGGCCGTGTCATATAGAATGGTTTTACTGCCCTAAGCATCCTCTGTGATCCATCCATTTATTCTCCCTCCCTGTGAACCTGGCAACCACTGATTTTTTTACTGTCTCCATAGTTTTGCCTTTTCTAGAATGTCATGTGGTTGGAATCATATAATATGTAGCTTTTTCAGATTGGCTTCTTTCACTTAATAATACACATTTAAGGTTCTTCCCAGGCTTTTCATGAGTTGATAGTTCATTTCCTTTTAGCGCTGAATAGCATTTTATTGTCCGGAGGTACCACAGTTTATTTAGCCAGTCACCTACATTGTGATGGTTAATTTGAGGTGCCAACTTGACAGGATTAAGGAATACCTAAAAACTTGGTAGTGTAGTATTTTGGAGTATATCCTTCCAGAGGAATTTAGCATTTGAGCCTGAGTGAATTAGGTGGAGAAGGTTCACCCTCAGTGTGCATGGGCAACATCCGATCTGCTGGGGACCCAGACACGACAAAAACAGGAAAGGTGACTGTGTCGATCTGTCTGCTGGAACTGGGATACACCCTGCCTCTCCTGACCCTGGACAATTCCAGGCTTGTCAGCCTTTGGATTCCAGAACTTACACCAGTGCCCCACCCTCAATCCATCCCCTGGTTCTCAGGCCTTTGGCCACGGACTGGGAATTTCACCAACACCTTCGCTGGTTCTGCAGCCTTCAGACCTGGACTGAACCATGCTGCTAGTGTGCCAGGGTCTTCAGCTTGAAGATGGCCTGTTGTGGGACTTCTCAGCCAACCCTAATTAGAAGGGTTGAGCCAACCCTCAAGTAAATCCCTTCCCATGTGTCTATCTAGCTATGCATATTCTATTAGTTCTGTCTCTCTGGAGAACCCTGGCTAATACAGATTTTGGTACCAGGAGTGGTTCTAGAGGAAACAATTTTAATTTTTGGTTTTGGAGTTTCTGGAATTGGCTCTCTAACCTGTTTAGAACTAAAAATGCTGGAGACTCTACTTCTAATAGCGCAGAGAGCACTGATAGATCACGTGCTTACTGTTTGTAAATATGCAAAATAAATACATCCATACTCCTAATTCACCACTTATAAAAGGCAAATAATTTAGAGACTTTATACCTGATACGTTTGAACATTTGAGGAAAACCAAAGAATATGCCACGTTCATTGGTTGCTCCTAGCACGGCTAAACCAAGTGATGAGAGAAAGGGGTGAGCTCCGGTATTCACATAAATGACCTGAGTTTCTACATGTGCCCTGGGTCAGAATCTTCTCTCCCGTAGCCACAGGGCTGAAATTGCTGAAAATCAAACACAAGCCTTTGTCCCTCGATTGACTGAATTACCGCGAAAGCTGAGTCTCAGCTTTGCGGAAATTTGGGATGGGGAAACGTGGGGAGACCTTGATGAGGCTAGAGACATTGAGCTCAGAAATTCTGATGAGTCTTATTTGCTAAAAGTGACCTCCCCTATCCCAGAAATAAATCCCACCTCTGCCTGAGGGGATTAACTCTGATGGGACTCACAGCCTCCCCTGAGCCAGTTGCCAGGCAAGACAGTGCTGAATCTCTGGACCCGCCCCCACCAACCCTCTTTCCTTCTAGACCTACTGTAACTAGACTGAAGTCCCAGCAGCCCCTACAGGTGAGGTACACAGTGTGCCCCATGAGGAGGTGGTTACACTCTAAAAGAACTACTTTGGTTTTCTAATTTATACAAGCAGAAATTCGGGGAACATGTGTGGGAGTGGATATTAAGGGTATGGACTAACAGAGACATAAAGGGAGCCGACTGAATTTATTGATATGGACCCACTGAGCAGAGATTCTGCAGTTAATGCTGCAGCGCAGGGAATTTGGGGAGGGGCTCAGTTTGTTTTATTGGTTGGCTGAAATGTGGGTCAAAAGATGGTCCACCATGACTGAGTTGGAGATGCCTGATCTCCTTTGGTTTACTTTAAAGGAAGGGATCCAGAGGCTTAGGGAGGCTGGAATGCTAGAGTGGATTTGTCACTTAAAACCAACTCCCACACACTAGGAGGGTCCAGAAGACTGGTCTTTCACCAAAACCTTGAGAAACAGATTTCTGGGGGGAGTGCCAGCATCCCTGAAGAGCTCCGCGATTGCTCTTCTCTGTAGGCTGGACTTTACAGTGGGAACCTCAGTCACTCAATTAGGAAACTTAAATGCTATGGGGATAATTGGATCCTGGGGTGGCAGGGGCCAAGTGGCAGCACTCAACTGTCAAAGGCAAGGTGGATGTAGTTACTGTAAGGTACAGCAGAGCAAAGCAACAATCAAAATGGTCTGACTCGTGTAGATCTATGGCACTGGCTAGTTAATCACGTGTTTCTAAAAGTGAAATAGGGTCGGGCAAAGTGGCTCAAGCCTGTAGTCCCAGCACTTTGGGAGGCCGAGGCGGGCAGATCACTAGGTCAGGAGATAGAGACCATCCTGGCTAACACAGTGAAACCCCATCTCTACTAAAAATACAAAAAAATTAGCCGGGCATCGTGGCGGGCGCCTATAGTCCCAGCTTCTTGAGAGGCTGAGGCAGGAGAATGGCTTGCAGTGAGCCAAGATTGCGCCACTGCACTCCAGCCTGGGTGACAGAGGGAGACTCCATCTCAAAAAAATAAAAATAAATAAATAAATAAAGTGAAATAGATAGGAAGCCTACTAAATTCTTACCTGATCTGTATAAGCATAAAACTTTCAGGTCAACTGCACAAAAGTCCAACTCAAATCATAAAAACTGAGAGTCGTGGCTCCTCAATGAATTCCCAGACTTGAGCCAGTTTATAGACCCAGAACCCCTTGGGTGAAGGAGAGGCTGGGTTCCCTCCAGGAAGGACTCTGGTAGACTACAAAGAACGTATACTGTTCATCTTTCTCCCATCTTTCCCTAAAGGGATCTATGGCCTTTTACCATGGTAACTGTGTGCTGGGGAGAGGGAAATAAACAGACAATTTGGGAACTACTGGACACTGGCTCTGAACTGACATTGATTCCAGGAGACCTGAAATGTCACCATGGCCCCCCAGTTAGTGTGGGGCTTATGGATGTCAGGTGATCAATAGAGTTTTATCTCAGATCCAATTTACAGTGGACTCAGGGGGTCCCTGACCCCATCCAGCGGTCATTCCCCCAGTTCCAGATGCATAATTGGAGTACACATACTCAGCAGCTGGCAGAATCCTCACATTGGCTCCCTGACCTGTGGAGTGAAGGCAATTATGATGGAAAAGGGTAAATGGAAGCTATTAGTGCTATCTCTACCTACAAAAATAGTAAATCAAAAACATGACCTGGAGGGACTGCAGAGATTAGTGCCACCATCAAGGACTTGAAAGATGCAGGAATGGTGATTCCCACCTTCAACTCTCCTATTTGGCCTGTGCAGAAGACAGATAGCTCTTGGAGAATGACAGTGAATTATGATAAGCTTAACCAAGTGGTGACGCCAATTGCAGCAGCTGTACCAGTTGTGATTTCATTGCTTGAGGAAATTAACACATCTCCTGATACCTGGTGTGCAGCTATTGATCTGGCAAATGCCTTTTTCTCCATCCTTGTCCAGAAGGCCCACCTGAAGCAGTTTGCCTTCAGCTGACAAGGCTAGCAATATACCTTCACTCTCCCACCTCAGGGGTATATCAGTTCTCTAGCCTATGTCACAATTGTTTTCAGGAATCTTGATCACTTTTCCCTTCAATAAGATATCACACTGGTCCACTATATTGATGACTGAAGGAACTTATGTATACAGTGATCCATTTCCAAGACAAAGTGCCTTAAATCAGCTTAGGTCAGCAAAACTACAGAAGAAACAGGATGTAATATGCCCCTGCTTAGATAGCCAATGCCTACTTGTTGTGCCCACCCCGCCCCCCCTAGCCCTTAGTTGCCCTCACCCAAACCAAAAAAAGTTTAGTCTAAGATGAAAGTTTATTAGCCTGCAAAATAGCTCCCTTTTTCTATTCTTATCAGCCTGCCCAGCTACTTAGGTCATAAGTCAAATACTTAAAGAGTTAAGTATTTTACTTATAAGCTCAGGGGAGCTGACAAGGATTGCAGTGCATTGTGGGCTGCAACAAAATGCAGCAAGACAACCCTAATAAAAATCACCTACAGCCCCTACCCAACAATCAATAGGCGATGTCCAGGAAGATTGTAAACCCATAGTACTCAGCCTATAGGGAACCGGGGGAGGGACCTACACACTAGGGGATAAAGTGCTTGTTAAAACTGTGCTGGGTGTGCCTGCTTATCAGACACTCAATCTTGCAAGACTGTCATTAAAAGTCTCACTTTTGCTATTCCTTGGGTCTCTGAGTCCATTCTTTGGGTTTGGTTGGGTAAGTTTATTTCTCACAATGACAATATGCTGATTGGGCCTAGAGAGCATGAAGTAGCAACCACTCTGGACTTATAGGTTAGACATTCGTATATCAGAGAATGGGAAATAAATTGAGCAAAATTTAGGTGCCTCCTACCTCAGTGAAATTTCTAGGGGTCCAGTGGTATGGGGCATGTCAAGATATCCCTTCTGAAGTGAAGGATAAGTTGTTGTATCTGGCCCCTCCTACAATTAAAAAAGTGCCTAGTGAAACTATTTGGATTTTGTAAGCAACACATTTCTCCTTTGGGTGTGTTACTCCAGCCCATCTACCAAGTGACCTGAAAAGCTGCTAGTTTTGAGTGTGTCAGAACAGGAGAAGGCTCTGCAATAGATCCAGGCTGCTGGGCAAGCTGCTCTGCCCCTTGGGCCATATGACCCAGCAGACCCAGTGGTGCTTGCGGTGTCAGTGGCCGATAGGGATGCTGTTTGGAGCCTTCGGCAGGCCCCTATAGGTAAATCACGGTGAAGGCTCTTAGGATTTTTGAGAAAGGCCCGGCCACTACCTGCAGGTAACCACTATCCTTTTGAGAGACAACTCTTGGCCTGCTGCTATATCTTAGTAGAAATGAAACACTTGATTATGGGCCACCAAGTTACCATGCAATCTGAACTGCTCATCATGAACTGGGTGTGATCTGACCCACCAAACCATAAAGATGGGCATGCACAGCAGCACACTATGATAAAATGGAAGCGGTGTATATATGTGATTGGGCCAGAAAAGGTCCTGGAGGCATAAGTAAGTTACATGAAGAAGTGGCCCAAATACTTATGGTTCCTACTCCTGCTATGCTGCCTTCTCTCTCTTGCCTGCACCCCATGGTCATTTGCCAGAGGAAGAGAAGACCAGGACCTGCTTTATAGGTGGTTCTGCATGATATGTAGGCACCACCAGGAAGTGGACAGCTGCAGCACTATAGCCCCTTTCTGGGATGTCCCTGAATGACAGTGGTGAAGGGAAATCTTCTCAATGGGCAAAACACTGGGCAATGTACCTGGTTGTGCACTTTGCTTGGAAGGAGAAATGGCCAGATGTGCAATTATATACTGATTCATGGGCTATAGCCAGTGATTTGGCCAGAAGGTCAGGGACTTGGAAGGAACATGATTAGAAAATTGGTGACAAAGAAATTTGAGGAAGAGGTATGTGGATAGACTGCTCTGAGCTGGCAAAGGAAGTGATATTTGTGTTCCATATCAATGCCTACCAAAGGGTGACCTCAGCAGAGGAGGACTGAAATAATCAGGGGTAGAAAATGACCTGTTCTGTGAATATTTGTCAGCCTCTTTCCCCAGCCACCCCTGTCATGGACTCGTGATCTAAGTGGTCATGGTGGCAGGGATGGAGGCTGTTCATGGGCTCAACAACATGGACTTCTACTTACCAATGCCAACCTGGCTACAGCCACCACTGAGTGACCACTCTGCCTGCTGCAGAGATCAACATGGGGTCCCCAGTATGGCACCATTCTTTGGGGTGATCTGCCAGCCTCCTGGTGGCAGGTTGATTACAATGCAGCACCTTCATTGTGAAAGGGGCAGTGTTTTTTCCTTACTGGAATAGACACTCTGGATATGGATATGCTTCTTCCACAGCTACCATCTGTGGACTCATAGATTGCCTTATCAACCATCACGGCATTCTGCACAGCATTGCTTCTGACCAAGGAATTCACCCAAAGCCAAAGAAGTGCAGCAGTGGGCTCATGCTCGTGGAATTCACTAGTCTTACCATGTTCTTCATCACCTTGAAGCAGCCAGTTTGGTAGAACAGTGAAATGGCCTTTTGAAGTCACAGTTACAGCACCAGCTAGGTGACAATGCCTTGCAGGCTGAGGCAAGGTTCTTCAGAAGGTTGTAGGTGCTCTAAATCAGTGTCCAACATATGATGCTCTTTCTCCTATAGCCGGGATTCACAGGTCCAGGAATCAAGGGTCAGGAATGGAAATGGCACTACTCACCATTACTCCTAGTGACCCACTAGCAAAATTTTTGCTTCCCGTTCCCATGACTGTTAGCTCTGCTGGCCTAGAGGTCTTAGTTCCAGAGTGAGGAGTGCTTCCGCCAGGAGACACAACAATGATTCCACTCAAGCAGAAGATAAGGATGCCACTTGGCCCCTTGGGGTTCCTCATGCCTCTGAGTCAACAGGCTAAGCAGGGAGTTACGGTGTTGGCTGCGGTGACTGATCCAGACTACCAATGGGAAATTGGACTACTACTCCATAGTGGAGGCAAGGAAGATCTTCTGGAATACAGAAGATCCCCTAGGGTGCCTCTTAGTACTACCATACCCTGTGATTAAGGTCAATTGGAAGTTACAACAAACCAATCTAGGCAGGACAAGTAATAGCCCAGGCTCTTCAGGAATGAAGGTTTAGGTAACTCCAGATAAAGAACCATGACTATCATATGATGCAGAGAATAAATACATGTGTACATACATACATACATACATACATACATACATACATATATACATACACACATAAAATCATGACCAGTGAGGTGCTTATCGAAGGCAAAGAGAATACAGAATGGGTAGTAGAAGACGGCAGTTTATCAATACCAGCTATGCCCATGTAACCAGTTACAGAAACAGACTGTTATGAGTATTTCCTCCCTATTTTGTTAAGAATATGTCCATGTGTATAGATGCATATAGTAAGCAAAGATCTTTATTTTCATTCCTCTCTTATTCTTTTATCATGTAACAAGATTTTCTGAACTTATATTAGTATTTAAGTGTTGTTAATTTTGTATCATAGTATTTAAGTCATGAGATATAAGGAGAAGAGTAAACATCATGCAAGGACTTTTTCTGAAGAAGGAATTATATTCATCAGTTTTCACACTACTGTAAAAAACTACCTGAGACTGGGTAATTTATGAAGAAAAGAGGTTTAATTGACTAACAGTTCTGCAGGCTTAACAGGAAGCATGACTGGGAAGCCTCAGAAAACTTACAATCATGGAGGAAGATGAAGGGGAAGCAAGAACCTTCTTCACGTGGTGGCAGGAAAGAGAGAGAGAAGGGGAAAGTGTCACCTTTTAAACCATCAGATCTCGTGAGAACTCACTCACTATCATGAGAACAGCAAGGGGGAAATCCATCCCATGATCCAGTTACTTCCCACCAAGCCCCTCCTCCAATTTGACATGAGATTTGGGCAGTACACAAATCGAAACTATATCAGGGATTAATGTGTTTTTGGTTGTACGCAGGATAGCTGCATCCTGTCAGGTGAAACTATTACCTTATTATTATCTTATCTGGAAATTAAGTATGATTTCAGGAGTTGCATATATATAGGTGCCAAGTTGACAAGGGGTGGGCTTGTGATGGTTAATTTTAGGAGTCGACTATATTAAAGAATATCTAAAAACCTGGTAAAACATTATTTTGGGGTGTTGTCTGAGGGTATTTCCAGAGGAGATTAGCATTTGAGTCCAAGTGGACTAGATGAGAAGCCACACTGCCAGCATCTCAGGGACTCCACCTTGCAAACGGCTTCTCAAGGGACTCCTCAGCCACAACTGTGTGAACCAATCTCCCTAATAAATCCCCTCTCATATGTCTATATATTCATTGCATTGATTTTTGTTTCTCTGGAGAATCCTGACTAATACAGACATCTTGGTTGCTTCCAAGTTTGGGCAATTAAGAATAAAGCTGCTATATACATACATATGTGGGTTTTTGTGTGGACATAAGTTTTCACCTCATTTGGGCAAATGCCAAGGAGTGCAATTGCTGGATCATATGTTAAGTGTGTTTAGTTTTATAAGAAACCACTAAACTATCTTCCAAAGCAGCTGTACCATTTTGCATTTGAAGCAATAAATGAGAGTTCCTGTTGCTCCAAATCCTTACCAGCATTTGGTGTTGTCAGTGTTCCGGATTTTGGCTATTACAATAGGTGGGTAGTGGTGTCATATTGTTGCTTTAATTAGCAATTCCCTAAAGACAGATGATGATGAGCATCTTTATGTATGCTTATTTTCCATCCATATGTTTTCTTTGTTGATGTGTCTGTTCTGGTCTTTGCCTGTTTTTTTAATGGGATTGTTTATTTTCTTATTGTGAGTTTTAAGAGTTTTTTTTGTACATTATTGATAAAAATCCTTTATCAGATATGTTCTTTGCAAATGTTTTCTCTCCAGTCTGTGGCTTGTCTTCTCATTACCTTGACAGTGTCTTCTGCAGAGCAGGAAGTTTTTAATCATTATGAGGTTCAATGTATCAATTCTTTCTTTTATGGGTCATGTTTTTGGTATTGTATCTAAAAAGTCATCCCCTTATCCAAGGTCATCTAGATTTTTTTCTGTTATTTTCTAGAGTTTTATAATTTTGCATCTTACATTTAGGTCTATGATCTATTTTGAGTTAATTTTTTGTGAAGGGTATAAAGCCTGTGTGTAGATTCATTTTTTGCATATGGATTTACAGTTGTCCCAGCACCGTATGTTGAAAAGACCATCAATCTTTCTGCCTTTGTATTGCCTTCACTCCTTTGTTAAACATAGTTGACCATATTTATGTGGGTCTATTTCTCTTCCATTCTGTTGGATTTTTTCCTTCAGATTTGTTACATAGATAATCATGTAATCTGTGAACAAGAATATTTGCATTTTTACTTCTTAATCTGTATACCTTTTATTTTCTTGTCTCATTGCAACAGCCATGACTTCCTGTATGATATCAGAAAGGCTCTCCATTCTGTTCCAATGATGTTGATTATTTTACTGAAGCTTTATAGTTAAGTCTTGGGGTCAGGTAGTGTCAGTCCTCCAACTCTGTTCTTCTCCTTCAATATTGCGTTGGCTATTGTGAGTCTTTTGCCTCTCTGTATAAACTTTAGTATCAGTTTGTTGACATCCACAAAATAACTTGGTGGAGATTTTGACTGGGATTGCATTGAATCTGTAGATCAAGTGAAAGAACTGACATCCTGACAGTTTTAAATTTGTTTATCCGTGAACACGGAATGTCTCTCCATTTATTTAGTTGTTATTTGATTTCTTTCATCAGAGTTTTAATATAGATCTTGTACATATTTTGTTAGGTTTATGCCTAGGTATTTCATATTTAGGGATGCTAATATAAATAGGATTGTGTTTTTAATTTTAAATTTCACTTGTTCACTTCTGGCATACAGAAAAGTGACTAACTTTTTGTATTAACTTTATACCCTGAAACATTACTATAGTTACCTATTAGTTCCAGGAGGTTTTTTTGTTTTGTTTTTATTCTTCCAGGTTTGTTACATAGATAATCATGTAATCTGTGAACAAAAATATTTGCATTTTTTACTTCTTAACCTGTATATCTTTTATTTTATTTTCTTGTCTCTGCAATAACCATAACCTCCCATATGATATCAGAAAGGAGTGTCAAGAGAGGACATCCTTGCCTCGTTCCTGATCTTAGTGGGAAAATGTCTAGTTTCTTACCATTAACGTATGACATTAGCTGTAGGTTTTTCATAGCTGTCCTTTATCAACTTGAGGAAATTTCCTTCTATTCCTTGTTTGTTGAGAGTTTTCATCATGAGTCAGTTTTGAATTTTGTCACGTGCTTTTTTTTGCATCTGTTGATATAATCTTGTGATTTTCTTCTTTAGCCTGTTGATGTGATGGATTACATTAATTGATTTTCAAATTTGAATCAACCTTTTATACATGGGATAAATCCCACTTGGTTATGGTGAATACTTATTTTTATACATTTTGGATTTGATTTGCTAATATTTTGTTGAAGATTATGCAGCTAAATTCATGAGAGATATTGGTCAATAGTGTTGTTGTTTTTTTTCTTGGAATGCCTTTGGTTTTGGTATTGAGGGTAATATGGGCATCATACAATGAGTGTTCCCTATGCTTCTATCTTTTGGAAGAGATCATAGAAAATTGATTTAATTTATTTCTTAAATATTTGGTAGAATTCACCAGTGACTCATCTGTGCCTGGTCCTTTCTGTTTTAGAAGATTATTAATTATTTATTTATTTTCTTCAATAGATATAATTCTATTCAACTTGCCTTTTTTTTTTTTTTTTTTTCCTGAGACGGAGTTTCACTCTTGTTGCCCAGGCTGGAGTGCAATGGCACGATCTCAGCTCACTACAACCTCCTCCTCCTGGGTTCAAGCGATTCTCCCATCTCGGCCTCCCGAATAGCTGGGATTACAGGCATGCGCCACCACACCCCGCTAATTTCGTATTTTTAGTAGAGATGGTGTTTCTCCATGTTGGTCAGGCTGGTCTCGAACTCCCAACCTCAAGTGATCCGCCTGCCTTAGCCTCCCAAAGTGCTGGGATTATAGGCATGAGCCACCACGCCCGGCTGAAATTGCCTATTTTCTTTTTTTAAACAGAAATCCAGGTTAACAACAAGTTGGGACTTGAGGGGAGTGGAGAAAAACAGTGCAAGAGTTTCCTAAAAGCTTACCCAGTTCATGCATTCACTCATTCATTCATTTGTACATTCATTCATTTGGTAATTCACTCAATAGCCTCCTACTGAACCCATTTACCAGAAATAAGTCCTGCCTCAAGATGATAGCATATGCCTTTCTTATGCCTTCCTGGGCATTTTCTTGAATTACTTTTTTGTGGTTGTTTTTAATGTGTAAATATACATCCCCAATAACTCAGACTCATTAATTTATGTTTGTAATAATTGTTGAAATAAGTTTGACAGAAGGTGACCTTTCTGAATTTGCAAAGAAAGTGATTGCCAGGCAAATTTAAAGCAGAAGTCCATTGTGGGGAAGATGTTGTGTCCAAAGCCACACACTTTTCAACGAGCTTTAAGCACTTTCTCCATAGTGTTGAGGGCACAACTGTGGAGTCAGACCTTCCCCAGTATGATCCTGGGTCAGCTACTTCCCAGCAGGGTGACTTAGGATTGTCTCCTTGTCTCTTTAATTCTCCTTTCCCTGACTGTAAAGTGCAAATAATATGACCCACCTTGCAGGCTGCTTGTGAGGGTCCATGAGATATTATGAAGCTTCTAGCACAGTGCTTGGCAGGGCACTGATGGGAGCTCTTACCTTTATTATTAATTCATTCAAAGGGAGATTTACTGATACTCTCTTTAGTGCTGTAAGAGATGTGACGATATCAAAGCTAGTGCCTGTCCTCTTGGAGAATGTAACTCTTTGGGGAAGCTAGGACAGATGCAGATTATTACTATGTAAGATGGGAAGTAATAAAAGACCTGGGAAAACAAGTGAATGGCAGACGCAGGTCAGAAAGGAGACCAATCCCTCCAGCTTGGGCATGCTTGCTGGCATGCGGGTGCCCCAGGGACTCGAGATCCTGTTGCTGAATGATCAGATGGTGGCATCTGGGGTGGACACTGAAGGACGAGGCTGGCTGTGTGTGTGACAGCAGACCTTTCTCCCTGCTGCCTGTGCTGTGCTTTCATACTGCAGACACCCAGCAAGTGAGCGCTGAGTTAGATTCCAGAGAGAGAGTTCAAGAAAATGCATAGCAGCAGACAAACCCCTCTATCGTTAATAGCAAAGATTTCTTATTTGTTCATTTGCAAGATCCTTTGTCAAATTCTTCTGGCCTTGGGCCCTTTGATCACTTCTGTGTCCTGTGCACTTAAGTCTGGTGGATTCCTTCTTGCCCCTCAGCACTCAGCTCTGGCAGCCGTGCCTCCCCCGAGTCCGGTCTGACCGTTCCCTGCAGCTTTACCTGGTTCTCTGTGAGCCTGAGCACTTGGGCTGCTCCATCTTTCAACAGCCCCAGGAGTTGGTCTGAGTCATCTTGGACCTCCTAGCTCAATAAATGTGTAAACTTGCCATAGCCCAGATCTTGCTCTGATTTATCAGCATTTAGCCATTAGTCCAAATACGTGAGGCTTTTCAAAAAATACAGAAACAGCCGGGCGCGGTGGCTCACGCCTGTAATCCCAGCACTTTGGGAGGCCGAGGTGGGCGGATCACTAGGTCAGGAGATCAAGACCATCCTAACATGGTGAAACCCCGTCTCTACTAAAAATACAAAAAAAATTAGCCGGGCGTGGTGGTGGTCACCTGTAGTCCCAGCTACTCAGGAGGCTGAGGCAGGAGAATGGCGTGAACCCGGGAGGCAGAGCTTGCAATGAGCTGAGATAGCACCACTGCAGTCCAGCCTGGGCCAAAGACCCAGACTCTGTCAAAAAAAAAAAAAAATACAGAAACAAGTAGTTCCCACTCACCCTTCCTCTCTGCTGTTAGTGTGCATTCAGACGATGCCAAGGAACGGGCTTCTCTGGGCAGAGCCGGGGCTTTGCGAGGGGTCTTTCTCAGCCACACGTGTCCAGCATGTATGTGGCCTTCTCCTGGGGCATAGAAGTACTTATTTCAGACCACACAAATGAAAACGATTAACATTCAGCAAAATATCCCAGCTGCAGTCTAATTATTTCCTATGGTTGTTGGTGACAGCGTCCCCTTTTTGGAGCAGGGTTGGCCGGAGGCAGGATGAGAACAGTGTGGGCTTGTTGGGGAGGTGTTGTAAGGCACCCAGCACAGAGAATTGAAAAGCCTTCTTTAGAAGCTTCTCTCTGGGGCAGGGTGGGGGTGGGAGAGGAAACGGTAAAGACCCACAGTGGCCTGGGCTCTTCTCTCCAGCAAGATGCAACAGGACAGGGAAGGAGGGCCCCCAGGAGGCCCCTGGGGTGGCCTGGAACTTGAGAATGAACTGATGCTGGCAGGCACAGCCTTCTTCACTTCTTCACAAGGGTGGGCCCCGCCTTAGACTGCTGGGTGACACCTGTGCATAAGCGCTCCACCCCCCAGCGAGAGAAAGCGGGCCGCTAGGACTGGCTGTCCTTTACTGTGTGACTCTCCCCAGCGTCTTGTCTGTCCCTTCCTACCTGTCACTGCACTTGGTAGTCACATATTTATTTGTACCTTGGTGTATTTATTCCTGTCTCCCCCACAAGACTGCAGGCAGCACTGAGAACCCAGGCTGTCTTGCTCATGCTCTGCCGCCAGGACTAGCCGGGCCGGGTACCCCTGGGGTACTCCCCAGGTGCCTGTGGAATGAATGAATGAGTGGATAGATGAGTGAGTGAAAGAATATATGAAATTGGTTCTGCAGGATGTGCGGCCTGCAGTTACCACTCAGGAGATGCTGGCTCCAGGGTAGGAGAGAGACTCCATTTTTCTCTGGGTATTACTGGGCTGTTTTAATTTCATCAAACAATAGGAATTTATTACCTGTTTTCTTAAGCTCTAAATAACAAAGGGAAGCACAGTAAGTATTCTGTTCTTCTTCTTTGCCAGGGCCCAGAGGTTGAGGGAGGAGCAGCCCATGGTGCTGGGTGCCAGTGGGGGGTGAGGAAGAGGCTGCAGAGGTCCCTGCTGCCTGGACACGTGGCTCTAGCCCCTAATGGAGGGGCAGCCCCAGGTACCACTCCCTGAACCTGCGGGAAGGCTGGCACAGACGGCATGTGAGTGCGGCACATGCCAGGCCACGGGGCTCCTTTCTTGTAACTCTCAAGGCCCCATGAGGCAGGCCAGGTGACCGAGGCTCAAAGGGCAAAGTCACTTGTTCTGATGGCTCAGCTGCAGGACAGTGACTGTAGGGCCAGTGCTCTGTGCACCCGCAGCTGCTCCGCTGGACACAGACCTCCCCGGGGAAGCAGAGACCACCCTGCATCTGAACGGGGAGGGGTCGATGGAGTGTGCCCTGGTGACATGGGCTCTGCAGGGCGGGGTCAGGCCTCCCGCTCAGTTCTGCATCAGTACTTGCACCACAGAGGCCTCAATGAAGCCGAGGGAGCTCAGGGGAGCAGGAGTCTAAGCCGGAGGCCCTCAGCGGGGCGGCTGTGCCCTCCCCAACGCCCAGGACATCAGCAGTGTCTGGAGACAGGTTGGATTGTTATGGCCAAGGAGGGAGCAGTGTCATTGGCAGTTAGTGGGCAGAGGCCGGGGATGCAGCGGAACAGCCTACAGTACCAGGCAGTCCCCAGCCCCCGCAATGTCCACGGTGCTGAGGTGGAGAAATCCTGGGCTTAGGTCACGCCCAGGTGCACAGGAAGGATCTTGCATCCCAGGAACCAGGGGCTGGGAGAGAGGAGAGCTGGGCTGGGGGCTCTGGAGGTCCCAAGTTGGGGTGCCCTTGGATTCCTATGTAGAGGTGGAAACCTGGGTCTATAGGCCTTGACTAGGGGTCTCTGGCTGAGAAACACTGGCTGAGGCTGCAGGAAAGATGTGCCTCTGAGGAGCAGGCCTGTGGAGGCCAGACACTGAGGCAGCTCGGTCCCCCTGGGGCCTATGGAAATGCAGGTAACCCATGATATCCTAGGGTCCTGCTCCCACCCAAGAGAGGGCTGGGGTGAGTGATCACAGCTGAGGGCCTGCAACTGTATGGACCCATTCTCCACACCACACACAGACCAGCAGAAACATCTGGCATGTTCCCCCAGCACCCCTGCATCTCACTAACTCCCATTCCTCCCTCTCCTGTCAGCCAAGGCCACTCCCTACAGGATGCCTTCCCTGACTGCTGCTCTGGGTCAGGTTGCATCTTCTCAAAGAACTGTATGTAATTTACATCCTTTGTTAATATGAGCATGTGATTAACTGGCTTCTGGGTGGATGCATCCTGGTGTCTTCAGAGCCCAACACATAGTAGATGCCCAGAAAGTGGTTTTTAAATGATTATGCTTTGTCTTTGATAAATAACATAGGCGTCTTTACAGTGTGTATAGGCAGAGCCGAGTTGAGACATCGAAAGTGGGCAGGGAAATTGTCTCCAATCCTGGAGTTGTGGGGAAGCACCGTAGGCGAGCCTGTTTCCTCCGATCTCACCTGGGGTGGAGTGTGTGTGTGTGTGTGCATGCATGCGTGCGTGCACACACACGTGCACACACGTGTGGAACCCACGGGGCTGGGGATAGTCTCTAGCAGTGTGAGACAACCAGCACACCATCCTGGTGCTGAGCACAGCTCAGTGTCCCTGTCTGGGAAGCCCATGACCCTTGGGGCAGAAGTTCTGCACAGGGAGTCCGCAGTGGGCCAAGGCAGTGGTCTTCAGCCCATTTGCAGAGCTACCTTGACCCTCTGTGCCTGAGATAAAAAAGATGGTTTCTCCTTCATGGAGAAGGAGTTCAGTTTTATTAATACTTTCTTAAAGTGAGCCACAGGATTAGTGCTGGCCCCCAGGTTTTGAAATCTTCCATCTGATGTTCAGCCTCTTTCCTGTTGAGACCACTCCTTGCAAAGATGATTGCTCTTGAAGTTGAACCCAGCATAACTGCAGTCCGTCGCCCCCTCCCAGCTGGCAGAGTATCCTTTGCTTTCATTTTATTTATTGTTTATTTATTTATTTATTTTTGAGACAGAGTCTTGCTCTGTTGCCCAGGCTGGAGTGCATTGGCATGATCTTGGCTCACTGCAACTTCTGCCTCCCGGGTTCCAGCAATTCTCCTGCCTCAGCCTCCAGAGTAGCTGGGATTACAGGAGCCCACCACCGCGCCCAGCTAGTTTTTGAATTTTTGGTAGAGATTGTGGTTTCACCATGTTGGCCAGGCTGGTCTCAAACTCCTGACCTCAGGTGATCCGCCCACCTTGGCCTCCCAAAGTGCTGGGATTACAGGCATGAGCCACCATACCCGGCCTCCTTTGCTTTTATCAAATGTAAACTTCTAGGAATATATTTTCATAATGTGTTTCTAGCCGTCCTTAAGAATTAATGAAGTTCTTAGTTCCATTTTTTTTTTTTTCGCCCTTGACTAACTGTGGACAATTCTCAATTGTAAGGGAAAGATTTACTTCTGTATTAATAAGTCTCACTGTCTCCGAAACTCTTCACATTCAAAGGGCACTCGCATTACCTGGCAATTACTCTTTCTCGATGAGACACAGGTTGGTGATATTTGGGAATA
Organism: Homo sapiens; assembly: GCF_000001405.40. NCBI lineage: Eukaryota > Metazoa > Chordata > Mammalia > Primates > Hominidae > Homo > Homo sapiens. The sequence continues at coordinate 127,964,738 of NC_000010.11, forward strand.
TGACTTTGGGGAATACAAACTCTGTTTAAGTAATGATTTTGAAAAAAATCTCTCTGCACCAGTGAATGCCATGAACAGTTTCATTTTCAGTAAGCGCTTGCAGCCAGTTGTCTAGTTGTCAGAAGCCGAGCTCATCAGCGGGCTCCTGGTGTCGGCGTTCTGCTGCTGGAAGGTCAGGGAGTTCCCTGGACCCCACGGAAGAAGCTGTCTCCATGAAGGACAGGGACCGTGCCGTGAACCTTTTATTCTCCCACTGACATGGTATGAAGGCATTTCGGTTTTAAGCATCTTTTTTCCTAATTTCTCAGAACCCTTTGAAGATCTTGCACTTGACTTCTAAAATTCAGTCCAATTCCTTAATAAGTACATCATTATTACAAGTTGGCTTTTTTACTTCTTAAGAAGCATCTTTAATTTGAACTTCCATAACCATATTTTTGTAATTATCAAATGGCAGGAAATAGATGCTGACTCCCGTAATTTTATCATTCTAAATGTCACAAGAATGGCAAGGATCTTTAAAAGACAAAAGAAGTTCTTCAGTTAGGAATTCCCATGGTAACCAATATAGCTCAATCTTTTTTTTTTTTCTTTCTGTGGCTATTTTAAGTATTTAAATTGATTTACATCCCTGTGGAAATGTGAAAAAAGCCTGGATCCCATATACATCCATTCCACCTGGAGTTTGGGGGTTTTGTTATAAGCCATGTTCTTCTTTTGATTCCTTGCCAGTGTCTGCAGTGGAAGGTCAGGGTTCGTCCCTAAGCAAAAGCCTTTTAAGTTTCCTTAACTTAGGAAGAAGTCGTGATTTACCTTTGTATTCCTTTTGCAGTGGATATTAAAACATAAACATATAAATTATCTCATTTTGAATTGCTCTTTTACTTTATGTTGAACAATGAATATAAATGTATTTTAGCGGCCAGATGTTAGAGGATAACACTGGCTTAATTTGTGCTGAGTGTGGAGCCCCTTCTGGGTGCGGTGAGGGTCTGAGCCTGTGAACCTCGTATCTGCCCAGCTCCTGCTGGACAGCATCAGAGATCTGCTGGCTCAGGGTCCAGCCAGTCTCCACCTCTTTCTGGAGCAGAACACTGCACACCAAATTCACTGGTACTGCAGCCACAACCCTGGACACCTGGACATGTGCATTTTCCCATCTTCTGCCACACTGGCCCTTTGCCTGACCTCCTCCTGGCCTTCAGTCTGAGGTCCGCTGGGGGCCATGAATGCCTCTGCAAAGTTGCAGGTCCTGATGGTGGGCTATGGGTGCTCCCAGCTGAGCACAGTCATGACTCCCACACTCACTGTACAAGGAAGTGAACACAGTAAGTGTGGATCTACCAGATCTTCACTAAGCCTCAGGGCAACCCTAAAGAGAGGACAGGCATGTTTATCCTCATTTCATCCATGAGGAAGTGGAAGCTCAAAGAGGTCCTATGCTGCATCTGGGGTCAGTGTGGTTTTCTGCCTCTGGGACCCCCTACCCCTGAGGCCAGTGTCCATCCCCCTCAGCAGGTGTGTGGAGCCCTCCGGACACAACATCTTGCTAGGAATTGCATGACAGTTACTGATCATTTATCTTTTAAAATGGGTCAATAGGCTGAAGGAAAGATGGGAAGTTTCTCAGATATCACATATTGGCAGATATTACAGCCAAAATACACATAGAGGGAAACATTTTGGGGAAGGTTGTGGCCATGATAAAAATCAGTATTTATTGAGCCTGTGATATGTGGCAGACACCATGAAGGGTGCATTGTAGACATTACCACATACACCCCATGCAGCCATAGGGTGACCAGCCACCTACTTAGCCAGGGACTGAGGGGTTTGCTGGGATGGGGGATTTTAGTTTTAAAACAGGGATGGTCCTGGGCAAAGCAAGGTAAGTTGGTCACCCCACCCGCCACCCCAAGGTTAAGATGGACTTACCTTCATTTTGTAAATAGAAAACCCATGGCTCAGAGAGTTGAGGTAACTGCCCAGGCTGCTCTGATGGCAAGAGGTGCAGCTGAGGCCTGGACCAACACCTGTCAGAACCCAAAGCCACATTTTTTGACCACGACACCTTTGTCATGGCCATGAAGAGCAGTCCCTCCTGCGAAGGAAGTCTCAAGGTCATCCATATGACCAACACCTTGAAAAGATTTAGGTGATAAAATTGAGATTCTTAATTCTTTTGAAAAAAATGATTAAAATCAGAAAATTATTTTCAGATAAAGTTTATGCCAAAAGATACAAAGGCTTGCTCTGTAAGAGATAAAGCGTTTTGTGGCAAACAAACAAACACTTCAAGGGCAAAGTCAGGCCAACCGTCCTGCTCTCTGCCATCCGGTAAGTCTCTCCATGCTCATGGTCATTTGTCGCCCAGTGTGAAGACTGCTAAGGGCAGATGACATGCTCAGTGTTTCTCAGTTGACCGTATTTTTTAATTGAGTTTTTAGACAAATTAAATTAATGAATTTGTTTGCTTATTCATGTAGAGTAAAAAGCAATACCCACTCTACTCCAAAATAGTAGCTCAAGCTATGATTTTGCAAATTGCTATGGTTTGGCTGTGTCCCCACCCAAATCTCATCTTGACTTGCAGCTCCCATAATCCCCACGTGTCATGGGAGGGACCCTGTGGGAGGTAATTGAATCATGGCAACAGGTTTTTCCCGTGCTGTTCTCGTGATAGTGAATAAATTCTCACGAGATCTGATGGTTTTATAAAGGGCAGTTCCCCTGCACACACACTCTTGCCTGCTGCCATATAAAGATATGCTTTTGCTCCTCCTTCACCTTCCACCATGATTGTGAGGCCTTCCCAGCCATGTGGAACTGTGAGTCCATTAAACCTCTTTTTCTTTATAAATTACCCAGTCTAGGGTATTTCTTCATAGCAGTATGAAAATGGACTAACACACAAATTATATTAAAATGCAGCATCCTTACAGAAAAGTCTGCACCAGTCATAAGCACACAGAGCTCTGAACTTTCAAGTGAGCCAGCACCCAGATCAAGGAATGTGACAGGCCCATTCCCCCAGCCCAATCCCCTTATTGCTCTTCCAGTCCCTTCATGCCTCCCTTCCAGGGGTAACCATTGTCCCCACTTCTGACACCATAGATTAGTTTCGCCTGCTTTCGAACTTTCTATAAGCTGGATCATAGATTATATCGAAGTATTTTTATGTTTATTGAATACCTACTATGTGCAAGGCCTTGCCTAGCTATTCAATGAATCTAAATGACTTGGTTTTGAATGCCTCCCAGGTTGCTCTATAGGTGTGTGTGTGTGTGTGTGTGTGTGTGTGTGTGTGTGTCCCTGGATATAGGTCACACAGTTGTCTTAGCCGTCAGCCCTCAAAAGGCAGGTTCACATGGTGGCCAGCTCACATCCTGTGTGTGTTCAGGAAGGCACTGCTGCCATGCAAATGTCATTTAAATGTGGCATATCTATGAATTCAACAGGGTAATTTGGTTCCTATGTTGTTGGAAAGTTATCTGAATGCTGAAGTCAACTGCACTCCAGGCTTGAGTAAACAAGTCAGGACAATGAAGAGAGGCAGTTGCTGTTAGGTTTGGTGGGGGGAGGGGAAGGTGACTTTCACAAGTCCTCTTGTACAAGGGCCACCGTGTGAAACCTGATGTCCAGTGAAGACACAGCAATCCAAATAGATCACTGCCTTCCAGCCCCAGGGTCTACGCAACAAAAAGCCTTCCCCATTGAGGCCATCTGGCGAGTTCTGCCTCCAATGTCCTGGGAGCAGTCAGCCAGAGCTCAGGGCAGGGGGCCTCCCCAGCCTCCATTCTGCAGATCGTTCTTTCTGGGCAATTCATGCTCATTCCCACACAGAAAGGTTTGAGGCAATTTGTGGAAGGAGCGTTGTATCAGGATGGTTTCTAATTCAGGTGGATTAAGGTATGGATGCTGTCTTCACTGCTCACTTGTCAAATAACTGAACTCCTGACTTCTTTGAACTCTGGGCTTCTAATCTGTGAAGTCAGAATAATAATAACTGGGTAGTTGTGAGCATTAAGTTTAAAAATATGTTGTGGCAGCACTTTGCATGAGCAGACCATAGTATAAATGCCAGCTCCCTTTCCCTGGAGATAAGAAGTGATTGTGATTGTGCGTTAAGTTCTGTTTTAAGCTTCCTAGCTGACAAGGCAAAAATGAAACACAATGGCTTATATTGTTCTAGTCTGATTCAAAGAATGTCCCTAGTTTTTCAGGAAATATAAACACTTTCCTGGTGTTACATTCTAAGACAACTTTATTTTGCAAGCCTAAATGATTCAGTCAGGGTTTCCAACAATGGTTTTCACCCCAAAAGATGGAGAATTCCCCTTTCTATTTCCATAGCATGTATCAATCCTTTAAAAAATACTAATCTGGGGTTATGATAGTGCAACACTAAATTCGGAAGGCGAACGCCATGGAGCTGGAATTGCATTCTGTTGCTCCATTTCTTTCACCGTCTCTTTTTACTGGACATCTTATGATAAGAACGTAAATGGAAAGGGCAAGCCTGGAGTGACAAAGGGAATCCTCCATTCACTCCATACAGTGCTGTTGCTGGGCTCGGGACGTGGAGAGGGCAGGGGCCGTGAAGACATCCTGGTGCCTTTGCAGGGTCGTCATGAGGATAAAGGGGATGGGCCAGGTGTGACAGCTCAGGTTTATAATCCCAGCACTTTGGGAGGCTGAGACTGGCAGATCACTTGAGGCCAAGAGTCCCAGACTACCCTGGCCAATATGGTGAAACCCTCTCTCTACTAAAAATACAAAAATTAGCTGGGCATGGTGGTGCACACCTGTAATCCCAGCTACTCGAGAGGCTGAGGCACAAGAATTGCTTGAACTTGGGAGGCAGAGGTTGCAATGAGCTGAGATTGGGCCACTGCACTCCACCCTGGCAACAGAGCGATACTCTGCCTAAAAAGAAAAAAAAAAAGGGGGGCGGGGGGATGATGCAGACATGAGCTTTGTGTGTGTTCTTGTCATATCACACGTAAAGGAGACGGTCAGACTGGGGCTCTTTTCTGTTACAAAATTATACATCTGGAGAATCATGGTGAACGTGAACTCTGTGTGAGATGCTGGCACGTGCCTCCGGCACTTCATGAAGGAGGCTGTTGGTTCTGGAGCATCCGTGGCTTTGCTCCTCAGGCTGCTGGCCATGGGGACCCTGAGTCACAAGCTCTTCAGAAACTCTGGTGCTGGGGAGGCAAAGCTGTCTCCTCCTCTCTCCCTTTGCACAGAAATTCCAGAATTTGGATTCTTTTGTGACCTCGAGCTGAATGTTCAAAATGTTGAAGCTGAGTTCTTTTTTTGTTTTTCATATAAGTACTTACACACACGCGTAAAAAAAAGAGCCAGTAACCAAGGGCTTTTCCCAGGCCCCCAGTGGCCTGGAAGTCCAGCCCACACTCCCAGACTCCAGCTGGGAGACACAAGAGGGAGGGAACTTGGGTGGGGGACACCCCACAATGATGAGGTCCTTAGGAGACTCCAGGGCCTCCAGGAACCCAGCTGCCACCCAAGAGCACCCTAAATCTCAGAAGCTAGCCAATCCAATGGAAGGACGGTAAGGTCTTTTCAGTGTAAGCACAGCTTTGCGGATGAAAGGGTTGTATTTGCAGAATTCGTTGGAATCAGAGCTCCAAGCCTAGAATGTCCTCCCACCCTCTACCCACCCCAGGACTGGATTCCTGTCCTGTAAGGCCAACTGAGCTCTCCTCCCTCATTACCTGTCCCCAGGTACAGACCTTCCCCTCACACCATTGGTAACTCATCTGTTGCGTTTTTTCATGTATCCTGAAGCACCTACACAGTGGGCATTCAATAAATATCTGCTGAGCCGTGGATTACACAGTAGAGCCACCGATGAAATGATGCCTACGAACCTCCTACAAAACTCCTGTTTTATTATATCAAACTCTGAAAACTGACAGTTTGGACTATTCTTTTGTTAATCCTACAATGAGTTAAGCTGACTAATGGACACTCAAGTTTCCATCATGGCTGCGCTCACAAAAAAGATCACCTGATATTTTCCCCTTGTTACTATGGAAGATTTTAGGTGGATCATATTCCTATTCGTATCATAGGAATCATTTACTGGGGAAGGGTCACTTCATTTCAATTATGTTTTGAATGATTAGTCATTTCAAAAATAAACCATCCCTCCAGGTTAAATTTATCTGGGACTCATGGTTGGATAAGCTTCTATGTCATTAAAATTAATTGATGTAGCAAAATCAGCTGCAGTCATTATCCTGTCCCATATCTGTGGCAGACCCAGGAAGGTGCTCACTGTCTACACACAGCGGCAGAGGTCTCTGTGTCCTTTGTCCCATGCAGAGACCCTGCCTGTAAGTCTCACTGAACTGAAAGTTAGATCGGGAGTCTCCATATGACCTGACTGAGAGCTTCATGTTGTCAAGTGTCCATACGAGGCTAATGTGACACTCACGCTGGGGCTGGCGCATTGGAACAAATGGTTCACTTCAAACATTCACATCCCAAAAAGGACCCCAGTGGGCATAGGGAGCCCAGCCCAAGACGAAGTATCAGGGAGCTGTTGGGAGCATGGGTCTTACGTAAGAGACCTGGAGTAGGGTGGGGATTGGCACCCCCCTGGAGGGCGTCTCCATGTTCTCGATGCCTCTGTTTCCTCCTCTGGAAGGCAGGGAGGGCCCTTCTTAGCTCTCCACACTATGTGGAGGAGTCGGTGAGATGAAGCCTGCCCAGTGTTTTCACTCGGTGCCGCCCTGAGGTGCGAGAGCCCCATGCATGGTGCCCTGGCCTTGCTGTCCTCGCAGGTACTAGCGCATTCCACTTCCTTTAGAGAATGAGCACTGGAGTAAGGAAGGTCAGATGTGTGCCCATCCCGGCCTGCAGCGAGTGCTTGCCCCTCACAAGGCAGTTCCTGGGGAAAGCCTCCAGCGTGCGCGATTTGCAGTTTAGTTTAAACGGAAGGAGGTTTATTAGAATCTTGGCAGCTCTAGAAGAAGACTCTTAACTCTCCATTGGCTACAGATCCCGGCCAGCCATGTGGGTGGCTCCCTCAGGCCGGTCAGATGTTCCTGCTGGGATGGCCATGGGCACCAGGAGAGCTTTCCCTTAGCACTTTCAGACCTCAGACCTCCTGGCAGATTCAGGTGCAGCATTGAACTTCATGCCGTTTTCCTAAATTCAACTTCCGGAGCTTTTACCTTTTCAGAGACCCAGCCTAGTTTATAGAAGCCCAGCAGAAACTTTTCTTCAATTTGCTCGTGACTCTTAGATGAGTTTGGAGCCGGGTGGGAAGATGGTATTTCAGCATCCTAGGCAGGGGCACATCAGATGAACTGTGCACTTCGAAGCCATGATGCTGCCTGACCATGAGGGTAACATGGGGGAGGAGGAATCCTTGTCAGTATCCTGTCTGTGGTTGGCTGGGCAGTGACCACTTCCCCTGACCGCTGCCTGGGGACTGCTCCTCCACACACAACTTATCTCCCAGGAAGCAATTCCAGGCCCAGGCACCAAGGGCCCAGGGTTTTCCTAATGTTGAGGACATTATTGCCCAGTGGCATAGAACATGGGATTTGGAGTCAGATCTGGCTGGATTTGATTTCTGGCTCAACCTCTTATTGACCACGTGACTTCACGCATGTTACTTCAGGGTGGCCGTGAGGATCAGACAGGATCCTGTATGTACAGTGTCTAGCACGTGCCTCAAGGACCATTTGTCCTCATAAATGTGATTATTAGGTAGCAAGGCAGTGCTACATGTGGCCCCACCCACGGCCAACCCCACGGTGCGAAGAGCAGCCTTTCTGTCCTTACCTGGGCTTTACCCTCCTCTATTTCCAAGCTCGTCCACCCAACATTCTCTCACTGGATCATTACCATGATGCCGTGGATCATCAGCAAGTATCGGTGACCTCATGTGTAGTGGCCATTGAAGCACAGAGAGGTGGAGGGGCTGACCAAGGTCACCCAGTGGGCAGGGATCTGGCTGGAGAGCACACGCTGCTGCTTCTCCCTCCCTTGGACTGTGGATTACAGGAGAGACCAGTAGCCATGCAGGTGGCAGGTGGGAGGCCTAGGGTTCTGCAGGTATGAGCAGACACACATCAGCCCCCTCTACCACCGGCCTTTAATGTCTCCACATCACACAGAGGCCTGGGACTGTCCAGCTGTGTGGTGCAGCGGCTCGAGCACATACACTTTGGGATGATTCCTTGAGTTGTAAAGAAAGAAAATAAATCTCCTTGAGAATGATGGATGCACTGCTTAGCAGTGGAAGAGGAGAGCTGACCTTTCTAGGTAGACAAAACAGAATGCCTGTCAAACATTACACTTTTGTTGCAGTATATTGTTCCAGAATGGAGCACTGCATATTTTTGCTATAATGCTGTTTTTGTTTCTAAATGAATACTGCAGTGTTCTTTTATGTGGAGGAGGGATTCATTACTGGTTCACAGAACTTTTTCAGTGGTGGGGAAAAAATAGGTGCTTGTCCTCAGCAATGCGTATCAAGCCTAGACACATTTCTGTTAGGAGCACAGTGATTTGTGAATTCCCTGACAGCTTACCTTTTATTATGAGCTCTATTTTAAATAGAGACATGTAGCTTTTCCTCTTCAAGACAATATAACAGATACCTAGAATCTTCTCTGTTATCTCTCATTTGTTTTCAAGCTAGCCTCTTTTTTGTGCATTTTATAGGGATTCTTATTTATGAACTAGTTTAAATGGTTCAGATCAGCCAGTTGTTGTGGGGTGGAGGATCATTAAAACAATAATATTTACAAATGTTTCAGCAAAGTGGCTAGTCGATTGGCAGATTTTTCATTCATCAGCTTTCCTAATTTTCAGAATCTTCCTGAGGAATATCTAACAAACGTCTCTGCTCTGAGTACCATATTCCTGAAAAAAAAAAATTGATCTGTTTTCAGGATGGGTCTCCCCTTTTCTCAGGCTAATATATTTTCTTAGTCTCTCGCTAATATCCTCTGCATGCCTGTGAAGGATGCATCATTTTCTGATAGCTCTGCGCCTGAACGCCACCTCTGTCGATGGCAACGCTTCACCCAGGCCCCCAAGCCAAGCCCACGGTCACGCTTAGCTTCCTTCCCTTTTCCCCACTTCTCACATGCCTCCAAAGCTTGTGAGCTCTGCTTCCTCTATTGTTAAATGGCTGCCCCCTCCCCGGCCGCCCACCACTGCCCTTGAGAACACCTGTTCATCCTGCATCTGGACCACAGGTGTGGCCTCATTAGTCAGGAATCCACAGTCCACACTTAGCATGGTCCTGCCCCTTATTCTTCTCTGCAGCCATCACAGTGACCTACTTTGCAGAGAGCAGAATGGGAATGCCCAGGCTTGCAGACTTCTGCAGCCCCCTTGTGGCTTCAGCCCAAAGCCAAAGGTCTCTGCAGCATTCCGGGATCTGCCCACCACACATCCCAGGCTCACAGCAGTGATTTATTGGGTCCAGGCCTTATACTGAGTTCTGCGTCCGGTCCTTACCTCCTTTACTAACCCAGCAGGAAATTTTATTATCTCTATTTCGCAGATGAAGAAACTTAGGCTTAAAACTGTTGTGACTTGTTCCAAGGTCAAAGCCAGGATCCAACTTATTTGCCATTTCCAGAATGTTCCATACACTCTCTGGCTTCCCGGTTTTTGTTTATGTGTTCTTCCTGGGAATTTTCTTCTTGAGAAAGATGACCTAACTTTAGCCAAACACAGGTTAGTGTTCTGCTTCCATCTTTCATGGCCCCTGGGCTTGCCACGACCTAGCACTGCTCACCCCTGCATTTCAACGATCTGTTTATAAGCCTGTCCTCTGGACTTCTTTTAGGGTAAGGAGGCTGAGGTTCTGTCCATGTATTTTTTTTAATCTCTAAATCCTAAGCAATTGGCACAGAAATAGCACATAGTAGATGCTCACTAATGTTAAATGGCTGGTTTAGCATATTGATGTACTCATTCAACTAGTATTTTATGAGTTTCTGGTACATGCACAGAACTTTTCATATACTGAAGATGTTCAAGCTAGAGATAGCAGGTTTTCTATTCAGAAATCACCAAATTAGCCACAGATGCTCTGTCTTTGGGGAGGGTCTGCACCTGCCTTCGTCATCTGTAAAATGTGGATCATACCTCCCCACCTCATAGGGCAGCTGAAATGGCAGCAAATATCCTTAATGTTAATCCAGAGTCCTACTGTACTGTGTTGTTGTAGAGACGTGAAGACACATAAAGATGGAAGGGGCGGGCGGGGAACAGCTAGGCACCAGGAGGGATACAACCAGGGCAGCCCAGAGGGCTCAGAAAAGATGTCAAGGAGAGAGTAGGACTTGACCTACTGGATCACCTGGCGTCTAGTGGGTTTGGGTGAGACTGAGGCTTTGTGGGACAGGGAGCAGCATGAGGGAAGCAGGGGGACTGTGCTGTGTTGGAGCCCCGTGAGACACGGTTGTGTGAGTGAGCGGCCTCTAGAAGGTGGATCACCGTGGTGTCTGCCCGACTTGATGCTCTTCCTGTGAGCTTCCAAACCTGTTAAGCAATCCAGAGGGCTGTTTACCAACACACGCTACTCTTCTTATCCGTGCCAATCTCATCAGCAAACATGCTATTTCCCTTATTCGTGAATAATAATTATTATTATTTCATAATAAAATGATCTTTCTGAATAATTATTTAATGCCAGAGCTCATCCATTCTGCCTTAGTGAATATTGCTTTGCCCTGGCCTCTGGCCACAGGTTACCGTGGACAGCCGAGTGTCAAGATCATCACCAACCAGGCCCTTCACACACATGCTTAGCCTCATCGCAGACCTAGGGTCACCTGGTGAAAGGCAGGTGTGTTTCCAATTGGCACGCTGAAAAAGAAAACCTGAAAACACTGATTTAACATATCTGAGTATTAGAGATCAATCATTTTCTCTGGGGCTCACTGAACAGGAATTAGCTCAAGAAAAACATCTTTAGCGTGTTCAGTTACCATTAGCGTCAGGCACCCAGCAAGCTTGTCCTGAATACATTTCAGAGTCCGAGCCCAATTGGAGGAGCGAGGCAGGTAGAGGGGAGTAAAACAGGCCTTGTTTTCGAGGACTGCTGCTCTGAAGTCCCACTGCACTACCCAGTGTGGGGAGTCCTTGTGGCAAGCTACCCTATATCTCTGAGCCTCAGTTCCCCCTCTGCAAAGTGGGTCTAATAACAAACTCCTCATATGAGTATTGAGAGGATGCAGTGATCCCTGTTGGGTGCTTGGCGGGGAGTCTGGCATGAAGTTCCTGTCCTTACAGTGGCTGTTTCTTCTGCAAGGGTCTTCTCTTGGTGGCAGTTAACACCGTCCATCCCTGTCCTCAAACACTAGATCCCCTGCCAAGAAGCTACTCATAGGGCAAAGATTTTTTTAAAAAACATGACAGTGACTGTCAGTATCTGAGAAGTGTCCATGCCCAGCGCCAAGAGGTGAACAAATTCATAGCTCTCCCCTCTGGGGCTTGGAGGGCACCCCTACACCTCGGAAGGGAGCCTGGAATCAAATTGCCATGTTTCCAAATTTGATACTGATAATAATGGCATAGACAGACGAGGCAGTATGGAAACCAGCAGACACTCGTACTTGCAAAGGAGGATTTGTCTGGCTTTCTAATTTGCATGTTTCCTAATCCAAAGAGGGTGCCTCAACCGTGGAGTAATTAGAGAGTGTGTGCCTTGGTCGGGGGAGGAGGGAGTTTGAGAGGCAGGCAGGGATGCACGTGGATCTGTGCTGAGCAGCTGCCCATGAATAATTTCTAAAAGTTGCCAAATATTTAGAAGTCCTGCTCGTCTGTCATAGACTGGCAAAAAGGATGGTTGAGAAAAATGGGTCTTTTTCTTCCCCCAGGCTTAGCAACATTGTTTTAAAGATTTCATCTCCTTTTCAAGGTGGTTTAACGCTGTGGGGAAGGCAGGATAAGATTCTACTAAACTCCTTCATGTCAGGGAGGGCTCCCTCCCCCAAGTTCAGTAGCTCCTTCTGTCCTGTCTTTCATGCATTAGAAAATATAGACATTAACAGCTTTACTGTTGCCTGGAAGGTAAACAAGGAAGCTGTGAGTATGATATCAGTGCGAATCTGAAGCCTAGATGATTCAGAAACGTTTTGCTTTCTTCCATCATTTGAATTACCCACTGGAAGCAGAATGAAGTTGTCCGATAGAATGCAGAGACAGCCGCAGGGGCCGTGGCTGCGGTTCTGTCCATTCCCCACTACACTTAATTAAAGTGATGAGGTCTCTGTTATTTTTTTATTTGGAGTAATGATCCTGCTCTTTGACCAGTCCATCTAAAGTAATGGTCATAGTCATGGTGCTTAAGCGTTACTGTGATTGAGGGTGAATGACAGTTCTTGCTACCCCAGTGCCCTAATTGATCAGGACAGCTCAGTGTCTTTTGGGAAAAACTGGAGTCCAAGAGAAGGCAGCCAGGATTGAGGAACTTGGCTCCGGGAGCTGGTCATTCACAGTAAGACTGCTTCAAGGTCAGTATCTCTGGCATTTAACTGCATGAAGTGGAGTTTTATTCCATATCCTTTCTTTATAAAATTTTAATACATCATGAAAAGTTCACATTTTAGATATACTCATAGAAACATGTATGTAAACATGTTAAAATAAAATGTAAATGCACTTCCAAAAAATTCTTCAAGGTTGCTACTCGTTTAAAAGACTAGCTTGGAGATACGCATGCTACACAAGCCACTCAGCAACCTACATTCTGCCCACTCGAATGCTTGTGGCGCCTTAAGCCAAGGTTGTGTGTAAAAGGCATTTTCCTTTTGTCCGAGTTTGGAAAGATTGGCCAGTTCTGTTCATCTCAGAAGTAATTTGAATGTTTCCCTTAAATGGAATAGTTCCGAGGGACTGATTCTAAATGCTGTAGTTTTATTTTCTTCTTTGCAAGGTTAGGATGCACAATAACGTCGCTCCGTCTTTCCATATCTTGTGAGTAATCAGGACCCAACCCAGCAGCCTGGCCACTTCCTGTGGGCGCCCTCACTGGCCTGACCTTGCCTGCCCCTGCCCCCCTTCCTAAGGGTGGATTTCCCCTGTTCCGATGTTGTCACCATGGCTTTTTCCCAGGGCCTTGTCGGGCTCCCTCCCTGCTTCTGTTCCCTGGAAGCAGAGTGGCTGCAGCTGTGAGCTCCAGGGACTCACCAGCCAAAGCTCCAGCCAAAGCTCCAACTCTGTGGCCAGGCTGGTCCAGGCCTCTGTGGGCCAGGCTACTTCCAAAGACCCACTTCTCCCACAGTAAATATATGGCCATCCCGGGGCTTTCCTTTCTGGAGGAGAGAACATAATGGAGCATCCTCTAGGACAGGAAAATATTTTAAGGAATAATCCAGTATCATTATTGCCATCTGCAGAATGCCTTTCCTACACCATTCCTACACTAAAGGAATTACAGCTTCACTGGGAGGAAGGAGATATAGACAAAAGAAGCAAAACAAAACAAAAACAAAAAAAAACAAGCAGACAAGCCTGGGTATAGTGGCTCACGCCTGTAATGCCAGCACTTTGGGAGGCCAAGGTGGCTGGGTCGCTTGACCCCAGGAGTTCGAGACCAGTCTGGGCAACATCAGGAGACCCTGTCTCTACAAAAAATACAAAATTAGTGGGACATGGTGGCGCACACCTGTAGTCCCAGCTACTCGGGGGGTGGCTGAGGCAGAAAGACGGCTTGAGCCCAGGACATCAAGCCTACAGTGAGATATGATCGTGCCACTGAACTTCAGCCTGGACTATAGAGTGGGACCCTCTCTCAGTTTAAGAAAAAAAATAAAATAAAACAAGCAGACAAACATACATTGCAATGTAGGATGGCTTCCTCCGGGAGGCCTAGCCAGGAGTGGGTTCAGCAGCCCCGGGCCGGCATTGCCGCTGCCCTGTCTCCTCGCTCTGTGATGCTGGTCCAGAGCCTCACCAAGCCTCAGTGTCCTCATCTTTAAAGTGGGTCTCACCGGCCGGGCTTGGTAACTCATGCCTGTAATCCCAGCTCTTTGGGAGGCCGAGGAGGGTGGATCACTTGAGGTCAGGAGTTGAAGACCAGCCTGGCCAACATGGTGAAACTCCATCTTTACTAAATATACAAAAATTAGCCAGGTGTGGTGGTGTGTGCCTGTAATCCCAGCTACTCAGGAGGCTGAGGCAGGAGAATCACTTGAACCCAGGAGGCAGGGGCTGCAGTGAGCCAAGATCCCGCTACTGCACTCCAGCCTGGGTTACAGAGCGAGACTCCATCTCAAAAAATAAATAAACAAATAAAAATTTAAAAATAATAAAGTGGGTCTTGCCTTACCTACTAGGATAGTTGTTAGATGTGGGAGAGATGCCATAAGCAGTGCCCAGGGCACTCCACAGCCCGAGAAATCTAAGCTCATCTCTCCTTCCCCTTGCTGGAGGACAACAACGTTCAAGAGAACAACAGGAAGCTTTCCCATGAGTGGAAGGATGTTGTGTCAGCTTCTCACTGACCCCACTTCACGGATCTGTCTGCTCAAACCAACCTCCCCAACCCCCAGCTTTTAAATGTGCCTCTTTCACAGTTTCCAACTTGTTGCTCAATATTACAGTAGCCATCAGCGTCGCAGTGTTGGCCTAATGGAAGTCTTCACTTGGTAAAGGTTTACTTTAGAGAACATTATGATTGGTTTTTGCTCTAATTCTTTAAGAAACTGATAGTTGTGGTTTCCTACTATCATGTGTGAGCCACAAACCAATAAAATACCTGATCTATTTGTAGTACAAAAATTAGCGGAATGTGGTAGTGCACACCTGTAGTCCCAGCTACTTGGGAGGCTGAGGCAAGAGGACTGCTTGAGCCCAGGAGGTTGAGGCTGCAGTGAGCCATGATTGCACCGCTGCACAATAAGGCAAGAGTTCAGTGTATTCTTGCCTTATTTTTTAAAAATCAGCTGCAAGTTTAATTTCAAGTTATGATTTGTGTTTGATTGGGGTTGTCAATCGTGCAACCATTGGCAAAGTGCCAACAGGTTCTACCAAAATTGGTCTTTTCCCATGTGGTTTTAGTCTGGTTTGACTCAAGCCTGCTGCCACTGTCTGCAGCCCTGCTCCAGAAACTTCTGCATGGCATTGGGTTTTATTTTACATTAAAATAAATCAGCATTGCATTGGAAGATTGATCATTTCTATCAATCCTCTTGAGATATTGGAGGTATAACTTCCATTCCTGGCTTCTTCCCTTGCTTGGCCCCAGTCAAACATCACGAGTCACTCTTTTTAGCATCTTTTCTGGTTCATTTTGGGGAGTGGAAAGGATGGACTCTTGTAATAAGTTATTCCTACAAAAAAGCAGTTCCCCTATCTGCAGTGATCCTCAAGTAATCATTTCTTGCCCAAAAACCAATGCCCTCTCAGTCCCCTGCCATCATGCTCTATGTAATACTGGGTTCCACTGCACCCTGGAAACCCTCTGTGCTTTAATATGTTACTCAACAGATTTTCCCCGGTTGTTTTATATAGCTGCCCCAGTAGGTGCTTTGGCATTATATAGACTATCTTTTAAATTTTATTTATAATTGTTGTTTCCATATACAAATCCTTTTTTTTTTTTTTGTATTAGTAACTTTATACCTTGTGACCTTAACTCATATATTGCCTCTAGTGGCTATTTTTGAATCCTTTGGGATTTTCTACATAGACTATTATGTCATTTGAGAATAAAGTTTTATTTTTTTCTTTTCAATGCTTATGTCTTTTAATTCTTTTTCCTAACTTATTGCATTGGCTATGATTTCCAGGATAATGTTAAATAGGAGTGGGACAAATCCTTGCTTTGTTCCCAGTGCTGGGGAGAGGTATTAAGTCTTTCACCATTAAGAATAATTTGAGCTGTAGATTTGCCCAAATAGACTTAAAATTCCTTAGTTACCAGAAGTATTTTTTCTGCTTCTTGGGCTTCAAACACACCTCATGGGTCAGCTTTTAAATGTATAACAATATACATTTAAACAATTTTTTAAAAATATAACAATTTATAACAACTTTTAATTGTGTGCTGTAGAGTCTTTATTTGATATGATTTAAAATATCTAGTTTTGTCAGGACTAAGATAGCAAGTAGTCTATTTTAGTGGAAAACATCATGTACTGCATTCACTATTTAAAAATAGTAACAATCAAAACATGCTTCCACCCTTCACCAGTGCAGACGTGCAGTGACGACTGAGCAAGGTCTCATTCACAGGTAGATAGCAGCCTAATCAATAATCCCAGTGTGAGGCTGCCATGCTGACCACTCAGAACAAAACAAGCGAGCTAAATTCATCCACTGAAGAATGGGTCAACAAAATGTGGTATATCCATGCAATGGAATATTATTCAGCCATTAAAAGGAATGAAGTACTGGTACATGCTACAATAGGGATAAATCTCAAAAAATAATACTATTATAAGTGAAAGAACCCAGTCACAGAAGGCCACGTATAGTGTGAGTCCATTTATATGAAATACTCAGAATAGGCCAATCCATAAAGACAGAAAGTAGATTGGTGTTGCCAGGGGCTGGGGACAGGATGGAGCTTGGGAGCTAGTGAGCTAATAGTGGGTGTGGGGTTTCTTTTTGAATGATGAAAATGTTCTAATATTAGATTACATTGATGGTTTCAAGCTGGGTGAATATACTAAAAACCATTGAACTGCACACTTTAAACAAGTGAACTTTATCGTATGAAAATTATGTCTCAATAAAACTGTTTTTTTTTAAAAAATAAAATAACATGAGAGCTAATTTAATGGGAGGCTGGGCATGGAGGCTCATGCCTGTAATCCCAGCACTTTGTGAGCCCGAGGCGAGCAGATCACTTGAGGCCAGGAGTTCGAGACTAGCCTGGCCAACATGGTGAAACCCTGTCTCTACTAAAAATATAAAAATTAGCAGGGCGTGGTGGCACATACCTGTAGTCCTGGCTACTCAGGAGGCTGAGGCAGGAGAATCGCTTGAACTGGGAGGCGAAGTTTGCAGTGAGCTGAGATCACTCCATTGCACTCCAGCCTGGGCGACAGAGCAAGACTCACTCCGTCTCAAAAAAAAAAAAAATTAATTAATTAATGGAATTGATCAGGCTAGATAAAGATTAAGCTAGAAAGCTGGAGAAAGTGAGCTGCCCCAGACCAGGTTGTAAAAGGCTCTTCTGGGGGGAGGATGGGCTAAAGGAACTACTTGAAGGGGAGGGAACCCTATAGGCCACAGCAGAGGCAGCTGACTGATGGAGCATCTTGGGGGCTAGGTCAGTGGCCACACCCCACCATCAACTGATCATTAGAGGTTGTATTAAAGTGTGGGGTAGGACATGGTTAAAAGCTGATGATTGCAGCCAAAAGAAGTATCATCTAGATAAAGAGGTCTCCAGAAGACCCTGAACAATTAAGCAAAAATGGGATAGTCGACTAGTGCTGTACAGAAGGAAATGGCTAGAATTAGCAGCCAACTCCTGTTAACCAGAAAACTGACTTTTTTTTTCTTCTTTCTTCTTCAGACTATAGCCTTCACTTTCCCTCGGTGAGTACAAAACTTTTTAAAAATTATTTTTGATGTACAGATAACTAGTTTAAAATAATATGTGGGATTTAATTATTAGAAGAGCATTGTTTTCTTGAGAAAGAAAGCCATATGGTCAGTGTGTTATATTTGAATTTTATGCCTTACCTTGCTTGAGCAGGCTCATATCACACCTTTTTGTTACATCATTTGCGTGTGTGTGTGTGTGTGTGTGTGTGTGTGTGTGTGTGTGTGAAATTTGGCTCAGCTGCTTGGTCTCCTGAAATGTATTGTTGAGGACACAATTTCTACATGCTTTCCTTTCACTGACGTGTCGTTGCTTTTAAAAGGGCCTAGCCTTATCTCAATGGCACACATCTGACCAGCGTTCAGGAGCGCAGGGGCACATAATTGCATTGATGGTAACTGCTTCTTAAATTGATCTGCTCTAGAGAAAACTGCTGAAAAGGAGCTTCTCCGGATTGCATGCTCAGTAAAAGCAGTGTCAGTGGTGTCGCATAATTTTATGCCTTTTGGGTCCAGGCAATGGCAAAATTCCATGACCTTGATGTCCTTAGAAAAAGAAAACTTTAAACAACAGAGCCCTTTTGCAGTCTACTTAATCAATTTAATGCTGTTAAATTTCCTAAACAAATCGAAGGAAGAAAATCTAAGAGCTTTCGCAGTGTCTGCAGCGTGCAGGTGAGTGGCACGTGGACTTCTGGGTGTGCTTGCTTTTAGCGGGCACCATGATACCGGTCACCAGGAAGCTGTATTTCCTAAATGTATTGCCTTGTTTGAAAGGCACTGACTCCGTTCTGAAATCATTTTCAGGTCAATGGATCAATTATTGTTCCCTGGCTGGCCCTCTTTTTTAGGCAGGGTGCCCTTTGTGGCACTGTTCCATCTGGGCATAAATGCTTATGGTCGTTCTTGGTGTGATGAAATGCATTTTGACTGTGTGGATTGTTTCTTTCTTTCTTGATAAGGAATGTTAAATAAAAGTAATGATTGATTAAGCTAGAGAAGAGGGATGCCTTCGTTTGCCACCTACCAAGTTAATTTTGTTGTCTATGTTCTCCATTGCATCATTATAAGACGTTGTTGATTCTGAATGGGGAACTCTTCTTGGGTAAATGTCAGCGGTGGGATCAAAGAGAAGGATCGTTACTGGAATCATATTATGGGATGGAGGATTAACTATATGAAATCTACAATCCCTGATAGCCTCAGAATCCTATACAAGGGGTGTTGGCTGGTCGATACTGGTTTGAACGCTTATTAAATGTGGCTTTCTTCAAAAGCAATGCAGCTGCGTGCTTTATCGAATGCAAATGTGCCTACCGTGCTAGAATGAAATATTTGAGTGTCAGATCCCACAGATATAGCTCCTTTTGAAATACAGGGCTCAGATTATGATTTGTTACAAGTGTGTGACCTTTGCACCCCTTGTCTCTCCACTCAGTACTGGCCCCTCCGCACCCCATTTTGCCTTCTGCCGCTTCCAAAATTTCCTATTCCTCCCAGCAAGTTGACCTGCTCCCCATCAGTGAGTCAGCAGCTCCCGCAGCTGAGTGATCCTGTGACAGGTGCTTCCGGGGCTCCTCCACCTCCCGGCCTTGTCTCAAAACCGGCAAGAGATTCAGAAGTAGGTGCCCCACCCGAAGGTCACTGAACGTGTGTGCAGGAGCTGACTTCCTGTCCTCCCTGCATCCACCACGGGTAGTTGGCGGCCAGAGCCGCTTCAGGGGGCACCTCCCTTTTCCTGGCCCCACCCTTCCTTTGCCTCCATTTCTTTCTTTCTTTTTTTTTTTTTTTTTTTTGAGACAGAGTTTTCCTCTTGTTACCCAGGCTGACGTGTGATGGCGTGATCTCGGCTCACTGCAACCTCTGCCTCCCGGGTTCAAGCGATTCTCCTGCCTCAGCCTCCCGAGTAGCTGGGATTACAGACAAGCACCACCATGTCTGGCTAATTTTGTATTTTTAGTAGAGACGGGGTTTCTGCATATTGGTCAGGCTGGTCTCGAACTCCCGACCTCAGGTGATCTGCCCACCTCAGCCTCCCACAGCGCTGGGATTACAAGCATGAGCCACCGCGCCTGGCCCTGCCTCCATTTCAGTGGGAAAGTAAAGCTCTGCTTCAGGAAGATCCTGAGTTCCTAGATTAAGGGTACTTCTGATTCCAGAAATCTTTCTCTTGACACGAGGAAAGGGTATTTGAAGCCTGGGTCTCCTATCTGTGCTGCCTTGTCTGCTGCCTTTGTTTGGGACCTGCCCACTGGGCCACTGATATGGTTTGGCTCTGTGTCCCCACCCAAATCTCATCTTGAATTGTACTCCCCTAATTCCCACGTGTTGTGGGAGATAATTGAATCATGGGGGCGGTTCCCCCATACTGTTCTCGTGGTAGTGAATAAGTCTCACGAGATCTGATGGTTTTTTAAGGGGTTTCCACTTAACTTCTTCCTCATTCTCTTCTCTTGTCTGTGCCATGTGAGACGTGCCTTTCACCTTCAGCCATGATTGTGAGGCCTCCCCAGCCATGTGGAACTGTGAGTCCGATAGGCCTCTTTCTTTTGTAAATTGCCCAGTCTTGGGTATGTCTTTATCAGCATCATGAAAATGGACTATCACAGCTGCCAAGGTAGAATACCAGACTGATCTATTAGCCTGTTGCATTTTCACTGCTAAGCATTTGAGACGTGTACAGAGCTTCAGGATATCTATTAATGGAAGGGAACTTATTGCTCACTTGTGGGATTCAGAGACGTGCTTTTGAGTCAGTTAGAACTAAAAAGATAGTCCACCTTGGGCAGGGCGGCTAAGCCCACTAAGGCTGGAGATGGTGCCACAGCCACCGCCCACACTGGGCAGCTGACTGCAGAGGAACCTAGTCACACGTGCTGGATGAACACATCAGCCTGTGCAAGCCTTCTTTTCTCTCATCTATCCATCACTTCCTAGGATGTGATGTGACATTTAAGTGAGATGGCCCAAAGTAAGCATTTAATAAAAGCTAGCTATGGGCTGGGCGTGGTGGCTCATGCCTGTAATCCCAGAACTTTGGGAGGCCAAGGCAGGTGGATCATTTGAGATCAGGAGTTCAAGACCAGCCTGGCCAACATGGTGAAACCCCGTCTCTACTAAAAATACAAAAATTAGCCGGGTGGTAGTGGCACACACCTGTAATCCCAGCTACTTGGGAGGCTGAGGCAGGAGAATCGCTTGAGTCTGGGAGGTGGAGGTTGCAGTGAGCCAGGATTGTGCCACTGCACTCCAGCCTCCATGACAGAGTGAGACCCTGTCTCAAAAAATAAAAATAAAAATAAATAAAAGCTAGCTGTGGTTATCACTGCTACTCTTATTATGATCATCATCGCAGAATCATGGCAACTGTTTCCAACTTTTAAGGAAGGCATTTAAGTGGATTGTAACATATATGCTGGTACTATAGTGGGTATCAAAAGGAGTTCCCTTTACTAGCAGTATTCCAATTTTTCACTTAAAAAAACTATATTAATATTTGACATCTAGGCCGGGTGCGGTGGCTCACACCTGTAATCCCAGCACTTTGGGAGGCCGAGGTGGGAGGATCACCTGGGGCCAGGAGTTCAAGACCAGCCTGGCCAACATGGTGAAAGCTTGTATCTACTAAAAATAAAAAAATTAGCTGAGTGTGGTGGCGGGTGCCTGTAATCCCAGCTACTTGAGAGGCTGAGGCATGAGAATTGCTTAAACCTTGGAGGCGGAGGTTGCAGCGAGCCAAGATCACACCACTGCACTCCAGCCTGGGTGAAAGAGCAAGACTCTGTCTCAAAAATTAAAAAAAAATTGACATCCAAAAAAATGAGTCAAGTCTTTTTTCCTGTTAAGCTGGATTAGGAAGGGTCTCTTGAGTGGAGTCACCCATTCCCATGTTTTCCTTTCCTTTTTGTTTGTCTTTAACAATAGATTTATGAAAATAACACTGTAGTTCGTATCAGTGATCCAATATGACCAAAGTTCCTTCAACTGGAGAAAGCTTGCAACTCTGTGGGTCTCTCGCATAGTATTTAATGCAATGGAATTTCAGAATTAAGAATTTATAAAAGACGTATCGTTAAGGTTTAAATATTTTCTCCAGACTCTTTGAGGTCTTATATTGTTATACCTAAGGGTATCCACTAGTAAGTAAAATTAAATGATTCTGTAACTTGACTATTTCACTTTGGTTCATGGAAATACCCAAGGAATAAAAGAAAACAAAATTAACGTGTGAATATTCAGCAACTGTGAGTTTCAATTTTAAAATGTACTTAGGCTTCCCTTCACTCGCTTGTTCTTCTTTAGTAATCTCTGTTTCCTCCTCTGTCACTTTTAAGAAGTGTGATTTTTTCTCTTCTGACTCATTTGTGTTTCTTGATGTTGATTTGAATGGCTACCATGACAGGAAAAAAAAATCTGTTCGTTTTAAAATAAAGCTCAGGGTTCTGACAGGCAGGGGGACCACCCCAAGCTGGTTTCTGGCTGCATCCGCTGGGGTGACGTTTCCAGCAGGGCAGGAGCTATATGCCCCGGGCCGGCCTTCAGAATCCCAGAAACAAGTGAGAAGCCTGGTGGGCAGAGCACATATAAAATTAAAACTTTCTAAGACATGTGATTCCTATTTCCCTTCTTCTTCTTATACTGGGGTTTTTTATGAGCACCAATGGATTCCACGGGTTTCTATCCAAGCCACAGCGACAAATTATTCTCCTGGTGACTGAATTAGAAGTTGACAGTAAGTTGGAAGAATGCCTTTGGATCTGACATGACAAACAGATTAATCCTTCATTTATTTCCATTTCCAGTCCTCCCTCCCCCCGGAAAGTTTCCACATTCTTTCAAGAAGTGCCTCCTAAAAGAGCCTAGTAGGTAATCCTTTGTCACAGAGCAAAGGCATGGGCGTTAATCAGTCACAGTTTCCCCTAAGAGGAAATAGGAACACAGATTTCCTATATAAACTCATGTCTCGTCACCGTGTTCACAGCAGACCCAGTTCAAAGTTGGAATTCTTCTAGAAATCCTTTCTCAGCTGTCAGGGAAACATGGATTCTCCAAGGCCAGGATGGTTTCCCAGCGTCTTCCCAGGAAGACAAGAGGTAACGGGGAGCTCAGAGGGGTCTTTCTTGTCTCTTTGGTTTTGTGTCATGGTTGCTTCTAATATAATTTCTAAAGTACCTAAAAATCAGGCTAAAGAATATTACCAGGAAGGCGTCGTTAAATGAAAATTTGGCAAGCCTCTTAGTTACCTTTATCCAGCTCTGTGCAGGAAATCTGGGATCTATGCTTCAGGAAACCATTTCCAGTCCACCACGCCTCAGTCGATAGTGCACTGGGGATGGCATGGAGGCATTGTCTGTTTGGGCCTGGTGGGTTGTCAGACAGCCAAGAATCCAAGGTGAGGTTCACCTTTTTAGAAAAACAGTCCCTAACAATTGCTGGGGACATAGGCCGGCTCGATGACATGGGAAAATCCCACCCATTGTAAATTAGACATTTTGTATCTTTGTAATCAAAACTGCCCTCTTCATTTTTCATTTGAAGTGGCATTTTAATTAAGTGACACACAGAGCAAGTGTGAGGGACCTGGACTGCAGGCCAATGAGCAGGTCTTCAAGGAGCTTGTCTTCAGGCTCCTGAGGCCAGGGCCGGCACTCTGTGTGTAAGGGTTTCCTGCCTGTGCAGTTCATGTTGCGATATTGTCGGCTGCAGATGAGTGCCAACTGCCTAAGGGGTGGCATCATTCATATTGGGAGAAAGAAGACAAGAAATGTATAAATGCTTTTGGGTGTATGAGTTACAGAGAGATTTCTCAGACCCGGCGGTGCATCAGGATGAGGTCTCGTGCCAAATGCAAGGGCCGTGGGTGGACCAGTCCTACCTGATACAGGAACTCACCCTCAACTGCAGCACCATCCCCTGGGGGTGGCCCCCTGTGGATTGAGCAACAGGAAAGGAGATCACATTCTGCTCAAAAATGACCATTTGCAGTGACTTTTTTTCTTTTCTTTTTTTTTTTTTTTTTTTGAGACTGAATCTTGCTCTATCACTCAGGCTGGAGTTCGTTGGCACAATCTGGGCTCTTCGCAAACTTTGCCTCCAGGGTTCAAGCGATTCTCCTGCCTCTACCTCCTGAGTAGCTGGGATTACAGGCACCTGTCACCATGCCCAGCTAATTTTTGTGTTTTTAGTAGAGATGGGTTTTGCCATATTGGCCAGGCTGGTCTCGAACTCCTGACCTCAGGTGATCCGCCCACCTTGGTCTCCCAAAGTGCTGGGATTACAGGCATGAGCCACCCTACCTGGCCTGCGGTGACTTTTTAAAGCTGCTCATACACATGAACATAAAGATGGAAACAACAGATGCGGGGAACTCCAAAAGGGAAGAGGGAGGGAGGAGAGCAAGGGTTGAAAGACTCTCTATTGGGTACTATGTTCACTATTGGGGTGATAGGTTCAATAGAAGCTCAAAGCCCAGCATTGTGCAATGTACCCATGTAAGAAACCTGCACACATACTCTCGAATCTACAATAACATTTTTTAAAACTGCTTATTATGTTGCAGAGTTTGGTAAAAATTATTTAAAATGGTAAGAAAGGAAGGATCTCTGTGGAACTACTGAACAAAAACATGTCATGTAATAGATTTTCTGGGTAGCTTTTCTCCTTGTTTTGAATAGAAATGAGCATAAGCAAAAAAACGAAAACTGGATTTGTGTTTATTTTATGATGAGGGCTGTTTCAGTTCTAACAACTTTTAAAAAATATGTTGATAGTATTTAACTGATTTCAAACAACTCTACCAAGATTCATCTGCTATCAGAAATGGTGCAGATTTCATGTTCAAGTGCTATAACATATACATATAGATAGCTTCTTAAAGCTATATATATTATATTTTACATATACATATTATATATTTAAAGCTATCATGTTAGCATGTTGCTGCTGAGAAATGAATTTTTTTAAATCTCATGTTTGTGAAATTATTATTTAGAAAAACAGGATTTGCTCTATTTCCTGTTTTTCCAGATAACTTACATGCCTTATGCTTAAACAAAAATTGCATTTCTGATAAGACACATACATATGGAGCACTTATTTACAAAGCATGCTCAAATTCATGATCTCAAGTGGGCCCCCTAAACATGCAGAGGCAGCAGTCCAGGCATGCCTTGTCACCTCTCCCTTAAAGAGGGGAAAACAGAGACCCAGGCAGGCTGGATAAGTGAGTTGTAGGACAGTGGAAAGGAAGTGCCAGTCCCCAGCGGTGCTCTCTCGGACTGAAACGCTGCTCCTCTCCAACTGAAAAAACAGTCGGCTCTCATTACCACCACCAAAGGTGAAGTTCAGACCTGCCAAAAGAAAAACTTTTCCGTTATGAAAAATATTATTTGACAGTTATGCAAGTGACAGAGAACATTAACAAATAAGAACATATCCTGTGGATTCTGCAAACGGTTTGCTGGTTGATAATTATATTTTGGAACAGTTTTATGATCACTTGAGTTGATCTTGGCCAGAGTTCCCAATTATTTCTGCATGTTATCTGCTGACCAAATCCAGCTTTCTAATCTCTTTTCACACACTTGGCATGTTTCCTTCCAGCACAGCCAGTAATTTGTTCATTCGCTCACTGAGGGTTTATCGGGTTTATCAGGTATCTCTTGCAAGCTTATAATTGTGCAAGATATTGAAAAATGAAGTGGTTGATTCTAGTTCTAATTTCAGGAAATATTGCTTAGAGAGCCAATGTTTGAGTCCTTTCTCTACTAAGTATAAATGTGTGTTTTGCCCAGGAGCCTAGAAAAATGATTGATTAGAAAGATTTTAGTTCTGGAAAGTTGAATGGCCTCTGTAATCCCAGCACTTTAGGAGGCTGAGGTGGTTGGATCACTTGAGGTCAGGAGTTTGAGAGCAGCCTGGCCAGTATGGTAAAACCTCATCTCCACTAAAAATACAAAAATTAGCCAGGCATGGTGGCACGTGCCTGTAATCTCAGCTACTCAGGAGGCAGAGGCAGGAGAATCACTTGAACCCAGGAGGCGGAGGTTGCAGTGAGCCGAGACTGCACCGTTGCACTCCAGCCTGGGTGACAGAGCATGACTCCACCTCAAAAAAAAAAAAAAAAAAAAAAGAAAGAAAAGAAAAGAAAGCGGAGTGACTTAGACTTGTCACTTCATCACTCTGAGTCACACCTTCTTGGTCTAAAACATAAAGGGCTGGGTGAGAATTGTTTAAAGACATCTTCAAGACCTAGAGTTCTATGCTCTAGGGTGGTGCTGGTCTGGATTTGGAGTTAGCAACAGAAATCCCCAGAAAGTAACTACTGCATGTGTCGGCCATGACGGGGACCAGCCGCACTCATCCCCTTGTCTTGCAGGATGTGTCTGCATGTTTTGGGGTGAATGTTTTGTCATCTTCCTATGAGAAAGCAGCACTGGCCTAGGGGCTTCCTCCTCCTGCCTCGCTCATTTGTTTTTGCTCTCTCACTGCTCTCCAAAAGAAGCAAGAACATTTTTTTAAAAAGCATTTTATTAATGGAAAATTTTTATTTGAAATATGGTCATTTCCTTTTTATAATGTTGCTTCTATTCAGGAAGGAAAAGCTGAGAATCCGTGGGCTTTGATTTTAAAACTCAAACAGAAATGTTAGTTAATAAAACAAAGGTATTTTTCCCACTGTTCTGAGGGCCATTCTGGCAAATGGTTCCGGGGGCCGCGTGATGGTTTATGTTGCTAGAAGAAGTGATTCACTGGGAAGGTGAACCACTTCATCTCGTCAGAAACCATGGAAACCCTCGATATCACTCTGTTCCCCTCTTAGGGGAGTTCTCAACAGAAGACACACTGGAAAGTGGATGTCACCGGGATGAAGTTAGAAATCCCAAAAGTAGACTATTTGAGCAAGATCGAATTCAAAGGCATCACTATTTTCAAAACCTGTTTTTGGCTTCCTTCCAATCTGAAGCCAACACCGACATTCTGTTATGCTGTTTCCCGTTGTGGGCGGACTGACTTAATTTTTAATGAGTGATTCACTACCCACGGCTGTATATTTTCCGCCTGCTGAGCTGAGAATTAAGTCATTTTCCTTTAAAAAATTCTTTCTGATACCAGCTGAGTAATGTGGTTCTCAGTGTTTGAGACAAGGAGGCATGTTAATATCACTTAAGAGAGGGTGTTTAACCTGACCTAGGCTCTTAAGACACGGCAAGCATGACGCCATCATGAATGGAATGCTCTCTAGAAAAGGAGCCTGTCTCATTCAGCTTTCAAAAACATTTCTTTCTATAAAAATATTTTCCAAAGTTGTGCAATTTTTTGAAACATTTTCTGGGGGTAATACAAATCCAATCCATTTGGGAAGTCGCGTGGGAGGTTTCCTAATGGGAAGCCTGGTAATATCAGGTGTTTCCCTACAGTGTTCGCAGGGTCTCACCCCTGTCCACTCTGATGACTCTGACTGGCCTCTGTCCGTCCAGCAGGGATCTGGCAATCCTTTCTGATCCATAATCTTTATTAGAATAGCACCGGAGGTACTTGTGGCCACCAGAGCTATGTAGCTCCTGTCTTGGGCCCCACCCCTTACCAAACTGTTCCCTCTCCTGGGCCCCTCAACACCACTCCTTCAGGATGACTCTGAAGCACAGGCCGCCCTATCTTTACAGTGAGTCCCTCCTGCCTGTCCTGAGCACTGACCAGTGAGCCCACCGGGTGAGCAGCTGAAGCTCCTCCCTGTGCCCAGCACCTCGGGGCCCCCAGGATCAGATTTTACCCAGTAGAACCCAAGAACCTAGAGGATGGGAAACACAGCTAGCAAGGAGGTGGCAGGAGGGGTGCAGATCAGAGGGGTGAGAAAGGGAGGCTGGAGGGGCAGGTGGAGCACTCAGGAGTTAGTCATGGGGAAAACAACATGACCAGAAAAGGAGCAGAGGTGGGGCCTGTGAGGCTCAGGTACCGAATGTCTGTGCTAAGCAACCACGTGGGGGTCAGCAGGTCACCCCTCTTCTAAGGACATCCGTCTCCCTAGCTGCTCAGTGGAGTCACCTCTGCAAGGCTCTAGGGTTCTCGCCATCCAGGTTGGGCCCTCAGAAGAAACTGAAAAGTTCTCGCACGAAATTCATAGCACACTGAAAATACAAAGGGTGGCAGCTGGGGGTCTCTTTCTTTGGGAATGATTTGCTCTTAGCCCAGCATCTTGGGCCTCAGCTCGGGGCTTCCTGAAGCCGAGCTTCCCTGGTGAAGAGGCCCCCTATTCAGGGCAGCTGCTCACCAACGCTCCTGGGCCTCGGGGCACTCAGGAAACACCCGAGTTACCCTCAGGGCCAGACCGCAGGCCTGGAGCCTCTCCTTTTGCTGATGCACCTGCATCAGAAAGCCAGACACCTGCTCTAGAAACCTAGGTACCAGGTCTAAAATCCAAATACAGCATCAGGAGCCCAAATACCTGGTTAGAATCCAAGTCCCCATTCAGAAAACTAAGTATCATGCAACAAATCCAAATACCTCTTCAGAAACTCAAATATGTGGTCAGAAAGCCAGGTGCGTGCCCAGGCATTTGTAATAACCGCGTAAGTGGGAGTCTTCATTTTTCTCCAGAACAAGTAGCCCCTTTCTGAAATTCATCATAAAGCTAAAAAATAAATAAGAATTGTTTTATTTCAGTGAGGCTGTAGTGCATTTTTTTAATGTGTCTGCTGTGTATATCACAGTGTGCCTGGGATATCTGAAAAAGTTTGAAGTTGCCCCGGTCACAGAATCTAGGGTCCTGATTGAAAATGAGCAGAGGGTTGAGGAAATAGACTCACTGAAATTGCGTATTCAGGTCTATGAAAGACAGAGAACTACATCAGGGGTGTCACAGCAACCCAGGGGCTCCTCTTCTAAGTTTCTTAAATCCCCAGGAAAGGGTTTTCTTCTAAGACGTGGTTAGAAGGAAATGAACTACTAATCTTGAGAAATGAAAAGTCAAGTTCGGAGAATGGCCTGACAATTCGCGCTATCAGAGAGTGCATGTTTTCTCTAACTCCCATTTTCTACTTTATCCATAATTTATATGATGTGTGACACATAACTTGAAGCTAATGCGTGGTGGGGCCACCGCAGAGGGACAGAAAACAGTTGATGTGGAAGCCATGCCTGACTGTCACAGACGGGGATGGGGGGCCAGGGTCTCAGCTCCTGGAGGGGGCGAGGGAGCCCATTGTCCTGGGATCCCCAGGGTTCACCCAGCATGCATCGGGTCTCAGGAACCTGCGTTGCTGATGGATATGTGAATGAGGGGATGAACAGGCGTGGAAGAAGGGGGAGTAGGGAGAAGACAGTTGTATCTTTGCATTCTTCACAGAGCCTGGGGCAGCACTTAGCACAAACAGGGCTGGCTACTTAAAACCCGGGGTCACTCGTTCAAAAGGCAGGAAAAAAAGCTTTTTCCTTTCTTCGTGTTCTCTCTCTGGATCTTTCATAGTGGTGTGTGTGTGTGTGTGTGCGTGTGTGTGTGTGACCTTCTATTTAATGTCACATTCCCCCAGGCACTAGGATACTCTCACTGCCTTCAACTGGGCAGGTAGAAGGCATCCATCCAGCCCCCATCCTCCCTGTTGAGGAGTTGGGGGAGTCTCAGTTGCTGGTCGGGGCAGGAAGTGGACAGTCAAGAACCCAGCGGGATGGAGCAGAAGGTGGGCCAGGTGTGAGTTGAGGGGTCATACCCCGGCACATGTCCCATTGCCCCACCAGAGTTCCCTCACAAAACACAAGTTCAGAGATAAAATTCTTATGACATATGAAGGTAGCAGTTACAGAGCATTAAACCCCAAGCATGAGGGGCTCTCTTCTGAGTGAGGGCCTGAGCACTGCTCTGCTCTCGTGTTCCCGAAGCCCACCCTGAGTACGAGAAGTGAGGGTCAGAGCCCTGCAGGGTCCTGCCCATGGTGACTGGCGAAGGACTTTCTTTTCCGGGGGAGCACAGCCAGAGCTCTCTTCTCTGATTCCATCATTAGTTTCTGGAAAGGCCTTCCCTGCCCACTCTATCTGATGTTACCTATCCAACTTCCAGCCCCAAGTTACTTTCTGTACCCCCGTTTTACTTTATATTGTCATTAAAGCACTTACCAGTATTTGGAACTGTGGTATTTACCCATTTTCTCACCCGCAAGAACGCAGGCCCCATAGGATAGGGATCCCATCCCTCTGTCCCCTTGCACAAGTGCTGGCATGAGAGAGGCACCCAGTGAATTTTAGGTGCATGAATGAATAGTCTTTACGTGACTTTGTATCCTTTTAGGAGCAAGCTGGATATAAATAAATACATGAAGTCAACTAACACCTCCAAGTGGCTCAGTCAATTTTCAGTGATTTTTCTCTGTCCAACACCAGACTGGCTTCAGTGATTTCTTTCACTGATGTGGCCACATTTGTTTTGTTTTATTTTGTGGCCATGCAGCCCGATGTCGCAGGGGCTGTTGGTCCTCCTGACTCCCTGCTGGAACGTAAGGGAGAGCCTCATTCCAGGTCTGCACTGGCCCCAAACTGGGCCAAGACTGCACATTTCAGTTCACTTTGGGTTTCTGATAGCAGTTCTCTCCCCAGCCCCCATCCCTAGGATTCCTAAGAGCTAAGGGATGTACCCACCAATCCAAGCCACCTACTAGCATTGAACTTCTGTGTCTTGAAAAGGGATTTTGTTTTGAACCAGTCACTGGGAGATGCGTTCTAAGGTGAGGGCTTCCGGGTCAATAAACCTGTAGGTGTCGCCCACCAAAAAAAGTAAATCTGACCTCAGCCCAGTCCCATGGTGGTGCCTATTCCATCAGGGCAGAGAGTCAGCAGCTGGCAAGAGAGGCTCAACCCCCACCACTCCTGAGAGCCAGGAGGCCCTGGCATTCAAACTCAGGCTTCACAGATCCACACATCTTTGTTCTCAGAGAGGAGAACCCAAAGTGTGTCTCCCAGTGAGTTCTGAGGATGAGGGAATTATGAAAGGCACCGTGTCCACTTGTGAGATAAACCGACCCACCTGGTTCCTCATAGTGGGAGGTGGCTCAAGTGTCAAGTGGCCCATGCTACCTGGTCTTCTTGGTTTTCTTCCATCCGCGTCCCTGGAGATGGTTATGTGCTTTGCTTCTTACTAAATGTATCCAGAAGCCAAGGCAAGCTAGGAGGAGGAGTGGGATCTGGATCTGCAGATCCAGAATAGCACCGCAAAATTACCCAGCTGGGGCTTAGCTGACTGTCCAGACCCTGACGGTGGGGTTTAGAATTGGATAGCATCCAAGCCTTTCTGTGATTTCATCAGCACCATCATGCAATAGGTTGTTTAAACACCGATATGAAAACCTGTTTTCCAACGATGCTGCAACATTTGATTAATTCTTCTGGATGGGATATCAAGGTGGCTAAAGCAAGCATTGCTTGCAGTTATGATGAATTTGCTGAGTGTCAGAGGAAAATTGTCAGGCCACAAACTAATCATTCTTAGGTGCCTCATTTAGCATTCTGTCCATGTTTATACCAACTCTACACGAGCACACACACACACACACACACACACACACACACGCACGCAAAGTATTGGAGACCACCTTGAACTAAATGGATTTGACCTCTATTTGTAAAGGGTGCATTAGCGTGAAATGGAGGGGGGCTTTCTTTGAGGGTTCAGCAAGCCATCTAGCCTACATGCTGCTGTCTTAGATGCCAGCCTTGGTCTTAAAGAGCCTGGTTTCTAAGGGAAAATTCATTTCATGGACATCTTGTTGCCAGGAATCAGTGTGATTCACTTTTCATTTCAGGATGATGTTGAGTCCTCTGTGTTATTCCCAGTGTGGACGTGGAGTAGTGACTGATGTCTAATTATTTGGAAGGGAGAGAGCTTCTCTAAGAAGGACATGCAATGTCAGAAGCTTCCGTTGCTTGGCAACACGTAACTTTACCTATGTTTCACCAAAGGCAGTTTAAAGGGCTAAAGATGCCCATTCAGGCAATAGTAGATTACAAGGAAGATCTCGAAAGCTGGCCCGTCAAAATCGCTTTCCACCATAGAAATAAACACCTAAGAGAGGGTTTGGGACGTGAGTGGTTGCGTGTTGCACACCAGCAAACAGGGTGAGAAAGAAGGCAGTGGTGCCATTTTTCCAGAATCATACTGTGTACATGCCCTGTTAAAGTTGATTCAAATTGCTCATTCCTTACAGTAAAACCTCCAACCTGAGACTCCCCTTCAGAATGTATGCCCCTGCAGCTTCCCCAGTTTTTATGACTGTGGCACCTCACTGGAACCCATGCCAGCCCCTTCCCATCCAGCTAGTATGCCTCCCGGCATTCGGCTTCAGCCTCCAGCCTTGTTTCATGTCAGCAGCTGAGCTCATGAAAACTCTTCTTTCCAATGAAGGAGGAGGCTGAGAGGTGCACCAATGGCTGGATCCAGGCACACGCAGGCTCCGAGTTCACAGAAGCAGGGCCATCATGTCCCGGCTGTTGGGAGTTCCTGTGAATGTTGCAACTCTCATTTCTTTTTGAAGTGGGTGTGTAAGAAGCATGTCTGTTCATTGTGGCAGCCTGAGTTTTGGAGGCCCCACAACATTCTTTCCTATGTGGAAAGAGTTTTCTTTTTAATTCAGAAACAACAAACCTTCTCAGCCTCAAACCAGGCCAATCTTACAGTGTCATGGCAAAACAAAGAAAGAAAGAAAAAGAAGAAATTAAAACATGCAAAGCAAAAAACAAATAGAAAAAAAAAGAACACAGTGCAACAGTCAAAATCAGGTTAACTTAATGAATTTGGGCCGAACTTAGATTTAACATTTCCTTGAAGTTTGGCTCCCATAAATCACCTGTCTTTTTCAAACAGCAGCCTCTGAAGTACAATCCAGATTATTTCTCCCCTTTTGATCAATGCTTTTCCCGGGAATCAAACCCAGCTCTTAAGAGCATTTATAATGAAAGCTAAAGACAGCTGACCACTAACTGGCCCTGAACACCCAGGTAAACTCTGAGTT
The DNA here is from genome assembly GCF_000001405.40 of Homo sapiens. Classification (NCBI taxonomy): domain Eukaryota; kingdom Metazoa; phylum Chordata; class Mammalia; order Primates; family Hominidae; genus Homo; species Homo sapiens. The sequence goes on from NC_000010.11 coordinate 127,997,296, forward strand.
TGCCCACAAGGAAAAGTTATGGCGTCCACATGCTCCAAAGGGGACTCCATGTTCAAGGTAATCTCCCAAGTCCCTCTGCTGCTGCTGGCTGTGAGGCATCAACATCCTCCCCCAACCTGGACTCAGGGGCTGCAGCCTCAGAGGACCAGCGTCGTGGAGTTCAAGTTCAGTTCAGCACTTGAATAGTACATCCTTCAGGAAGCCAGGGCACTGAAGACTGAAAAGCAGAATCCTAACATTCATGTATATTTTAAAGCCAGAGTTCACAAATCGGAGACCTTAGGAATTAATATAAGTACATGTACATGTATTTGTGGCTATGTGTACTAGTTACAAATAAGAGACAAGAAAGGAGATATACAAATAGGAGAACAAAGCATATTCAAAAATGAATATGGCAAAAGTTCAAATGAATGTGAACTAACAACAAAAAAATATAGTTTCTCATTTCTAGGCATATTACTTCTGCTTTTTCAAAACCATTTCTCAAGTTATTGATAATAATACGAATTCTGTCCTTAAATTGCTCAGTGAAGGAGAGTAAATTAATGTATTTTAAGATGATCTTTCTGTTTTGAAGTCCTGCTGCTTCCGTCACATTTACACCAGCAGACACGGACACTTCCATCTGTCCCCATTCGTCATCACTGTGAGATGAAGCTAAGAGTTCGATTCACTAAGTTTTATATAGCCAGTACCATGTGAAACACAGGATTTGATTTAAGTGTGTGGTGTGACTGCAATGGGAAGCAGTCGAACACACAGCAGCAATACTGCACCATCACCATGACAACCAGTGGAAATAATGGCCCCCTTTGGGAATAAAAGAGATCTCAAATCCTGTTGCAGTCAGTAGCGCTGGCTGTCTGCAGTAGAGATGGTTTTCAATGATTGTTTCAGAAATTCCTTATCAACAGAAAATGAACGAGACGGGGAGTTTTCAGAAAATAAATGGATTTGCAGACAACTTAACGTCATCATCGAAGTCACCAAAGAAAGCAAAGCAGCGACTGGGGAAGCTGAGGCTGAAGTAGCAAGGGCATGCCACCCAGGCTGCTATTCCAGTCGCTGTGAAAGCCTGGTCACTGTCTTTGCCACGCAGAACACATCTCTGGGAATGCTGTCGATCTATGCCTCCATCTTTTAAAGGCTTTCCATTTCTGTCTGGATTTTTTCTTTATGGGAGGCAGAAATAATAGTGAATTGAATGAAATGGAGTATATAAGTGTCTAGCACAGTCCTTGGCACATAGAAAGTGCTCTGTAAACAGTACTTCGCATCAAATTCTTGGGATGAATGAAAGTGAGTGCCTGGCGCTGCACATAAGAAAAGACGTGGCAGCAAACCATCCTCCCGACATGACGTGCTGCGTTGGTGCGTTTACGTCCCTGTTCCTTCTGAAAGACTCAAAATTGTGTTGGAGCTACTGGTGCACCTTTGTAAGACCTGCACTAACGACCGCGCCACTGGGAAGGGCACTTCTTTATGAAGTCGCCGTATTCCCAGGGAGACTGGTCAACCCATACAATGTGAAAAAAAAAGAAGCTATGTGAAAAAATATTCCCCTTTGTCATAGAGAAGGAGAACTTGGTGAGGCTGGGCAGCTGCAGGAGCCTCAGTTTTTCAGATAACAGAACAGAGTAGACCTTGAGGGTCCATTTCCCTTTTTGTTTTAGGAAGTGCTGTAGAAGGGGGCAAAGAGATCTTTGATATGAGAAGGTATTTCTTCAAAGCAGCATCGTGCCTGAAATAGCATTGTTCTTTACGCTGAGAGAGGAGGAAATGGGAATTTGGTGTTCAACGGGTTTAAAGTTTCAGTTACAAGAAATGGACAAGTCCGAGAGCTCTGCTGTGCCACATCATGCCTAAAGTCACCGAGACTGTGTTGTACACTTTTTTGTTAAAAGGTAAATCTCATGTTAAATGTTGTTACTACAATTAAAAAGAAGCCCTAGGCTGTGTTTGCAGAAAGGCACTAACCATACATGTGCTCAAGAGCCCTTTTGTGTTTTCTTCACTTCATGTTGTAGTTCAATTTAGTTTTGCTTTGCAAGGATCCTCGGAAAGTGTATCATCAGCAATGACTTTTATTTTAGAACTAAATGTGAACCACGGGGGGAATCATGATCGACATTGCTCGTTGTCCTTTCTTCCTCCCTGTGGGCTGTGAATCCAACTCGTCCTGGGAGCAGGGCGCTCTCGCCTTCTGTTCCTCTCCGAGCTCAGTGCACAGAAGCATTCTGCTTACCCAGCTGGGACTGCTGACTGCACCATCGAGCACGCAGGTTGCACTGTTCTCAGCAGCTACACTGGATTATATGCCGCCTTTCTTACTGACTGATTATGAACTTAAAACAAATTCACTCTGCTGCTGTGAATTATACATTTATTTTTAAGCATTTATTTCAACTCGAGATGAGCGGTCTCTCCTGTAAATTTCTCCCTGCTGGATCTTTGCTCTGGTTTCTGGTGACATAGTGTGAGTGCCGGCAGCCGCGAGCCTCAGAAGGAAAATTACAAAGGGAATACTCAGTAAATGATGTATTGCCTTTCGCATCAGTAGCCTGCTTGGAAATGTTCAAATTATCAGCCCAGGAGACTCCAGTGCTGTGGACATGGGTCTGAACGAATTGATCACCTAGGGGCTACTGAGAACGCGGTGCTCTGTAAGTATCCATGGATGCACAGCGCAGACGCGGAAAGGGATCCCCAGAATGTTCCTTCTGTTGCTGGTTTAGATTGTGAGGAAAAAATGCATTTTCCATGAGTCTTTAACTTAGTATTAAATGTTGTTACTGGTTGATAATTTAGGAATGTCACAGCAGTTCTATTCCTTGTCAACTCTGCTTGAGCCTCTCTCCCGGTTTCTAAAATGTAACATCCATTAGTTGGTGGGGTAACAGTTTGGTTCAAATGATTTTCTGCCTGTTTTATGTCTTCATTAAATTGATACTTAACGTATAAGTAATCCCTCTTTCACCTAAAATAAAAGAGCTAAATTTTCTTTAAGCAAACAGAACACCCTTAGAATTTTGGACCCGCACCCTTCAACTAACATGAAAATGTTAGATTCATTTTGGGAAATATTTTATATGGAAGCTGACTAACCAATGATTTGAAATGTCACAACACAAAATTGGAGGGGAGATTTTCTCTAGCTGCGTTTCTTTTCTCTCTCTCTCTTTTTTTAGAAGCATACTGCTTATAGTTTAAGACCATATCCTAGTGAATGAATAGCCCAAGTTCTCAGAGACTGTATATTTGATAAATGCTCAAATTGTTTTTAAATTGCTAATGCTCCCATGTGGGTAAGCTCAGATATATTATAGCTCACCTATGAATTGGTTTTGATACTTATGATGAGAACAGACTTCCTGCTGAGAATAAATATTAGATTTCATTCTATGTGGTACTTCGTTTAAATCAGTTTATCCCTGAACCTTGGTTTCTTTCCTACAAAGTGAAGGAGGCCCTACAAGCTCTTGCACTGCACTCAGAGGAAGAGTCGTCCCTGGCACTGTAAGAATTCCACCAAGCCTCACTCACTTGGGCAACTGCCCAGAAGGGCTCAGCAGTGTTCAGACACCTCATGTCTCAGTAGGTGACCGTGCCCTTGGACAGGAAGCTACCACTCCAGGGCCGTGCTCTCTCCATTCAGAGTCATGGATAGTAGGAGAGTCTTTATAAATCTGAACTCTGCATGTACCATCATGAGTGGCTACAGTTCACTCTCAACATTTGCTGTATTTTGTTCACACTAAGAGAGAATATTTGGCTATTTCATATTAGAGAAACTAGGCTAAAACAACTAATCACGTTTTACCTGTAATGTGAAAGGGCTTCCATTACCTTCTAATCAACTTATGTTCCATCCCAGTTACTCTGTGTGCAGAGAGATCTGAGTGTGTGTGTGTGTGCATGTGTGTGTGTGTACTATGTGTGGGACATCACATGGAAACCAGGGAAGGAATGCATTTATAGAAGTGGGAAGTTCTCAGGAAGTCTTCAGCTTTGGATCTGCTTTCACACTGAGCACTTGGTGTCAGTGTGCTGGAGAAAGGCTGATAGTAAGTAAAGTGTAGGCACGGCTAGGGCGCCGGAACTTTCCTTGCATAGTATTTTATCCCAGTCACGCACTGGGGGATTGTGGACATTTTGTCAGACCCCCATTTTAATGGAAATTTAAATCCTTCCACCCCCGGAATTGCTTCTTCGGGGCTGTTCAGTGCTGCTGTGTGGTTCAGTGGCCTGCCCTCGTCCCCAAGAGTGCCTCCTACTTCAAAACCCCAGGCCGACCCCCAGTACAGTGCACAGGCAGGGGCTGGCAGCTGCTCAGGTCCCCTGTTCCTGGAGGAAACTCCTCATAGAGGCAAATTAAGGATTATGCCCTCGCTTTTCTGACCTAGGGGTCTGCCATGGGATGATGACATGTTCTGGGAGATAACGTATGGGAAGGTTCTTAGTATTAGGAGCTGCGGAAACCAGGATGCTGTGGAAACCAGCCACATGTTAGCTGGGCAAACGTAAGAAAGCACGCTGTCATCTGGAGTAAGGGGCACTGGAAACATCACCGGGGCCCTATGGGTTGAGAAGGCTGTGGGCTCACCTGGTTTCTCCTCTCTCCCGTCCCTCATCAGTAAACCCCATGACCCTTTGGCAGCAGCAGGGGAGATGGCAGTGTTGCCTCTCGCCTGATCTCTGCAGGCTGGAGGGCTGTTCTGTCGCTGGCTCTGCTCGTACTTGGTAGAGCACAGCCACTGCCTCGGGAGCACAGATCCAGGCCGTGCCGAGGCAGGACTGTGAGCCCCAGTTGTGGGGACCTCCGGGGCAGCCACGGTCTCAGCCGTCGCCCCCGCTGACAGCCAGAGCCTATGTGTCTGTGGAGGGAAGAGCAAAGCTGTCAGCATGAGTATGTGCATATTCAGCTGACCCTGGACTGCTCCTGCCTGTTTATTTCTGCTGTGACCTCAGGGTGCTGCGGGCATCGAGGGGGAACAAGGCCATCAGGAGGAAGTGGGCAAGGACAAAATTATTTCCGGGGAGTTTGTATAAAGGTGGTCATTTGCAGGGGAGCTGCCTAGGGAGGGGGCAGGGAAGACACTGCTGTTCAGGAGGAAGTCAGTAGTGGGGAGCACCCTCTATCTAATTCCAGGGGCCCTACCAATCAGAACAGGTGCCAAGGAAGGAAGATGCAGCAGTGCGTAGGTAGGCAGGAAAAGTCAGTGATACCAGAAGGATGGATACAGGAAGGGCCAGGGCCTGCTCCTGGCTGCTGGAGCCCTGCGTGGCACATGGCGCAGGCTCAGGCAGCCATGTCTGAATGGCTGAAAATGATCTGATGAATGATGCAATGTCAATTGTCTTTGCAGTGTTTGGGAGTCACATATCTTTTTTTTTTTTTTTTTTTTTTTTTTTTTTTTTTTTTGAGACAGGGTCTTGCTATGTTACCCAGGCTGGAGTGCAGTGGTGCGATCACGGCTCTTGACCTCCTGGGCTTAAGCAGTCTTCCCACCTCAGCCTCTCAAGTAGCTGGGACCACAGGCGTGCACCACCATACCGGACTAATTATTTTTATTTTTTGTAAAGATGGGGTCTCACTTTGTCACCCAGGCGAGTCTTGAACTCCTGGCTCAAGTGATCCCCCTGCCTTGGCTTCCCAAGATGCTGGGATTACAGGCATGAGCCACTGTGCCTGGCCTGGGAGTCATATGTCTTATGGATGTTGGGTTTTGTGCCTCTGCAGATATGCATGCACAGATAGACCATTTACAGTCCTGAAGAGCAGAGTGGGCTGTGGCTCAGACACTGGGTTCAAATCCTGGCTTGTCACTTCCTTCCTGACCTCGGGAGGTGACTTGACTGCTGTAAGGTAGTATCCTCCTCATTGGTGATGAGAGACATAGCTGAGATGATTCTTATAAACCACTCAGCACACGCCTGCACGTGAGTGGGCCCCATAGAGTGTAGCTGCTGCTGTTGCGGCTGTTTCCCTCTCTGTGTTCTCCTAATCACACTGGGTGGTTGTCATTTTTTATTTCACTGGGAAAAAAAAATTTAAGTCAGCTGTACTTTGGGAAAAGAGATGTTAAAAAATGTTTTCCAATACATTAAAAATATTAGCACTGTTGATTCTTTTAGAATCATGCTGTCTAACTCTTACTTTGAAACTATACTCTGTTACATTCATCCTGGTGATACTGTTTAACAAAAAGGAAAAAGAAAAAAAAGAAAGTAGCATAATAATATCCATAAACAGTTTTTAAGTGTGAAATAATCCTGAATAGCTAGAAAATTCAGAGGACATTTTGCACCATGCATTTGTGGCAGTTCACGCGCGGACATCAGGCTCTGGAATTCTGCCAGTGTTTTAAAATTAGAACTAAAGAAATGCGCCCCAACTTAATTAGTATAAATGTTGCCGTGCAACTTCTAATAATGAGTGTAATTTGCAATACATGCTCACCATGTAATTTAGCACAATGGGGCCCGCAGACTGTAGGACTAGTGTTTAATCAAGAGAAATGATTAATACAGAAAGGAACAAAGTTTAGCAATTGGAAGCCTTTGCAGGGGCCTCATGGATGCCCATTCGGATGCTCCCATTTATATCACCCCATTGGCAACACCCCACCCATTCCCACCCCAGCGCGTCTGCCAGGACCACAGAGAGGAAGCCATGTCATCTACTTAGCTGTAGGACAATTTACACATGAGTGGGTGCCTCAGTTTCCTTCTCTGTAAAATGAAGGTGATAATGGTCCTAACCTCTTATTGTTGGGGGGATTAAATGGGTCAATGATGTGAAGCACTTAGAAAGGGCAAAATGTGCTGCGTGCAACAAATGTTAGGTGTTAATAACGATGATACTACCCTTATGATCATCTTTCAAGAGTCATTCTCCATGGGGATCTTGGATGCCAGGCTGAGGAGGGTGCCCTTCATCCCAAAGCGCAGTACATGTTGGTCCTGGGGTGATTTATCTTTATTGAGGTAAAATTCACATAACATAAAATTCACCGTTTTGTACATTCACAGTGTTGGGCAGCCATCACCTCTACTTAGATACAACATATTTTCATCATCCAAAATGAAACCTGAACCCACTAAGCAATCAATCTCCATTTCCCCCTTCTCCCATGCTGGCAACCGCCAATCAGCTGTCCATCTGTATTGATTTACATATTCTGGATATTTTCCATAACCATCCAGTATGGGACCTTTTGTGTCTGGTTTCTTTCATGTAGCATTTGTTTTGAGGTTCACCTGTTCGGTAGCATGTATCAATATTTCATTCCTTTTTAGGCTGAATCATATCTCATTGAGTTACTGTGTTTTGTTTACTCATTCATCAGTGGATGAACTTAGGTTAGTTTCTGCCTTTTGGCTATGATGAATTATGTGCTATTACGATAATCATGGATGAGTTTTTCTTTGAACACATTTTCAGTTCTTTTGGATATATACCTAGGAGTGGAATTTAAACATCATTTTATGGTTAAATTTTGAGGAACCATTAAATCTTTCCGTGGTGGCTGCACCATTTGAATTCTTACCAGCAATGTCTGGGGGTTCTAATTCTTCTACATCCGTGCCAACACTGGGCTTCCTTTTATTTTTTTCTAAATTATAGCCATCCTAAGAGATGTGAAGTGGAGTGTGATTATGGTTTGGGTTTGCATTTCTTTAATGAATAGTGATGGTGGGCATCTTTTCATGCACTTTCTGGCTGTTTGAATGACTTCTTTGGAGAAGCGTCTATTCAAGTCCTTGGCCTGTTTTTTGGGTTTATTTGTCTTTTTGTTGTTGAGTTGTAAGAGTACTTTATGCATTCTGGCTACTACGTCCTTACGACATAAATCATTTGAAAATACGTTTTCACATTCTGTAGGTCATCTTTTCACTTTGCTGACGCTGTCTTCTGATGCACAAAAGTCCTGAGATGATTCTAGACAGAGACTGAGCATAGTGATGAAAAACATTGCATCATAAAGGGAAAGACTCCTTCCTCTCTTCGTTCTCTTCCACCCTTCCGTATACCCAGAGAGAAAGGCTCAGCTTGGTGCTGGTGTGGCCTTAACACCCATTCAATCCTTGCTCATCTACCTTTTTCACAAAGAGAGAACAGGCTCTAACCCAAGAGCCTTACACAGGGCCAGCCAGGAAATTCATAGTCTGTCTTCCCCATCTTCACTGGTGATACTCGGCCTCCTATTTATACTAATGACAAAGAGTTTTAACATAATGTATTTGATGTCTGAAAAAATGGGTGAGTGATATGATAAGGCTTGTGAGGGTGCTAAGAGAATAGCAGAGTGTGAGAACTGCTGCTGGACACCTCTGGGCGTCCCCGAGCAGGTGACAGATGGGGGATGCCCAAGGACCCTCAGTCTGGTGATGGGATGTGGGGCAGAGGGAGGACGCTGGGCAGGCCGGCCATAAGCCAGCAGTTTACTGGAAATGTAATGGCTAAAACAATAGAGGTGTGTGGTCCCGCAGTTCCGGAGGCTGCAAGTCTGAAGCCAAGGCGTCGGCAGGGCTGTGCTCCCTTTCAAGGCTCTGGGAGGGATTCTTCCTTCCCTCCTCCAGAGTCCATTGGGTCCCGCAGTCCCTGGCATTCCCCAGCTTGTGGTTGCCTCCCTCCAGCTTCCACCTCCATCTTCATGTGGCCTTCCTCTCAGTATACATGTGTGTGCCACCTCCTCTTCTTATAAAGACACCAGTCATTGGATTAGGGTCCACCCTAATCCATGATGACCTCATCTTAACTAACTACATCTGCAATGACCCTATTTCTAAATAAGGTCACATTCTGAGGTTCCAGATGGTCATGAATTTGGGGGACACTGTCAACCCCCAGTACTGCATTGTTTGCAGCTGGCTGATGACCCATTCCCACTGAAGGTCTTGAGGCATGACTGACACCACTGAGTTTCCCAAAACCAACCTGGTGCATCCACTTTCACTCTGAAGTTCTGACCTAAATTGGCATTGGCACCATCAGGGTCCCTGGGTATTTCACAGAAGAGCGGGGAAGCAGATTTTCACAGACAAGGTTCAACCTGAGCACAGGAATTGTACGCCTAATCACCTAATCAACTTGTAGGTGCCTCTCAGGTACTTAACGTTGACTTGAAAATCATTGCTTAATTTAGGTCTGTTTCCTGTCTGAACTAAATAGAGTCCAGGAGGTTTATAGTCTTTCATGCTTGCTAAATTGTGTTTTACTTGGCTTCCAACTAAAAATGAGAGATCAAACTATACTTACGCTATGTTGATACAGAGTTCCGTCTTTATTGCAAACTTCACCACGTGGAGCTGGAAGACGTCTGAGTTCAGGGATCATGTTTTTGTCTTTGTTTGCCTGACTCTGCCAGACCTGGGGTACAGCAGCAAGGAGACCCATAAACATTTGGGGGGATAAAAGAATAGAGAAAACATAGTCCGGGTGAATGAAGGGGCCTTTCCTGCACCCCAGAGATGGTGTCAAGTCCCACAAAAGACTCTTTTATACCAGAAGAAAAGTATTTCTGTCATGGCTCTGCCATAAAGTATTCTCTCTCCTCCTTCCAACCTCCCCATTGTCACTGAATTTCAAATAAAATGATACTCTTTGCTCAAAAACGACACCAGAGTTTGATACAGCTCAAGTACAACTCCACGGCTCCTAGTCAGGTCAACTCTTATTTGACCTGAACATTGCTAAGCACAATTGAATAAACTCAAACTCTCACTGCCTATTTCCTATTTTCCCATTACCTGATTTTCTAGAAGATTGTGACATATATTTATTTTGAGGTTTCTCTCTCTCTCTTTTTTTTAAGTAACCAAGCAAGGGGTTCTCTCTCAAAAGACATACAATTCTGTGGCTCTACATTGATAAATATTTGAGGGGATGTGGCTGAGTGTTTATAGAGACCTGGGTGGGGGAAAAATACTGCTCAACTCCAACCTTTTTTCATAAACCTTTTGGCTAGTTCATTCACTCCTTGAACAAATATTTATGAAGCACTTATTTTAATGACGCAAGGGTTTTTCCAGGTAGGCCAGAATTAAAATTAAGTTCTGAGTGGAGATGTTTAGAATCCACAAACCACACAGTATTAACCTCTGTTAGTGCCAAAATAATCCATGGATATTATTTGGGTAGGGGGAGGAGTTAAAGTAAATATTTCCAATGGATTTCTGGAATTTACAAAATGTGTGTCCATTTATCCTGAAAGGGGATGTTTGTCTGTTTCAATAGAGCTTCCCATACTTGTCCCGATAAAATCTTACAATGTTTCAGAATAATTCCCACGTCTTATGAGCTATGACCCTGGAGATGTGGGTTTCTGAAGTCTGGTTGCTTTCACACTGCTGGGATTTGAATTCAGGCTCTGCCGTTTTACCAGCTGAGAAGCCTTAGGCAGATTACTTAACCTCTCTGATCCTCAGTGTGCACAGCTGGAAGGCAGGCACCATGAGAGTCTTGTACTGTCTCAGAGAGCTGCTTTGGGATCAGATGTGTTCTGTAGAGAAAGCGCCATGAAGACATCATGCCCTGATCAGCATCCGCATCTTGACTTTTGCTCATCTGTGCAACTTGCTCGGCTTCTGTACATGATTGTCTCTGAAATAAGAGGGCACCTTCTGCCTCACACACCTTGTTCCTACATTGATAAACCCTCCTACATCCCAATACTGACTTAGGGATGGAACCCCGAGCTTCTCATCACACCTGCTGCTTACAGGGGTTGCACTGGGGCTGGTAGTCAGCTTCCTCCAGGAAGAAGGCATCTCTCACCACTGGGGAGGCACAGGAGGCACCACGCCACGTGTGCCTGTCTGCAGAGTCCCCTGCCCAGGGTACATGCCCCTGGGAAAACTGCCCAAGGGAAACAGTGCATCCACCATCTCTGTCTGCAGCCCCGCTGGCTCGTCCGCCCTCGCCTCCCTCCCTCCCTTTCACCCTCCCTCCCTCTCTCCCTCATTCCCTCCCTCCCTCCCTCCAGGTGCCTTTGCAGCCTCAGGGCATTCACACTGCACCTCTGGCCTCCTCCTGGAGCTTCTGGAAGGTGAGATAAAGTCCCTGGGATGCCAAGCTCTCTCTGGACCTGAAAAAGCCTCCCATCAAGGAGAGAAATCCTAGAGATGCTTAGCAAAAGTTTCAGTAGCCAGGGATAATGTCAAACAGCCAGTCCCGGGTTTCTAAACCCAGTTGATCAATATCCCCTTTATTCTAGTAGGTCAGGGGACTCTGGAGTTGGGGGTGGTATTTCCTGGGAGACAGCCAGCCTGGGCTAGTGGAGCATCCCGCCTTTGCTTTTGGTATGGGAAGGAGCCCGACACACCTGGTCTTTCTCAACTCCTGCAAGTCACGTCTTCCCAGAATCTACTGTGGTAATTCCGGCCAGGACTCAAGGATGTAAGAAGTAGGAGACGCAGGATCAGGGGCACAGAGCTGCCAGCCCTTTCTCAGAAGCACATCAGCTGAATAAATGCACCAAAGCCTCCAGGCATCCAGCCTGTGTCCTCATCCTGCCAGGGCCCCTGCTCCTCCTGTCACTGATGAATGCAGCCAGTCAGTCAATCAACAAACCTGCATGAATTCAGTGCCCAGTGCTAAGTCCCAGAAGTGACAGAGAGACAGAGAGAGGAGTCTCTGGTCTGGCTGGGGCTGGGTTACTTTGTTTCCTGCAAATCTTACCAGGAGTGCACCTTGTCAGTCAGGGGTTGCTTGGAAACTCAGTCCTGGAGGCCCGGCCAGCTACAGTGTCACCTCCAACATGGTGCTGGCTGTCACCGCAAGCCACAGAAGCACCTTTTCTCCTGGCAGCTGGGAGCTGCAGCATCCAGGAGGGGTCTCACTGTCCAGCAGCCTGCACATTCTGGAGGTTCATATCTTTGGGACTGAAAATTGGGGTCCCCTTTAAATTTCCGTCTCCTGCTCAGGAATGTCAGTGCATAATAAGAGAAATAAAATGGATTTTGTTGCCTTCTCGTTTGGTTGCCTTTGAGCCAACATATTTTAAAGTGTTTGTTTACATTCCAGAAAAGGGTAAAACATCAACGGCAGGTGAGCTTGATGTTCTGTTAATTCCTGAGAGATCAGGGATGTTTTCTTGTGTTCGTGAACAACTCGGGGAGAGCTGAAGGGTGCGGCAGGTTCTGTGAGACTTGGTCTCTGCTTCAGGGCACGGAGCTGACATTTGCAAAGGCCCCCTGTGTGCCAGCCAGTGCCAAGGGCATGCTTCTTCCCTGTGGAGCTTCCCCCGAGGTGCAGCGAGGTCACTATTGTGCCTGTTTTACTCTGAGCCGGAAAGAGCTGGCCCAGAGCTACACGGCTGGTGGACTGGAGCTCGGGTCGTCCTGAACTTGTGGCCCAGGCTCTTTGCAGTGCGTGTGCTGCAAAGGACAGCCCTGAAAGATGCTGAAAAGAATTCAGTCATTTAGGTTTTAAAACTTGGGCTTTCCCAGCTCCTTCATTGTTTAAATATCACCAATGAAATGGAGGAAATTTATTTAGCACATAATTGTAGTCTCGTTTCATATGAAGACAACAACATTTCTCTCTTGTTTCTGAGTGGTGGCCTCACCCCCCTCCATGGCCAGGAGTCAGGGGGACATATGAGTCACCGTCCAAGCCCTGACCCTTATGAGAGAAAGCAGGCAAGACTGATAATTGCACTGAGCAATGACCATGAGCTGAGATGGTCTGGAACTCACAGGGGCACGTGGTCACCCTATTTATAGAACATCTTACAGTGATGAGGGCCATTCATTCATTCATTCACTCACTCACTTATTCATCCCTCAAGTCCTTCTGGGCAGCCCCTGGGTGCCAGGCCCTTTGCTGGCCGTAAACCAGGCCGACTTGTCCCCAGCCCTTCCAGCCTGGATACCTGAGTGGGGGTGGTTTGTAGCCCCTCTGTTCTCACACCAGAGATTACTTCCCATTTTATAGGTTGCCAAATGTACATGAGCGCCCACACACAGAAAATGGCAGAGCCCAGGGACTCTGAAGCCTGGTGGTTGAGGTATGCCCAGCCTTTGCTAAAGACAGCAGAGAATAGCTTGGCTTGGGGAATTGAAATTTTTTCTTGCCTGAGAAATATGAGAACTCCTCCCTTTGCCGGGGCACAGATCCCATCACCACCAGGTCAGGGAAGAGACCATGCGGTTCCCAGCCCAGTGCTCTCTGCCTTTTTCTCTCTCCTACTTCCTTCTCCTCTCAACTTTAGATCCCCAGCCACAACCGTCAAACCCTGTTCCTTTTCTTTTCTTTTCTTTTCTTTTCTTTTCTTTTCTTTTCTTTTCTTTCCTTTTGAGATGGAGTCTCGCTCTGTCGCCCAGGCTGGAGGGCAGTGAGGGCAGTGGCGCGATCTTGGCTTACTACAAGCTCCGCCTCCCGGGTTCACACCATTCTCCTGCCTCAGCCTCCTGAGTAGCTGGGACTACAGGTGCCCGCGGACACGCCCGGCTAATTTTTTGTATTTTTAGTCGAGATGGGGTTTCACCGTGTTAGCCAGGATGGTCTTGATCTCCTGACTTCGTGATCCACCTGCCTCGGCCTCCCAAAGTGCTGGGATTACAGGCGTGAGCCACTGCTCCCGGCCTTAAACCCTGGTTCCTTAAACAGCTGGTAACCCATCCATTAAGCGGAAGGCAGGCAGAAGGTTCGTGTCCCAGGAGCCACCCGTCTTCCTGAATTGCCACCCCTGTCCTAAGCATGACACTTCATTTGTACATACTTTGAGTTATAGTCTCCAGAATAATTAATTTTAATATTTATGGAAGAATCGATTCCGTGGGAAGAAAGCCAATTTCCTGAACATGGCATGCGGTTTAATGGGTAATTCTCTCTGTCATTCTAGGCAAGAAAAGTCCATTTGGGTGTTAAATTTCTTGGCTGGGGTAGAGATAACAGACCCACAGATTGTAAAATTCCAGGCTGGGACATGGGTGTGAGGATGACTTTTGGGAATTCAGATGAATCTTAGAATGCTAGTTCCTAATTAATCACTGTAACACGGCGAGTGAATGGAGAGGAAAAGCTATTTAAGAACAAATGTTTGGGCATTGGTGAAGTGGTTACGTTTCTAGAGTGATCCTGCAAGGATACTGGTTGAGGTGACTGGGGGACCCCGGAGGAGGCGCGGGTTAGGAAGGTTCTGAGCGTGGCCTGGGCGCACCAGGCGGGTGCGCGGTAGACGTTCCTGTGGCTTACCCGACGGTGCCACCTTCTGGTCACCTCTGGCATAGCACCCGGGCTTCAAGCTTGGCGCATGCGCGGAAGCGTCCCCGTAGCCCGACCCCATCCCTAATGCTTCCAAATTCAGGTGCTAAGTTGAGCCCATAAAATGCAAAGTTATAACACCATTTCACTAGAAATTCCTTTTAGGACACTCCTGTCACTCTATGCTTCCTCTATCTGTCCTGTTGGGCTGTGAGCATCCTAGGGGCTCCCCCCTCCACCCCAAGAGGGTGCCATGGCTGGTGCCCAGCCAAGCTCAGCAACTGTGGGTGCCTCACACGTGCCAGTTCACAGGCGGTGGCCTAAACACCTGGAATGTGGCTGTCACTGTCCCCCTCCCACCAGCTCAGAGCAGAACCTGGGCCAGAGAGTCCACCTGTGTCCTCACCCATCCTAAGGGCGGAAACTGTCCCAAGATCAGAGAAGGGAAAAACCTCTAAGAGACAGATGACATGCCCAGGGTGACAAGATAGACAGCCCAGGTGTGAACCCAGGTCCACCTGTCTCCTGGCTCAGAGTGACAAGATTGTGAGCCTGGGTGTGAACCCAGGTCCACCTGTCTCCTGGCTCAGAGTGACAAGATTGTGAGCCCGGGTGTGAACCCAGGTCCACCTGTCTCCTGGCTCAGAGTGACAAGATTGTGAGCCCAGGTGTGAATCCAGGTCCACCTGTCTCCTGTGTTGGGGCTCTTTTCAGAGTGCTGGCCGCCTCCTGGAGCCTCCCAATGCAACTCACCTTTGCAACTCAAGGGTGATTTTAGGGCAATAAAATGCTCCAGGATAGATCTGACCTTGTGGTCACTCAAGAGTCCAGCAACTTCCTGGCCAATAAACCAAACTTCTCCTTGCCCTGCACCTGTGAGGTCTGGCCCATCCTCCCCATGAGCCTGAGCTAGTAAATATCCAGTGTCACCTGCTACCCTTGCTTTGCTGAGAAGCCCCAGATGAAGCTCCTCACCATGGCAGCGAGGCACCCACCCAGCCTTGGGAGAGAGGCTCATGCCATCAGCTTTGTCCTAACAGCTGTGCTGTTGAACGCCTGGGTTTCTGCTCAGCTCAGGAGTCATTAAGGTGCACCTGCTACTTGCTAGGCATGGACGAGGCATCATTTCCTGTCCTTGGGAGCTTCACAAGAGCAGAGGTGGGGGCTAGCTCTGGTGGCATATTCAGCACCTAGGACACCTATGTCAAATACAAGGATTCCAGTAATTTTTCAAAAGGTTGGCACCAGCCACTCCCCACAACCCTACCTTGAACCCACTGAAGTCTTTTTCAGGGGAGTGTGGTCTCCCAGTTAGACTAGAAATCCCTGGAAGGCAGCAAGGTTGTCGAATCTGGTTAATTAAACAAGGCCTCCTTCCCTGCTCTGTATCCAGAAGACAGTCAGTAAATATTTGTTAAACAAATAAACACATTTCTATTACTGGCTCTTGGTCAGTAAAATCAGCATTTCTTTAAAAATTCATGAGCGCCGTAGTGCTTCCCACTGTGAGAGCAAGCCATGTTATGAAATTGGCATGAATTTTCTATTAAAGAGAAGAGTCTATTTAATAAAATACTCCCAAAGGGTAGCTTTTTGGGTTACTGCTGTGCTGCATTATAATTTTCTATAATTACATGCTGTTGACTGTAGTTTACCAACAGAGTGTCAGTAAAGAAAAACGTAACCCTGGAACTGTATTACTTCAAGTGTGTAGCCTTACCAAATGGAAACTCATCGGTTAGCTGGGTCGAGGGTGGCAAAGAGAGTGTTCTCCGAAGTCGTGAGTAGAGGAAACATAAAGTTGCCCTGCAGCTCTCAATGTGTGCGGTCAAAACAAATAGCTGGGGGGATCTGTTAGGAAACCTGTTGGGATAATCTAGAAATGGAGGGAGAATCCTATCTTGGAGCGCCACTGGGGGCTGCTAGTAGAAAGGAGTTTGATGGACAGCAGCTTTAAGGGGCAGCACCTGCTGAGAAAAGCAATCCTTTAAACGGTCACATGGTAGACAGAGGAGGGATGTGCTATGATCTGAATGTCTGTGTCCCCCCCCAGATTTATATGCTGAAATCTGATCACCAATGTGCTGGGTTGAGGAGGCGGGGCCTTGGGAGGTGATTAGGTCATGAAGGTGGAGCCCTCTTGAATGGGATTAGTGCCCTTACAAAATAGGCTCCAGGGGACCTATTTGTTGAGGACACAGCAAAAAGGTCTTGAACAGGCAGAGGGCCCTCCCCAGACACCACATCCGCTGGCACCTTCATCCTGGACTTCTCAGCTTTCAGAACTGTGAGGAGCTTCTGTTGTTTACCCAGTCTAAGATATTTTGTTATGGCAGCTGGGCTGACTAAGACAGTGTGTAGAGGGAGTTTCCCGAAGGCAGGGCTGTGTTTGTTGTGTTCACCTTTGAATGCAAGTAGGTGCCAGTAAGTAGTGGAATGCATGCATGTGTGCGTGCAGGAGGCTACCACGGAATTAGACAAGACCCAATGTGCCCCTACCTCTGCCATTCTCTTGAAGTGTGCCTCAGGCCAAATTGCCTGTCCTCTCTGGGTCGTGGTCATCTCTGTTCTAGATGAGGATTCTGATCCTCCGTCCCAGACTGGCTGGCAAAGCAGGAGATGCACCACCCTAACAAGTCTGATGAGGACCAGGGCTTTGGCAGGGACCCCAGCTCCACAGGTCCCCTCCAGGCACTGGCAGAGGGTGCGTCCCCTCACAGCTGGGGTGTCCAGGGAGGTTGTGAAGCAGCTTCTCTGAGTTATAAAATATGGAGCGTTCTCTCCTTAGTTGCAATTTGGGGTCAAATGTTCTCCCAAACAACCGGAGGAGCAGTTATAAATAATGCATGCACATTGTTTGGCCCAATTAACATTCTTCAGAAGATGGGGGCAATTCTTTGAAGTCTCTTCCTTCAAACGGCGTGTATCGAGGGGGACATTGACACACCCCTGTTGGGCTGGGCCAAGCTTTTGCCCTAATTAGATATTTACACAAGAGACCCATGCGAGGAGGGCGGATTTATTTTTAATAAAAGAAGATTAAAATCTGTGTATCTGCAGCATATTAAGGAAGACTGAACCAAATTAAAAATTCTCCCACAACTTTGAATAGTGGGGGCCTGGAAAAGGAAGCATTTCACTTGGAATTTACTAAAAGTTGTTGCTTTGAGTCAGGAAGAAAAAAAATCAGCAATCCCCCATCCCCCGTCTCAACCCCAGCTTCACCTTGGCTTGTTGGCGCTCCCAGTGAGGGCACTGGGGGTGGTCAGCGGAGCCCTCTGCATTTGACGAGCCACTATAAACCCAAACCCTGTGGCTGGGCGTCCATTTGTGGAACTGCAGCCCCAGGCTGGTAGGAAGGAGACAGTGGAGATGACATGGCTGGGAATGGGATGGGGTGGGGGCCATGCTGACACTCTGCAAGCTCAGGGACCAGCCCAGAGGGTCACACAAGAGTGCATGCCACACCCGGTCTTCCCGAGAGAAGACAGATCTCCAGACTTTCATGTGGACTCCTCTGATTCTAAATATTTCAAACTAATTTAAAACCTTTGTAAACATATATACTTCCTCTTCCAACCTAGAAATTCCACTTACGGTTGTTGACCCCAAATACATGAAGAAATGTGTCCACAAAAAGACCTGTACCCAAGCATTCATAGCAAAGACCTGTACCCAAGCATTCATAGCAGCTTTGTTTATAAGAGCAAACTAACTGAAACAACTCAAATGTGTATCAAGAGGAGAATGGGGCCGGGCCTCGTGGCTCACGCCTATAATCCCAGCACTTTGGGAGGTCAAGGCAGAAGAATCGCTTAAGCTCAGGAGTTGAAGACCAGCCTGGACAACATAGGAAGACCTCTTTTTTTTTTTTGAGATGGAGTCTCGCTCTGTCGCCCAGGCTGAAGTGCAGTGGCGTGATCTCGGCTCACTGCAAGCTCCGCCTCCTGGGTTCACACCATTCTCCTGCCTCAGCCTCCTGAGTAGCTGGGACTACAGGCACCCGCCACCACACCTAGCTAATTTTTTGTATTTTTAGTAGAGATGGGGTTTCACCGTGTTAGCCAGGATGGTCTTGATCTCCTGACTTCGTGATCCACCCGCCTCAGCCTCCCAAAGTGCTGGGATTACGTGAGCTACCACGTCCAGCTGAGCTCATCTTATAATTAAAAATTGGCCAGGTATGGTGCCACATGCCTGTAGTCCCAGCTACTCACTTGGGCCCTGGAATTCGAGGTTACAGTGAGCTATGATCTTGCAACTGCACTGCAACCTGGGGGACAGAGCAAGACCCTGTCTCTAAAACTAATAAATAAAAGGGGAGAGCTGGAGAGCAGATGGCAGCACAATCACATGACTGTATGCTGTTCTGCAGTCCAAAGGAATGGGCTGCGGTGCCCATGAGAAAGCGGATGGGCCTTGAAGCCTGTGGCACTAGAGAAGCTTTAGGACACGAGCTGCGTGTTTCCACTTAGAGGAAGCTCAAGGGCAGGCAAGGGCATCTTCTCTGGAGGTGGAGATCAGAATGGTGTGGGCTTCCTGGGGTTGCAGGAGGGGACTTTTTGGTAGACTGAAAAGGGACAAGAAGGAGGTGTCTAGGATAGTGACAGATGTTCCTCCAGGGGACCAGGGCATGGACCATATGGGGGTCTGCAGCAGACATTTGCCCAAACTCATCATACCGTAGGCTTAAGGCCCATGCACTTAACTCTATGTAATTACAGCTTTTCAAAAAATGTAAAACTTTCAAAACACAGAACAGGTCAAACCCAGTAATACAGGTCACATTTAGTCAGCGGGACCCAATTTGCAGCTTCTGTTACAGTAAATTTGTACTCTTATGTTAACCAGGCACCCCCAGCCCCCAGGTGGAGAAACATCCTTCACCACCAGCCATCCATGTGGTGAGAACCTAAAACTACTCTAAAAGCATGTCTATTTTTTTAGACCAGTGCCACTATGCCTGGCCAATTTTTTTTTTTTTTTTACTTTTTTAGAGATGGAGTCTTGCTATGTTGCCCAGGCTGGTGAGGAGACAGCTCAGGGTCCAGGGAACAGCGTGGGCCAGGCTGACGGCGGTGAGCAGAGGGCAGTTCAGTGGCCTGGGAACAGCACCCAGGTGGCCGAGATGTGTCGGTCCCTGGGAGGTTGGCACAGCTCAGAGGGGACCACAGGGACAGCCAGAAAGGTCTCATCCCACCAAATCACTGCCCACCCAGTGGCCCCAGTCATGCTACTGTTTTGGATTTGTTGGTATGACTTGCCTTTTCACACAGGTGAGAGGAACAGACTCACCTTGTTTAGCCCAACGTGGCTGAGGCACAGCAGCTTCCTGCCTTCCTGCCGGGGAGACCTGTGGCCGCTGTGGAGCCGGTGCCGCCCTGGCCTTGGCTCCCTCTGCCCCAGACCAAATACTCAGGGGTCCTGTGAGGTCCCTCCCACTCCTCCTTTACCTTAGAAGAGTTTAGGAAATGTGGGTGGAAGATGAGGCACATCTTGGAAAGTGTAAGGCAGACCTCGTCATGCACACGCATTGAGCACCTGCTGTATGCGAGTCAGACTGCAGAACTGAGGGGTCAGAATGCTGGGAGGAGACAGCCCAGCATCCAGTGAGCAGCGTGGGCCAGGCTGATGGCAGTGAAAAGAGGGCAGTTCGGTGGCCTGGGAACAGCACCCAGGTGGCTGAGAGGTGCTGGTCCCTGGAGAGGTTGGCATGGCTCAGAGGGGAATGGATCAAAAGAGTTTGGCGGGGCAAGTGGGGCGGGCATTAAGAACATTAAGAAGAGCTGAGAGCTATAGAAATTGGAGGTAAGAGGCCTGGCACGCTTGCTGGATGGGCCAGTGTGCACATTGTGAGGGCTGCTGCCCGAGCTGGCCTCAAAGAGGAGTCTGGGTTCAACTCCAAGGGCAGTAGGACAGGGTGAGAATTTTTTTTCTTTCTCACAGACATTTTTTAGAGGAGTTTCAGGATCACAGCAAAATGGAGTGGAAGGTACAGAATTTCCATATGCCCTCCCCACACAGGCACAGCCTTCCCCACCGACAACATCCTGAAATGGAATGGGACATTTGGTAATTGGATGACCTACTCTGGGACAACGCAGTCACCCAGAGTCCATACTCTATGCCACTCTCAGCCTCGGTGGCCACATTCTGTGGGTTTGGACAGATTTCCGGTGACCAGGACCCGCCAATGTAGTATCCAAGGGGCTTCACTGCCCTAAAAATTCTCTGTGCACCGAGGCTTTTGGAGGCGCAGAGGCTTTCACTCTGAAAGCTGCAGGGGGCAGTTAGAGGGGTCAGGCTGGAGGCTGTGGTACAGGAGGTGGGTAGGCCTCCTCCCCCAGCCTGGCTCAGACATCCACTGGGCGTCCTTCCACAAAACGACCTTCTCGGAGCTCCACTCGGACTCCACTCGGGCATCCTGCATGCTTCGCATCACACACAGGGACAGGTGAGGGATAAAGTACCCGGCAGGAGCCCACAGGGGCTGTGACACAGGAGGGTCTGGCACAAACTCGCTGGGCTTCTCACGCCCACAACAGATCCAGTGCCTGCCCTGCAGAGCCCAGCAGCCCGGGC
This sequence comes from Homo sapiens, assembly GCF_000001405.40. Taxonomy (NCBI): domain Eukaryota; kingdom Metazoa; phylum Chordata; class Mammalia; order Primates; family Hominidae; genus Homo; species Homo sapiens. Next base: position 128,018,093 of record NC_000010.11, read on the forward strand.
TGAGAGTGGAAATTCCCAGAGCAACTGAGAGGGGTGCCTGTTCCGGAGGTGGTAGGAGCTTTGGGGCTGGGGGCGTGGGAGGTAGGAGCTTTGGGGCGGGGGGCATGAGAGTGACTTCTGAAACTCGGCATCCTCTGAAACCTCACCTCTAAATCGCACGGCACATTCCTTCTTGACTCCAGCTGGGCCAGAGGCTCCCTCCCGGCTGCTGGATGCTGCTCCTAGCAGTGCTCATCACAGGCACCAGACCCCCAGGGGCTGGATGGACCCATCTGCACAGCAGTTCCAACTGCATCTCACACACGTTACCATCATCTCGCAGATCTGTGTCATCCTGACGCTTAAATTTCCTGTCTTGTGGTCCAATCAAAATAGGTCTTACTGACCCAGCCAAAATCTATATTCGTGAGGCTTTGACGATGCAGATGTTTCCTGCTATTCCTAGAGCAGGAGGCGGTGTTGGCCGAGGCCCTCGCCAACAGCTGTTCCCAGAGGAGGGGGGCTGAGAGAAACTCGGAGGGAGGAGAGGCCGCCTCCCCACAGCCTCCATCTCCTCTGCGACCAGGGACCCTCACTCTCCTCTGCTGAAGCCTAAAGCTGCTCCCGGCCAGTTCTCCCAGATCAGCACCCTCAGGAAACCTCAAGAGTTGAAAACCAAGACAGCCAGAAAATGGGGGCTTCTCAGCCTAGTGGGGAGTACTGAGCCCTGGGCTCTCCAACCCTCCAAGCCACTCCAGTCCCCATCTCTCACACTCTCTGCATCTCTGTCTCTCTCTCTCTCACACACACACACACACTCACACAGCACATACAGATAGACACACAGATACACAGTGTTTCAGCCCATTTCTACAGAAATGACTAATGTGCACACTGCACCAGGGAAACACCACATTGAAATCAAGGACTCCAGTGGGTCAGGAGCCGAGGGTGCATCCACATTGAAATCAAGGACTCTAATAGGTCATAAGCTAAGGGTGTATTATTTTACCCCAGGCATTGGGGCATCCCCTGGTCCCTGGGCCCCCTCTCCCCTCCCAGCCCCAGACAGGATCGTGCAGCGGTTCCATCAGGACTTGGGAAGCTGAGAGGCCCGACTTCCAATCCCAGCCCTGCCCCTTGCTCACTGCATGACTTGGGCCCATTGCTTGGCCTTTCTGAGCCTCAGTTTCCCCAGCTGGGGGAGTGAAGATGGCAGTTCCCGCCTCATAAGGTTGTGAGGACAAGACAAGAAAACGCGGGTGGATCGTGTAGGCTGACGCCCGGCACTCAGAAGATCTCCACGCGATGCTGTTTTTGCGGGGTCACTGCCCTCCTCTCATCCCAGCGTGGCCTCAGCCACCAGGAGGCCTAGAACTCTGGGAAAGGAGCAGTCAGGACCGGACATGGCTCTAGGCTTTTCTTGTTTCTCTAAAATACTCAGAGTCCAGGGTCCTTCGTGGGATCTGCCTTGAGTAGCCAGAGCTGGCACAAAGGGAATGGGAACCCTGAACACGGGTTTGCCATTCCGGGGCTCTCTGGTGGTGTGTCCTATGTCAGCCCATTCATTCATTCATTCATTCATTAAGCACGTGTTCATCAGCTGCCCCCTGAGCATCCACCATGTGCATTAAGGTTCTCCCCAGGCCTCTGTTGGGCGGGGAGCTCAGCCTGAAGCCAGGCTGTGAGTGGGATGGGAGGGGGTGCCAGACAGGGTCCTGCGAGAGGTGTTGGGCCCACAGCACCCACGGTGCCTCTCCCAGAGGACCCCTGCCCCTCTCATCTGGGCAGTGAGGATGGTTGGGGTGGACGGCCTGGCTTTGCCCAAGCCCAGAGCAATGGTCCCGGTACAGTGATTGTTATTAAGTTCTCAGAGAAATGCCCAGAGTCCCTCAGGTTGGTCGACATGTGTTCCTTGGACTCCTCAAAGGCTTTGCCAGAGGGTGGAGGCTGTGTGTGTGTGTGTGTGTGTGTGCACGCGCGCACGTGTGTGTGTGTGTGTGTGCGTGCACATGCACGCTGGACACAGGGCTGTGGCGTGATTGTCAGATCGGAGGCAGAGTAATTGTGCTCAAAGCAAGAATAATTAATAAGCCCACACTTTTCCACAGCAGACCTTCTTATTAAAGTATCAGAATTTAAGCAGCCCAATGTTGTACATATGGATGTAAATGAGATACACATTGTCCATTTGAACAGCTCTAACTTTGTTTCTGTCTCAAGTGGTACATCTGCACTAACACAAATCCATTTTTTACTTGACTTTGATTTGCTGATTAATATTATGACGCTGAGTTCAGGTATATGATCAGGTTACAAATATAATCAGTTTTTCACTGAATGGCTGTTATTTGGTTTCCAATAACAGAAACCTGTTTAAGGATATTTCAACAAAAAAACAAACAACTGCTGAGTCTTACTGTGGCTCAGTATTTGGGTTTTAGTACAAGAGTAACTAGATAACCCTGGACGTATTCTCTTCTTGGTTTATATTTTTTAAAAAGAAAAGAAAAACAGCTCGGTTTTGACATTAAGGAAATGGCCGGTAGCTTCTGGTTTCTCTGGGCAGCCCTGCTGGGAAATGCTGGTCCTTACTCTTCTGCTCACTGCCCTCCTGGTGTCCCAGTGGTGGGATAATCCAGAGCCCACCTCAGACAAGTTCTAACCCAGATGAGCTCACAGTACTGCCATCCTGCTGCATCCTGAGCGGGCAGTGGGTTTCCAGCGTGGGGCCCCATTGTGGGTGATGGAATTTAGAGGAAGCGGTGTGATTTGATAGGGGTGGTTCAGCCATAGCTCAGCCCTGTGGGTACAGTGTCTTTTTTTTTTCTTTTTTTTTTTCTTGAGATGGAGTCTCACTCTGTCGCCCAGGCTGGAGTGCAGTGGCGCAATCTCAGCTCACTGCAAGCTCCGCCTCCCAGGTTCACGCCATTCTGCCTCAGCCTCCCGAGTAGCTGGGACTACAGGTGCCCGCCCCCACACCCGGCTAATTTTTTTGTATTTTTAGCAGAGATGGAGTTTCGCCGTGTTAGCCAGGATGGTCTCGATCTCCTGACCTCGTGATCCACCTGCCTTGGCCTCCCAAAGTGCTGGGACTACAGACGCGAGCCACCGCGCCCGGCCGAGTGTCTTTTTTTCAGGTGGGATGGTGGTGAACTCAATAAGAGATAATTTTGCACATCAGGCTAGACCCTGCATCTGAAGTGGCAGAGGGCATTCATTCTCCAGGTGCCACACAGGCCTCTGAAGGGACTGTGACCTCCTGGGGGCAGGGGTGTGCTCCCCGACCTCCTGCGAGCCTCCTTAGCACTGAGCAAACCGCCCCCCTCCCCGTGTTCAGGGATATTCGCTGAAATGAGCCAGGTGGGATTTAATGGACTCTGAGTACAACTGTGTAGCCTCAGGTTGCCTTCAGCATCCAGGCCCTCGGGGCACCGCCATGCTCCCCAGAACATGAGCTCTCAGAAAATGCAGTCTGTACCCAGCATTAGCACAATCAGAGCCCTGGTGAGAAGGTGAAACTACTGTCCTTGGCCTCCAAAGCATAGAATGCCCCCAAGCCAATGAGTGGTCATGAAATTTCCCACCTCCTGTTCTTCTCACCAGTCAGTCAGAGACAGCGCCTGCTGTGAGACTGTGCCCCGGAGTCTCACCACAGCAGGTCACGGGACCACAGGTGCCTGCTATGAAGGAGGGAAGACAGGCCAAAAGGCACAGAAAAAATAATCTTGCAGTTCTAAGTTTCTTGCTGTATCTCTTACCACGTGCTTCCCGTGAGGCTGCTTTTGGCTGGAGGGTCAGCTTCTTTGACTCTGATGGCGAGTCTTCATTCCTGTTCGAGGCTTTGATTTCCAGTAGTTGGCCGCAATTTTCAGGACTGATCCTAGAGTATGCATTCAATTATTGATCATCAATAGTTTATTGTCCCATCACTGCGTCTCCCCTGGACGCGGTAATGGAAGTATTGGTTTATTCATGGATCCTGTTTGAAGGACGTGACAAATTGATTTTCTGACACAGCCCAGATAAAGTCAAATGAAAGTCACAAGGTAGAAGAGGTGGTCTTGACCTGATCATCACATTGAAAGTGTCTTTACCATGTTCGGAAGCCCTGGAGAATCTCACAGCACCACCCAGGCCCCTCCTGAGTCGGCAGCACTGAGTCCCCAGGTGCACCTGGCACCCCGCTCCCTGAGAACCACTCAGACAGGACCTGAGACAATGCCCAGTGAGGAAACAAGGCAGGGCCAGGGCTGCCCCCAGGCCTTGTGAAAGTGGGAGCTGTGCTTCTCACAACCTTCCTGTCCCTGAAGGGGGAATCCCAAGGCCCCACTGGGCATTGTCCAGGCGTTTTGTGAAGCTCGGGTCCAGAACAGGAGTTGCCTGGCAGCTTTGGAATCGACGGCCCAGGGCCTGGCCTGCCCCGTGCTGACTCCCCCAGTGAGAGGGAGGCACACACCTCCCTGTGCTCCTCCTGGTCACCCTCCCACAGTTTCACTGGTGCTGCTGCTCTGGACTCTGCCCTGCACCTCCAGAGGCCCCTCCAGAAAGTGCAAGACCATGAGAGGGCCCTGACTCACAGGAGCTCATGTTCAAGTTCAGAGAGAAAAGCAGACAGGGAGGCACACAGCGCAGTGGATGGCCAGCCATCATGGCCAGCGGAGACAGCTAGCAGGGCTTCCCAGGCGGGCACAGGGGCCTGGGAGGGGCGCTGGAGGCAGGTGTGATGCCAGAGCGGAGTCCTGTGAACAAGGGCCAGGAGATGACGGTCGATTGGAAAGAAACCGCCATCGCTGCTCCAAAGTCACCCTTGGAATTGTAGTAATTTTGACAGGCTGTGGCAGCTGAACATCTTCATTAATGTGAAGACAATCATGAAGACAATGAAAATGACTCTGACCACCTGTCCCAGGGAGTAGAGAGCGCCATCTGCATTTGCTACAGTGGCCCCCGTCCGTGGTTCCACTTCCACAGTTTCAGTTACCCACGGTCAACTGTGGCCCAAAATACATGAGTAGAGTGAACAAGATAGTTTGAGAGAGAAGAGAGAGACCACATTCACGTGACTTCCATGACAGTATATTGTTAGAATTGTTCTATTTTATTATTGTTGTTAATCTCTTACTGTGCCTGATTTATAAAATAAACTTTATGTAGGTATACATGTATAGGAAAAAGCATAGTATATATACATTATATAGGAAAAAGGATAGTATATATACATAGTATGTATAGGAAAAAGGATAGTATATATACATAGTATGTATAGGAAAAAAGATAGTATATATACATAGTACGTATAGGAAAAAGCATAGTATATATACATAGTACGTATAGAAAACGGCATAGTAACTGGTCTAAAATAGGTGAGTAGAGTACAAGATACTTTGAGAGAGAAGAGAGAGAGCACGTTTACATGACTTCCATGACAGCATATTGTTAGAATTGTTCTATTTTATTATTGTTGTTGTTAATCTCTTACAGTGCCCAATTTGGAAAATAAACTTTACGTAGGTACATATGTATAGGAAAAAGCATAGTATAGTATATCTGTGGCTTCAGGGGCTCTTGGACCGTATCCCGCACAGATAAGCGGGGAACTGCTCTACATAAATCGATGGTGCTTTCCATTAGAGCCACGGCAGTTTCTAAAGGAAAAAGTAACAAGACTGCAAAAGTATTGAGGGCAGTGTCCTTGGTGTCTGTGAATTGTAGTTTACTTTTGTCTGTGGAGGTTAACCTTGCTGTCTTCAGGGCACGCTTTCGTGATCATAAATAGTCTACTCTGTAATAATATTTTGGTCTTGGTAAGATCCAAAGACTATCCCAAACACAATTATCTTGTCACTGCTTAGGTGGCAATTTTTAATGAGTAAAGGATTCAACCGGTATCTTGGTATTGGTGGTATTAGTGGTATATATTATTTGAAATGACAATCAGCTACTACAAGGATGGGAAAAATTAATTATTGGTAATCTTTGAAACTCATGAAGAATTGTGAGACATTGTACATTGTTCTCAAATTTGAGATTAGGTAAGGAAACCTTTGTCTTTCATCTTTGGTTTTATGTGACCCCCATTCAGGAACGAAGAGTTATCACTTTAAGGCTCTCAAGGGCTTCCTTGCTTTGTTCTTTCAAGACAAGAAGGATAATTTTTCTCTATAGGGAGGAAATGTATACAGTAAAAGTCTAGCTATATATAGTCCATTCTGTCTTATTTGGCCCCAGCTATTATTGTAAGGTTCACTTCTTTAAATGGGTAATTAGCCATTGGGCTTGTTGGTTGTTGATTAAATGAATTCAAGTATGGCTTTAGGGTCTGAGAAAGCGTGCTTTCGAGAAGGTTCCTTGTGTCTCCAGCTATCTGTGGGTCTGTCATCTTTATTGGAATCCAGATAGACTTAATTCTCACAGGATAAGCTCTTTACTTTTTATTCATTTTCAAGAGGACACTATGCGTAATTGGAATTACGCAAATTAGAGGATTAGAGTTTGGCACACAGGAAATTGAAATTATCCCTTAACAGACTTGCTGACTCGCCAGCGTTCTTACCGGTCCTTGGCCTGGGTGGAGTGCTGTTGCGTCCTCGGGCAGACCCTGTGCCTGTGCTGGTCCCACCCCTCAGCATCTGGGCCTGCCCAGTCCAAGCCAGGCAGGGAGCCCCAGGAGGAAGCCCATCAGGGGACTTCCTGCGGCTTTAAAATTTCTTTTGCTTTTTAAAAAATTATTTGATAAAATAAAGTTTGGTGTATAATCCACAGGTGTGCACTTGGGGCTTCTGCAGTGTTTATATAAGAAAGCATTGAGCAGTGGCTCACACCTATATTTCCAGCACTTTGGGAGGCCAAGACAGGAGGATCACCCGAGGCCAGGAGTTTGGGATCAGCCTGGGCAATATAGCAAGAACCCATCTCTACAAAAAATATAAATGAAATTAGGCAAGCATGATGGTGCATAACTGTAGTTCCAGCTACTCAGGAGGCTGAGGTGGGAGGATGGCTTGAGCCCAGGAGTTTGAGGCTGCAATGAGCCATGATCATGCCACTGCACTCCAGCCTGGGTGACAGAATGAGATCCTGTCTCAAAAAAAAAAAAAAAAAAAAAAAGAACAGAAAAAAGCACTGAAATGAATTATGAAGCATTGTTAACTCTTAGACATAATGGATTTTTTAAATTCTTTTATGACAAATTGCCACTTGCTGTTACTCTGCCAGCATCAGGGAATGGGGTCAGTGCTGTAACTCCCCAGTGAGGACCCACGGCTTCAGCTTCTCTGTCTTAGCTTTGCTGGAGCTTCTTCTTCACTCAAGGAAACCCCATCTGCAGATTCCAAGCCTCCCACTGGAGAGGTGAGGTCAGGACGTGGTCATTTGAGTATGGAAATAGCGATAGATTTTATTGCCCCACTTTACAGACGAGTAAACTGCAGACATCACCTCCGCAGTCATCCACACAGTCAGGAGTAGGCCTGGGCGTCAGAGCCGGACCCTGTGCCCCCATCCTGAGCTCCTCCCAGACCCTGCAGCTTCTCCATGCAGCCTCATGTGGAGGGAGCCCAGTGCCATTCTTCATCCCCCCAGGAACTCCCCAAACCCTGGGGCCTCCCTGCCTGCACTGGATTCGGGTCTGAGGGCAGCACTGCCCACAGAGCCCTACATGTCGGGCTGGACTTTGCCACCAGGACCTGCTCCAGGGGACCCAGGGAAGCAGCCCCTCCCCAGCTCCCAGCAGCCTCCTGGGTCACCCCCTTTCCCAGGGCACTGTCTGTTCCCCAGGGACCTCAGATGCCTCTGAACACACCTGGCTTGTGTGTATAGGGTGCAGGGGGCATGTTTATATGGGGAGGGAGACAAATATTTTTGTCCATGGCTGCCTTTCTTTGGCAGCCAGAGCCAGGTACTTCCAGAAGTACAATCTCCCAGGGTGTGCTCAGAATTCACTTTCCAGCACCCCGAGAGTCTCCCATGTATCTCCAGAAACCCCAAAACAACCCATCCCTGGCAGGCCAAGCATGCAGGCATGGTGGGTGGCTATGTGGCCTGACTCTGCACGGCCCAGGTGGGCCCCAGGCTGCAGAAGAAAGAACACAGCACTTCCTCCCTCAAACCCCCAGCGCCTCTCTGGTTGGCCAGCCAGGTGCGGTGGGCAAATGCTTCACCATCTCTGACCTCCCTGTCCTCATCCATCTGTGTTCCAAGGCAAAGGGGCACTGCCTGTCTGGGCTACTGTCAGGGGAGGGTCTGGCGAGAGGCCCCCTGCACGCTTGCCAGCCAGCACAAAGCAGTATTTATCCCTTCCTCCTTTCCACCTGGCTGGCACCTGACCTCTCCCCAGTCTGTCTTCAGTGAAGGAAGATATAGAACAACGCCCACTTCCAGTGGGTCAGCTCGGGCTTGTCCGGAGCATGGCTGGTCCCCTGCCCAGACCCCTGGAGGACACTGTGGACCCATTCAGGTCCCTGCAGTGATAGCCAGACCAGGGACACCACCAAGCCCCTCATCCTTATTTCTCTGCCTGTTTCCCCTCCCACTTTTTCTCTCTTAACACTGGACTTCTTTGCCAGTCTTTTAGTAGTGTTTCAGTGATTTTACATTTAGACATAGGCAATTACTTTTGTTCAAAACATTCAGCTCCAACCTTCACCAACTGAGATAAAAAGCAAGCCCTTTGCATCCTTTTCTCTTTAACAAGCAAAGCTGTCTCCAAAGAGGCCAGCTCACCGTGGCTACATCTGAAACATGCTGAGTCAACAAATTTTTACCATTAAGGGTTTTTTATTGTTATTCTTTAAATCTTTCATCCATGTAAGTATATTCACACTTGAAGCTTGGAAAATGTCTGGATTTTGTTTCTCCTTCAGAAAACATACTTTGAGCTTTTGTTTTTCTCCATGTGTAACAAATAATCATTTTGCCCTATGAATCATATTGTCCTGATTTCATAGAAAACAGGTGCAGTATTAGATACAGACGCAGAGAGGGTCAACCCACAGCTGTGGTTTTCATGTCTGTGGGCAGGACTTATAGTAGTCCCTATTTCCTAGAGAGGGTATTAGCAGGCAATGAGGTGACGCTTAGGTTAGAAGCGCTTAGCACAGGGCCTGGTGTGTACTCAGTGCCCAGAAAGGTTGATTTGTATTATTAGCAATTATTCTGAGAAATTAACTCTGGCCTTGCTGGCCTGTGCTTCCTGCAGTGAGAGGCCTGATGGAGCCCAGTGGTCTGTGTGGCTGTCTGCTTCCTAGCACTCTCCCTCCTCGGCTGCTTTTGTGGGGCCTGCATGGTGGAGGGATGCCTAGCACCCCAGAATTCAGCCCCTACTGACCAGCACCCCACAGGAGGCAAGTCAAAGTGAGGCTCTGAGCTGTAGGTTAAAGGAGGTGCTTGTCCACTGGCCAGGAATGCCATTTCCCTGCTGTAATCGTCCTTGTTGAGGCTGTTCTGCTCTCGGGTTTATCAGAAGATAAAGGGGTCAGCCTCCGCCTCCTGGCCTTTGCTTTCCTTCCTAATCCAGAAACATGTGGGTCAGCGCCTGCATGACCAGGATGGATACTGGAAGAGTGGGCTATGGAGCCTTTGGAAAGGTATCCGGGCATCATTTCCACACCAGCATTCGTGTTATTTCTCCGTGCATGAATGGATGGGCCTTGAAGAGCCCGAAAAAGCAGGCTGAGCTCTCCTGAAAGGGGATAATCCTTGGTCTTTCTCTTTTTGCCAAAAGATCCTGGATAAATGAACCGAGAGAGACCCCAATCTGGACCAGAGATGGTGCCCCTGACGTTTGAGCCCACCTGGCTGAAAGAGGGCAGGTGACAGTCCCAGGACACCCACAGGAGGCTACTCAGGAGCCTGTATTTTGGGCAGAAACAAAGAAGCTGAGAGGCACAGTGAGGTGGGACACCAGCACGCCGAGGGTCTCCACCTCCCCAAGGCAGGACAGGCCATGGCAGAGGCTTCAGGGGAGGGTTCCGGCTTTGGCTGGGGGCGTGGGAGTCTCCAGAGGCAGCGAGCCCAGGACACTGATGGTGCAGACCACTGGATTTCTGGAGAACACTGTACTTCGCCAGCCTGCGGCAGACACATTATTCACAGAACTTTCTCCAAAGGAGGTTAGCCATGTTTGTCAGGCTCAGGGAGAAGTGAGGAGGCCTCCTTACCATCAATTAAATATGGGATCCGGATCACCCTGCGCCTGTCTCCTCCCCAGTCCTTTCTGCGACCTCAGGTGGCCTCACTCCTGGCAGGCAGAAGGGACTCGGGTCACACACAGCCACACTCGGGGATTAGGACCTGAAGGATATCATTGAGCCCGCGCCCGCCCCAGGCTGGAATTGCTGGGCCGTGATCTCCTCCATCTTTTCTTTCTCCAGCTGCCTCTGAAGGTCACAGAATCTGCATTTCTTAGGAAAAATGGGGCAAAGGTGAGATGGTACACAGCACACCTGGCCCTGGCTCAGCCCCCCAATGTGGACAGGTTGCAGAAGGCCACTGCCTCGCTGCAGGAGGCTGGCCCTCAGCGCCCAGCAGAAGCGGCAGCCCCATCTGTCCCCGAGACCCCACCCCCTCAGGCACAGCTGAGCAGCCCGCCGGGGCCCAGGGTTCCTTGGTCTTGGGTTCTGATGCCTTCATTCCCAGAACACGAAGCCAAGGCCAGGAGTCGGGATCTGCTCCCAGGAAGAAGCCTCCATCCCTGCGGAGGGCTTGAGACCCTCTGGGATGCGACCCAGTCCCCACCCATGGCCACTCACTTCCACCCTGCCCCGGCCCAGCCCTGGCCACCCCAGACGTCTGGCCCTCGTCCCGAATGCTGTCCCCTCTGGCCTCAGCTGTCCTCCTCGAGGAGCGCTATCCTGCTCCGTCTCTGCTCAGGGTCCCCCCAGAGGCCTCCCGCTGGGATTTGTCTCCACTTTGCAGTTGCCTTTTGCCCCACATGCCCCGTCCTGTGGTTATTTACCTTATGGGGGCATCCTCCCTCTTGATTGCGACTCCTCGGAGGCAGATAAGAGTGGGTGGCTTTCATCTTCCAGCTCCCAACTCCCAGCCCACTGGGCTGCTGTGCTGTGGTGCACGTGAGTCATCAGATGCCCCAGGCGGAAGGCTCGTGGGGGCTCAGGGCCCCAGCTGGGGGCAGAGCACCTCAAGAATCCTCTCAACTGGCTGCAGGCTCCTAGTTCTTGGTGACTTAGTGGATGGAAGACCCACCTACAGGTTTCCAAGCTGCTGCCTTTCTCTAACACATGGGCGGGTCCTGGCTCAGCACTATTGTTCTCCACCAGCCCTGACCCAGCACCCACTGTGAGCCAGGCCTGTGGGTGTCAGCACTAAAGACCAGAAGAGTCGCCAGCCCATGGGGCGTCTGAAGCAGGTGGCACAATTGACCCTCTCAGCCCAGACACCACCCAGGGCCTTCTCCCTGACCTCGGCTACAGCAGATGAGAAGGACACTGTGGGAGAACCGAGTCAGGATGCCCAAACTGGATGACTTCCCTGAGGGCGGTGCACTGCTGAAGGCCCGTGGGTCTCCATTCTCTGGGATAATGCCAGACTCCAGCAGAAGCTTTAGTCTATTTCTGAATAGAGAAAATCTGCTGAAAAACGTCTATTTTCCAGCTGAATAAACAAGCCTTTCAAGAAGAGGAGGATGAAGAAAAGACGGCATGTGTCCAAGTTGAGCTGAGACGGACTGTAAGCCCAGGCCTGCCTAAGGCCCCCACAGTGGGCATCACCAGGGCTGGGGTCTTAGGGGCCGCCAGCTTCCTCCACCCACCTGCCTGCACAGACAGCTCCTGGGCATCAATGCCTCAGCAGTCAGATCCGCCCAGGCTGCTTCTGAAAGAGTTTTGTAGAGAGATTGCTCTTCTGGGGGCGGGGACAGGACACTTATCTCCATCCCCCCACCAATCATCACAGGAGGATGAAAAACCTCAAAGAAAGACCCAGGGGGCAGACACAGGCACAGATCCCAGTGGAGATGCAGGCTCCGGAATTGCAGGCTCCTTTTTGGAAACGGCAGAGGCTCCCCATGTGGGCTTCCCTCACCCCTCCGAGGCCTTCCCAGGAAGACTTGGTGGCAGAGACCGTGTCCACTCAGCAAACACCACCGTTCGCTTTGCTGAGTTTGCAGTTTCCCGCAGCATGGCTGCTGCCCTGGCGAACAACGGGGCCACGCCGTTACAATAACCAGCCCTTGCCTGATGAGTTACAGTTTACAAGACTCACTCATTTATGATTTCGTGGGATTCTCTTGTTTCACTCATTGGGAAGCAGGCGCAGAGAGGTTAAGTGTTCTGGAAAAGGCCCTCCTCTGGGGGTAGAGGGAGGGGAAAGAGAGAGAGAGAGAAAGGATGAGAGTTAATGAGAAAGAGAGGCAGAGAGAGACGTCGAACCAGCTGGGTCTTCAGGCTCCGTGGCCCGGGCCCTTCAGAAAGTGCCGTGAGTTGATGTGCTGGAGAGAATCCACGTGTCAGTCCCCGACACCTTATTTCTTCATGGCGATTCCTTTAAAAACACCCGTGGAGCACCTCCTCTGTGGCAGCTCTGAGAAGGCACCAGGGTAGAGACCTGCATGAGAGTTGGCCTCTGCTTTGAGCAGTGCCGCGTGCATGGATAATCCTGCCGGCAAGGTCTTCCTGGACATCTCTGAACACTGAGGGTTGGCGTTGCCAGGGGAGACTCCTGGTCGCCCGCGTCCTATTCAGGTTCTGTGGGTTCCCAGGGCCCTGTGCTCTCTGTCCCCTGCAGGCCTCCCTCACCTCCCCAGCCTCCTTGGACCGGCTGACTCCCTTTCTCCCCAGGCAGCCCTCCAGACCCCTCTAGACAGGGGCAGGCACCCTGCAGGGCGCCCCTACCACATCGTGTGCTTCCCCCGCCTAACACATGGCAGTTGCATTCTAGTTATTGAAGTCTTTTCTCTCTCTGGCTGAATCGCAAGCTTTGGAAGTGGGGAGGTGGGAGGAGGGGCCAAGGGCAGTGTTGGTCTTGTTTAGTTGTCTCTCCACATCCTGGCAGTCAACTCTTAGTAACCAATGCTGAATGAATGCATGGATGAATACATAAGCCAACCAGCAGGTACTCTTGAGTCTACAGTCTCCCTCAACTGGCAGCTGATGGATTTCTTTGAAATCAAAAGTGTAGCGTAAACCTACCCACAGAAGTTTAGTCCAGTCATCATCACTTTTGGAGGTCTGATCCAGGGTGGGCTGTACTCAGCGAGGCCTGGGGTGCAGCTGGCCAGCGTCTCCTCTGTCAGCCACACCCCTGAGCGGAGGCTCCGTGGAGGGGCTGCAGGCCTCAGCTCCGGGTGCCCTCTTCTCAGTGGGAGACAGCGGGAGGGCTGTGCTGTTTCCAACATTCCCAACACTTCCATTGTTTCACACCATTACTGCCGAGCCCCAAGGGCGGATGGGTGGAGCCATGTTGTGTGGGCCCTGCTGTTTTCCTGGCCAGGGTGTTTTGGGCAGTGGTTCTGTTTCCTATATTGATGTTTCCCACGACCCTGCCAGGTAGCCTCTGATAAAGCACATCTCTTCTGAGTGAGCAATGGCCTTTGGGGGCCATGAAGTACCTGTGAGTGTGACTCTGCCAGATGACGGGCAGGTGCAGCCATCAGTCGGACCTGAGCAAGGCTACATTCCTTACCTGGCTCAGGTGTGAATCTTCAGGGCAGCAAAATGTGGATGAGACTGAGTAAGGGGAGAATCAATATGTGTTTTGTTGAGAGAAGGAAAAATATGAGCAGGTCTCATGACAGAGGGGTCAGAGATCTAAATCTTGGAGGGCCCCAGGGCTCAGTTCCAACCACGCCACCCCTTCTCTCTGCATTCTCTCCAGGGGGCCGTATTTCCCTCTTCAACAGAGACAGCCCTATTTTCTGCTTGCTATCCCTGTGTCCTGTCCACTTTCACATTTGCTCCATATTTTTCATCTTAGAGCAATTGAAAATTAAACCTTTATTTTTTTGAAACAGAGTCTCTTTCCATCACCCAGGCTGGAGTGCAGTGGCGCAATCTCGGCTCACTGCAACCTCCGCCTCCTGGGTTCAAGCAATTCTCCTGCCTCAGCCTCCTGAGTAGCTGGGATTACAGGCGCCTGCCACCACGTCTGGCTAATTTTTGTATTTTTAGTAGAGATGGGGTTATACCATATTGGCCACAGTGGTCTTGAACTCTTGACCTCAGGTGATCCACCTGCCTTGGCCTCCCAAAGTGCTAGGATTACAGGCATGAGCTACCATGCCTGGCTGAAAATTAAACTTTTAATGTTGAAATGATACTTGCATTAACAGAATCCAGGAAGGTTCTGTAGACTGTCCACTTGTGCCTCCAAGCTTCTGCTGTGCTCTCCTCATAGGATGGAGACACCTGTGTAGGGAACAGGCTCTCTTTAATCATGACTAAATCCGGAAGATGACAGCCACCGTCTTCTCTCTCTTCACCACCCTTTCCTAACACAATGTCAGTAACACTTACCTTTCAAGGACAACAGGCAGGTTAGAAGAGAAAAAGTGCCCTTGGAGAAGAGTGGGTTAGAACCAACTCCCGTTGGCCTCCCAGTGTGGCGGGAGGAGGCTTCAGGGTTGGGACTCTTGCTGGCCACTTGTGGCACCAGCCAGTTGAGCTGCGGCCCACACCATGGCCTGTGAGATGCCATGGTCATCAGCACCTATCAGAAACATGAGAAATTACAGGGTAGAGGATTTTGAAATATTTGCAGGAAGTCAGTACAACTTGTAAAAAACAAACAGTCTGAACTCTCTTCTTCCATGGGCTTGGGCATTTATCATATGGTGTGAATCTGCAACTCTATTTAAATTATGTTTCAATAGAACTTTCTGAATTTGCCTTAAACTTGTGGGTCAGGAATAATTAGAAAAGGCATATCAAGCACTGATTTTTTTCCAGAAAGTTGATGATAATGTTGGTATAATTTGTAATTTATACAAAATACTTATAAACATTTACTAACTACCTCGGGGGCTGTAATGGTGTCGCTGACCACGTAGAAGCCAGGAAGAAATAAAAAGCTACTAAGAGATCATCAGTATTCACTAAGCGGCTGCTTGAAGAACCCTGCACCTGAGGATGATAAATTGAAGGTGCTTTGCAAACTGCTAACAAAGCATGACTTTTCACTTAGCTCAAACGACTATTCTCAGCTAATTTTGCTCATCTTCAATTCCAGGTTTCACTGTGTGCTTACAGAAGGTGAAGTGATAGCTGTTAGTGCTCCCAAGGGTAGAAGAATTTCACGAACCATCAGATGATGCCAGTGTTACATCAGTGTCACTTTCAAGCAGGAATTTTCAAACAAAATCAGTCCATTCCCATAGCAGTTTTATTTTATTTTTTTATTCATTTCATGGAATCCCAATACAACTTGGATGTTCCTCCTGTCAAAGGCAAGACCTTGACTTAATTACTAATGTCACAGGAAAGGCAGTGGAAGAGTCAGCATCATGATAAAATTATTTGTGGGGGAATTATGAATATGATTATATAAGTTTGGGTAAAGCTCGGCATTTGTAGTAAATGTATTGTACTTGGAATTGATTATGGTGTACACATCATTTATTTACTTATTTATTTATTCAAGATGGAGTGTCGCTCTGTCACCCAGGCTAGAGTGCAGTGGCACAATCTCGGCTCATTGCAACCTCCGCCTCCCGGGTTCAAGCGATTCTCCTGTCTCAGCCTCCTGAGCAGCTGGGATTACAGGCGTGCACCACATCACCCATCTAATTTTTGTATTTTTAGTAGAGGCGGGGTTTTGCCATGTTGGCCAGGATGGTCTCGAACTCCTGACCTCAAGTGATCTGCCTGCCTCGGCCTCCCAAAATGCTGGGAGTACAGGCATAAGCCACTGCACCCAGCCTCACAGCATTTATAATTGTGTCCAAATTGGACATCTCATCAGTTAAAATAGAAGCTGTTGATGTCAAAATTTATAAATAGTTACATGTACACAGAGTAACTAAACTGCAAATTCCTGGTAATTAGGCTGATGTTGAATTTTTAAAACACTGCCGCTTTGTAGTATGCACTTTCTCTCTCCTGCTCATCATCAATCAGATTCTAGAAATGTTCGGGCCTTCAAAGAATTATTTTGTAAATAAACCTAAGTGTCCTAAAAAGATGGTGAATCTTTCTGCAAACAAGGCCCTAAGTGTGAGTTTAGTTTAGTTCCAAACTAGTTGGAAATATATTATGGGAGGATTCAATAAATGGAGCACCCAAAACCCTCCCCTCCACACCACCCCCCCCACCGACACACACACAGAACTCTTGGCTTTTGAAACTTTTATAGAGTTAAAATTATTGAAAACAAAGGTTATGGCTGGGCATGGTGGTGGCTCACACCTGTAATCCCAGCACTTTGGGAGGTCAGGGCGGGAGGATTGCTTGAGTCTAGGAGTTTGAGACTAGCCTGGGCAACATAGTGAGACCCCCCCCATCTTTACGAAAAAAAGTCTTAAATTTTGCCAGTCATGGTGGTGCATCCCTGTAGTCCCAGCTACTTGGGAGGCTGAGATGGGAGGATCCCTTGAGCCCAGGAGGTTGAAACTGCAGTGAGCCAGTCTGGCAACAGAGTGAGACTCTGCCTCAAACAAACAAATGAGGTTATGAACAGGAAGACACTAAAACTTATTTCTACAAAAACAAGGAAGCAATAAAGTGAATTAAATGATGAGAGCTCACAAAATGCTAATCTAAAAAAATGCAGGCAATTTTATTTTAAAAATTAAAACATGAATAAGAACATTGAAAAATATATTGAATGAAACATATTAGGAACAGATAAGGCTAAGAAATTGATCAGAGCCTGTGAATGTGTGCTGAGAATAAGTATTATTTTACGTTCTCATTTTATTTTCAGATAATCAATACAAAAAGGTTTTTTTCTTTTATTTTTATTTGTTGTTGTTGTTGTTGACACAAGGTCTGGCTCTGTTGTCCAGG
This sequence comes from Homo sapiens, assembly GCF_000001405.40. NCBI lineage: Eukaryota > Metazoa > Chordata > Mammalia > Primates > Hominidae > Homo > Homo sapiens. Next base: position 128,035,030 of record NC_000010.11, read on the forward strand.
CTGGAGTGCAGTGGCATGATCTCGGCTATTGCAACCTCCGCTTCCCAAGCTCAAGTGATCCTCCCACCTCAGTCCAGCAAGTAGCTGGGACCACAGGCACCCATCACCGCGCCCAGCTAATTTTTTGTATTTTTTGTAGAGACAGGGTTTTGCCATATTGCCCAGGCTGGTCTCAAACTCCTGAGCTCAAAGCGATCTGTCGGCCTGGGCATCCAAAAAAAGTTTTCTTAAAAACATATATATGTATATATATACACACACACACACACAAAATATGTTATTTTGTTTTCAGAAAGATTGTTTAATTTTTAAAAATATTTTGTGAATAGAACTACTTAATAGCCTCCCAGCTTAATAAAATCAAATCATTGGTCAATAAATGTTTTAGAGAAGCATATATTTTGAATCATTTTAGCCCCCTCCTTTGCTCTCCAAGAAGTCCTGGTTTGGATGAGAAATTACATGGGACCCATTCCAGGGGCTCTCTTTAAGTGCGGTGGCTTTGAAACCTGAGTATGGCTCCCAAATCATTGTCTCCTGCTTCCTTGAGAAGAACCCTCATCTGTTTCTTAGTTGAAAGCCAAACAGCTGCAGGTTTTGACCAGGTAGGTGATGGGTTCGGGCTGCAGAGAGAAAACACTACCCTCTTGGAGCTGCAGGGGGCAGTGTGGGTCAGTCCACTGCTGGACATCCTGGGCCAGCTGGAAAGGGCACTTTCGGGTTTGGTAGGGCCAGAGGGGTCAGCTGGGCAACTCCTGCTCAGAGGCACTGGCCCAGGGATGGCCCCTTGCCCTCAAATGCCCTGAAAGCTCCAATTATTGAGGTGCCGGAGAGAAAGTCAGGGACTGGGAAACGGGGACACAAGACAGCCCCTACACTCTGGGGTCTCCTGGGCTGGTTGAGACGTCCAAAACCCAAATCACCTTACACAGGGCCAGACAGTGTGATGCCAGGAAGGACTCCATCTCAGGTCGCTCAACCTCAAAATCTGGTGGGGTCAAGTAAAGGGTGAGGAGAGAGAGGGGACCACTCCAAAAGAGGAGGCAGGGATGTTGGGAAGTGGACGGGGATCAGGAAAATCCCTTTCCTACCCTGGGTGTGTACCTCGACCTGCCTTCTGCCCTCCCCCGAGCCCAGCCACCTTTTCCCAGTCTCCTGCCGAGCTCCCTTCCTCGGGCCCTAGTGCAGTGACTTCCTGCAGCTCGCCACCTTGACCCTGGCCTTCCTCCCCAATAACCCCCACAAGGAGTGCCTCCCCCACACGCTGCACTTGCAGCCCACCTCCCCTTCTGACAAGGCCCCAGACCCCAGATGCAACTCCTACAGACAGTCTCCCCAGGAATGTTCCACTGTCCTCTCTAATGCAACCTTTCATCTTCAGTAACAACAGGACATTGCTCATAGGATTTCGGTGAGGGTTGATGAGGTCATTTATCTCAGAACCTCAGGTAGCTTATCCCGCTTCATAGGAGCCCAGTAACTGGGAGCTTATATTATTGCCTTATGCCTCCAGCTAAAAATCATCCTTATCCCCACCCTAGAGCCCCCATTGTCCTTGTCTCAGCTAATGAATGATGCTCCCTCCCACCCCAGCTCCCAAGATGGAAACCCCGATACCTTTGTTGCCCCACTTATCACCCACATCCCACTGACCACCACTGCCAGGGACCCTACCTTTGAAATCCTTCTAAACTCCCTCCCTCCTTTCCATTCCCATTGCCTCCGGCTTGGTCTTTCTTAATCCATTGCTTAGACCAATACGTCTCAAATATTAATGAGCAGAGGAACCACCGAGGAATCTTCATAAAAGGTGGGAGGTCTGGGATGGTCCTGAGACTCTGCATTCCTCACATGCTCCCAGGTGATGCTCGGGCTCCTGGACCACTCTCCGGCCGCAAAGGCTATCCTGTGTCAGGAGCTGACGCGCAGCATCCAGGGCTCCCTTTGGAAACTTTCCTGGCGGCTCATGACTCGTAGCCAAGATTTTCAAACTTCAGTCTATATAAAGCCATTATTCCCCAGATACTCGGATTTCTTCCATCTGGAGTTGGGCACAGGAGTGGGCATCATTCCTTAGTGCCCCCAGGAGACTCTAATAATGTAGATTGTTAATGGAAAATGAGCCCTTAGGGCCAAGCCAAATCTAGCATAGCATTGAGGACCTACCCAATTCCTCTTCAGACTTTTCCTCCTCACTCATCTTCTCTCACATGCCAGAGAACTGTGAACTGCCTGGACAGTGGGTTCTGTCTGGGCTCCCTTCACTCCTCTGTCCCCTGGCCTGCGTCTCCCTCGCCTTCCGTCCTGAATGACTCACTCACTGCACTGCATTTCTGGGGAAGGTTTCATTAACTGCCAAGAGGAATCATTGCTCCCTCACCTTTGCTCCTTGGCACATGGCCTTGTCTCCAGAGCATGGGAGTGGGGTATCAGGGTGGCTGTTCTTCTGCCTGCCCTTCCTCCTCAATGAGCTACTTTAGGGCTGAAACAAGACTATATTCTTTGCATCTCTGGGGCTTACCTGGCTGCCTGACCTAAGAACTTGCCCAGTGAAGAATATTAAAAAGACATCAGATGGAATAAAAAGACAGATTTATAATGAAGTAGATAGCAGGTTGACTGTTGAGGGGAGTAAATATACAACCTGCTTTATCATAAATAAACTCCTTTTCTCATCTCAGTTCTAGAAATCACATGCAATTTGTGCTCTACATACTCAGCATTTGGTAGGCTCACAACAGAAACTGATGAAATACAAATCCTTAAAATTCTGCATTTTTTTATATGAGTCTCGCTCTATTGCCCAGGCTGGAGTGCAGTGGTGCGATCTCGGCTCACTACAAGCTCCGCCTCCTGGGTTCAAGCAATTCTCTGCCTCAGCCTCCTGAGTGGCTGGGATTACAGGTGCCTGCCACCATGTCCGGCTAATTTTTTTTTTTTTTTTTTTTTTTGTATTTTTAGTAGAGACAGGGTTTCCTGGGCAGGCTAGTCTTGAACTCCTGAACTTATGATCCACCCGCCTCGGCCTCTCAAAATACTGGGATTACAGGCATGAGCCACCGCGTCTGGCCCAGCATGATTTTAATCACTGTTTCAAGCATCATTTGGACCAATTCATGTCTGTGCTCACCAGGTCACTTATGCAAGCCCACTGAGAGTGAATGGCCAGGGACTGGCAAGTTGTCATTGGCCTTAAAACTATTGTGGAAGTTAGTGTGGTGATTCCTTAAGGATCTAGAACTAGAAATACCATTTGACCCAGCCATCCCATTACTGGGTATATACCCAAAGGATTATAAATCATGCTGCTATCAAGACACATGCACACAGATGTTTATTGCGGCACTATTCACAATAGCAAAGACTTGGAACCAACCCAAATGTCCAACAATGAGAGATTGGATTAAGAAAATGTGGCACATATACACCATGGAATACTATGCAGCCATAAAAAGGGATGAGTTCATGTCCTTTGTAGGGACATGGATGAAGCTAGAAACCATCATTCTGAGCAAACTATCACAAGGACAGGAAACCAAACACCACAGGTTCTCACTCATAGGTGGGAATTGAACAATGAGAACACTTGGACACAGGAAGGGGAACATCACACACCGGGGCCTGTCGTGGGGTGGGGGGAGGGGGGAGGGATAGCAATAGGAGATATACCTAGTGTAAATGACGAGTTAGTGGGTGCAGCACACCAACATGGCACATGTATACATATGTAACAAAACTGCACGTTGTGCACATGTACCCTAGAACTTAAAGTATAAATATATATATACATATAAAAAATGGGGACAGACCCGGGCTCCAGCTGGTGGACAGGCTTTGAATTCTGCAGGTTGTCGCCCATTGCTGGTCATGTCAGGAAAATCACCTGTGGCTCTCCTGAGCACTTCCGGACCTCAGTGTCTAACAGATGAACAAAATGATCTTTGTCTTTCTCAAGGGTGTCGGCCTCCTCTTAGATCACTGAGCATTTGGAGAGGAGGGTTATTAAATTAATGCATGAGATAAGAAAATGTTTCAACTAGGAATTCTGCATCTCTGGAATTGTATTAAACCAATTAATACTCCCCAATCAATTACTCTGTAATTTACTCAAGTATATTAAAAGTATTGTGGCAGTGTGCAATACCAGATTTTTAAAAACAGTGTGTGCCTCTGTGGGCAGAGCTGCCTGTCGTAGAAGGGCCAGGGCAGCATGCAGCGGGGGTGAGGGCTTCTGTCTCCAGGGTTCCTGGGTTCAAATCACAGTTCCTCCATATCCTCCAGCCTGACTTTGGGCCAGTTCTCTATCCTTCGGGAACCTCTGTTTCTCAGCCCTGTGGGGTTATTGTGCGGATAATACAGATATAAAATACCCAGCATATAGTAGGTGCTCATGGAATTATTTGTGTATGTGGCTCATTTTACAAATCTAAAATGTGTGTTTTGGAAATAAAAAAAAGAGGGAAGAAGTAAAAGTGCTGATTGCCACCATCGTCGTTGTTCTGGGCTAATTGTTATAATATCCTCATAATGGTTTCATCTTAATAGTGGTGATTACTGAAACACAATTAGGATTTTTCATGCTCATTCAGATGTCTTCTCTAATTACAAGCATTAGTGTTTAACATGTGAGCAGCCGGGGAATGGATGTTTCTTGGCCTCAGTTCTGAAATGGGTCCATTTGCATCCCTGAGGGAGGCCTCAGGCAGGAGGGCTGCTGGTGGGGACAGGCTGACCTTGGACGGGGTTCAGGGGGTGGGGAGTGGGGGGGCCACACCTCCACTGCATGTCTGCATTGTCAACAGCAAATCCCATTCAGCAGGTGCCACTGCCCACCTGCACCTGCCAGTGAGCCTCTAGTGAGGGGTTTCCACAGCACCAAGCAGTCACTGCCACATTTAGCGATGCTCTGATGTTTTGGCAAAATGGAGTGCCAGGTGAAGATCTGAGGTGATGGCCCACAGGTCCTCAGCATGAAAGAGCCTTTTTCTGTGCTGAGCCACTTTACAATCTGGGTCTGCCCCTGGGCATTCCCACCCCCTACCCCCAATAAATACCTGCATCCCAGGGTACTCAATTGGCTCTGTCAAGATGAGTGGACCGTGGCTCCATCCTCGCAGAGGCAGCTTACCTCCACTTCACCTGAGAGTTTAGACATGGCCATGGTCAGATGCAAGGGTCAAGCTGGAGCCAGGCAGAGCATGCTGGAGCCAGACCAAGCATGTAGGAGCTAGACCGAGTGTGCTGGAGTCAGACTGAGTGTGCTGGAGCAGCGAAGAACAGAGAACTTGGCTGCAGCTGGGTGATGAGGCTGCATGAACTAGGCCCTGAAAGGATCGAGGTTTCCCAGGCAGAGTGAAGGGGGATGAAGAAACCGATTGAAAAGCAGTGTCTTGCTGGGTGTGAAGAGGACAGCGTGGCCAGAGAACAGGGCTTGAATGGGAGGGGTAGAGTTAGCAGGGCGAGTGGAGGGTGGATGGTAGAGGGTCCAGGATGCCAGGCTAGGTCACCCAGATGTGATTTCTGCTAAGTGGTTCCAGGGAGGGCAGGGGTCTGGGATGAGATCACCCTGGGTTCCAGTCCCTGATCTGCCCCCACTAACCATCAACCAAGCAGGTCCTTTGAGTCCTGGTTCCCTCCTTTGAGTGAATGTCCACAGTCAGTGACTGTATCCCCCTGGTGTTGAGAAGCCTCAGTGAGATGATCCGTGAAAGTGACAGGCAAAGTTCTTGGCTCAGAGAAAGCCCTGAAATGAAGTTGGCTCTTCTCCTCATCATCACTGCCTGGCACCGGAGGGTCCCACAGCTGCTGCTGGATGACCTCTGAGCCTGTCCCTGCCTCTCTGCAGGTCCACCATGGAGCCCTTGTGTCCACTCCTGCTGGTGGGTTTTAGCTTGCCGCTCGCCAGGGCTCTCAGGGGCAACGAGACCACTGCCGACAGCAACGAGACAACCACGACCTCAGGTAAGGACCCCTTTCCCTGGCTGCCTCCCCTACTACCTCCTCCTAAGCTCCTGGGACCATTCAGAGGGTGATAAAGGGGCTTAGGGTAAGAGAAGAATGGTGTGGCTGAATTTCTTAGTGTGCTTTTAATAGTTTGTGCCTCTAAAAACAGGCAGGCTAAATAAGCTAGTTTAGCATTTGGTTGTTCAGCAAAGCTTAGTGTTCTGGAGGTGACCCATCTACAACCCCAGCTGAGAGTCAGGGTCAGCCTTGGCTGGAGGCAGGAGTGCAAAAGGGTTAAAAATCCCCCAAAATCCCCTTGTGCAGAAAACCAACCATGAACATACATGGATGAGGCGATGTGACAGTTAATGATAGGAACTAAAGAATTATTCTTAGGCCGGGTGCGGTGGCTCATACCTGTAATCCCAGCACTTTGGGAGGCCGAGGTGGGCAGATCACGAGGTCAAGAGATTGAGACCATCTTGGCCAACACGGTGAAACCCTGTCTCTACTAAAAGTACAAAAATTAGCTGGGCGTGGTGGTGGGCGCCTGTAGTCCCAGCCACTCGGGAGGCTGAGGCAGGAGAATCACTTCAACCTGGGAGGCGGAGGTTGCAGTGAGCTGAGATTGTGCCACTGCACTCTTGCCTGGCAACAGACAGAGACTACGTCTCAAAAAAAAAAAAAAAAAAAAAAAAAGAATTATTCTTAATATTTTAGGTCAGATATTGGCGTCATGGTTAGTTTTATTTTTAAAAAGAAGAGTCCTTGCCTTTTGACATGCCTGCTGAAGGGTTCACGAGTGAACTGTGATGTCTGGGCTTTATGCAGAAAAGAGCAAGAGGGAAGTGGGGGTGGGGGCTTGTGAACAAAGTCACATCAAGAGCCCCACATGATTCCCTAACCCTGGACAAATGTCCTGCAAACCCTGGACAAATGTCCTGCAAATGTACCACTGGCCCCAGGAGGAGGAAAGAGTAAAGATTTCTGGTGACAGAACCTCTAGCAAGGAGAGCAGTTCTGAGCGCCCACCTGTCTTTTTCCTCTTCATGTTGAAACCTCAGAGAAATCCAAAACCCCAAAAATGAGAGACCAGAAGCTGCCCGCAAATATTAACTTGCCTCTTTGCAAGCCAGCCTTTCAGGGGCAGGTCACTGGTGGTTCAAAGAGTTATTTCAACCCACAATCCCGACTTTTCTTCCCAACGCTAATCGACTGGCCACGTAGAAACATCTGACAAACTGCCCGGATGTACCCTCACATCCAGGAGCCACAATGGCAGAACATCCGTTTGCGCAACAGTGGGGAAGAATCTGCCCGAGCTCTGCAGACAGTCCCTCGGGTGGCACTGTGGGCACCGGCAGGATGACGTCCACTCCACATCTGAGGCTTTTCAGTTTATTTGAAAACAAAATTATTGGGCTCACATATTGCCATAGACATGGGGTGTTACTTGCAGGAGGAGGACACTGTCATGTGACCTCAGCACCCAGAGCAGAACTAAATGTGAAACTCACACCTTGGTCCAGCCTCTGCCAGGGCCTCTGCGTGCTTAGCAAGGCTGCTGGTCCACGAGCAAGAGGGAAATGGGCCTCGGGTTATAAGGCGCAGACGGGCTCGTTTGACCTAGAATTGTGGAGGGGAACCTGACCCTGTGAAGTGCCCTTTAAATCTTCATCTGACCCCTGGAAGAAGTATGAAGGACCATTTCAGATGATAACACGTTTCCACAGTGTGCCAAAATAATAGGAAGCTGTTTCATTTGTTCATCGAACAAAATATATTCAGTACTCATGCAGACAAATTCTTTTACAGAAGGAATTGAAGGTAAATGTTTACAAATTATGTAATAAAATGTTATCTATAAAAAATAATACGTAAAAGAACACAGTCGAAAAATGAGTAGAGAATATGACCAGGTAGAATACAAATATCTAATTATGTTTCACTAATCATGAAAAGATGCTCAACTCTCTAGAAATTAGAGAAATGCAAGTTAAAATGACATTATCATTTTACCTATCAGATGGACCAAAATGCAAAGGGTTGGCAAAATATCCCAGAGAAGAGAAACTGGCTCCATCGCACATTATGGGCAGCATTCCGCAACCTTTGTGGCACCAGGGACTGGTTTAATGGAAGACAGTTTTTCCGTGGAATTGGGGTGGGGGGTGGTTTGGGGATGATTCAAGTGCATTATATTTATTTTGTACTTTATTTCTATTATGATTACATTGTAACATATAATGAAATAATTATACAACTCACCATCATGTAGAATCAGTGGGAGCCCTGAGCTTGTGTTCCTGCAACTAGACGGCCCCTCTGGGGGTGATGGGAGACAGTGACAGATCACCAGGCATCAGGTTCTCTTAAGGAGCACGCAACCTAGATCCCTGGCATGCGCAGTTCACAATAGGGCTCACGGTCCTGTAAGAATCTAATGCCGCTGCTGATCTGACGGGGGGCGGCGCTCAGGCGATAATGCCTGCTCACCTGCCACTCACCTCCTGCTGTGTGGCCCAGTTCCTAACAGGCCACAGACTGATATCCATCTGTGTCCTGGGGGAGTTAGAGACCTCCGCTGTGGATGAATGTAGAAGTTGGACACTTGGGGCTGCCATCTTGGCAATTGTGTTAAAATGTAACAGGCGTACAGGCTAACACAGAAGCTGTCCTACAGAAACACTTGCGAGACACAAAGATATATATGTGTGTGTGTGTGTGTTGCAGAATTGTAGGTAATAGCAGAAAAGTTGGAAACAACTTAAATGTCCATCCTATTTTGGTCTATCCAAAAAGTGGAATCCAAGCAGCTATTAAACAGAATGAGGAAGCTTATCTGGGCTGACATGGAAACTCTCCAAGACAGACAGCCGTACCAGAAAAGCAAGCTGGAGAACTGCCCCGTGGTGCATTTCATCTGTTTCTTTCATATTTAATGTGGCTATATGGGGACGTGTCTTAAAATTGGTAGCACTTCACAATTATAATCAGTATCATTTTTTTTCTTTCTTAGTGGTTCTTAAAATAACGATACTTTTTACAGTCCGTGAAGCTGTAGATGAAACGAGAGGAGTAGTATGGTCTATTTATTTCCCAAACCTGCATATTTATGAACGTAAATTTATAGAAGAAAATGTCAGGAAAGATACGCTTTGAAATCTTAATTATGTTTAACTCTGGCAAAGAGAACAGGTTCCTGAACATTGAAAATTTTAGGCCGGAGTGAGTTGGGACCTTAAACCATTGTCTGCACACCTGTCCTTGAGTGAGCCACATCTTTTCAGTATGGACTTGCTCCGCCTCTAGGGCCCCTGGGGAAGGAGGGCTTGGAATGAAGGTGGGAGAGGAAAAGAGGGATGGAGATAAGATAGGGGACACAGTGAGAGCAGCTGTGCCCTGGGGCAGAACTGAGGTAGTCCCTGGAAGACCCCGGCTCTTGGCCAGAGCTCAGGATCAGCTTCCTGAGCAGAGGGTGCTGGGTGGCTACACTCCAGCCAAGGTTGCCATTCTCTTTGTCTCCTCCAAAGTCACATTCAAGCCTAAGGTTTTCAACTTTCAGGATCAGATTCTATGTAAGCAAACACACACACACACAAGTTGCAAGTGTATGTATGTATAAAATTGGTGTGAACATACACACACTTCACTTTGGGCAATAGCTAGACAGTCATACAGGAAGAAGGCTGCTTCAGGATGACCACCCTGGGGACTGGCCACCCTGACCTCTGTCCCACCCCGTCAGAGCCACAATAACATGAAATGAAAATAAACTGTGACAGGAATTTCTTCTCAGATGACTCCCTGACTCCTGGCTGGACCACATTGGTGCCCAGAGGACATATTTTTGTTTTCTTCCTGGTCCACACCATTTAAAAAAAATGTTTTTAAATTGAATTTCTTACCAATATTTAAAAATCAGAAAATGTTTACATAAAAATATGAATTTCTTCTTTAGGAAAGTGGGAAGAACTAGGCACTGTGGGCACCCCTTGTGCTTGGCCCCAGTGGGCTGGAACTCAGAAGTAGCCATCCCTGCAGGCAGGACATGGGGAGTCCCAACTCTCGCCCCCACCTGGCCTCCCCACACCACCCAGGGATGTTCTTACCTGCCCCTTGAAGGCCATTGGGTTTCTGATCCTGATCTCTGGCCTCCTGAACAGAGGTAGCTACTAAGAAACACCAGGAACAGAGCTGGGGAAGCCACTGGCCCTGTGACCCATCCCTTCTGCCCGTGTGCACGGCCCCTTTCTGGGCTTGGGTGGTTCAGCCCCGTCTTCTATGGAAGTACCCATGTCTGTGACCGCAGCCTTCACTACAGGCAGGAACGTGGAGGCCAGACCCACGGAGGGCTGGTGGGGCCCAGGTGCTCCCTCGTGTCTCTCTCTGATGAGAGGACCCCATGAGTTGGCTTGGACTAAACTTAGTAGTCACCATCTCTGCAGAAGCTGAGCCCAGAGCCTGACCTCTGTGTGATGCAGAAGTGGGAAGTTTCATTGCCTGGGGCCCCGGGAGATGAGGGCAGATGTACCTGGGTACATTCGAGAGGGAGGAGGGGGACCGAGGCCCAAGCTTTCTGGCTGAGTCTGGAGTGTGAGCAGCAGCCAGGCCCTCCGTGGGGCTGGGCTCCAGGCTGCCCCTCCCTCCGTGTCAGGGGTCTTCCCACTCAGCCTGTCGGAGTTGCTCCAGGGCCCTGGCAGAGTGGAGAGGGGTGCTCTCTGGAGCTGCAAGTGTGGAAGCCTCAGGCCAGCTCACTTCCCCAGGGAAGCTCTGCTGTGGGCAGGTTGGAGGTCAAAGGCGGGGGACTGTGGCAGCCACACCCAGCCACTCATCCTAGCACCAACCGAACCTTGTGTGGGGCCAGAACCAGCTCCTCTGGGCCAGGGTCACAGACACCTGAGTGTGGGGGCTGCAGAGGACAGCCAGGCTGCCAGGCTACTGACACTGCTAGCCAGATGGGGGAGGCACGGACCCCACCTGGAAGGTGGGCACTTAGTGGGTGGGCCAGGTGAACAGTGCCCTCTCTCACGGCTGGGGCCACCTCCGCATCACAGACCAGCTGTTTCCTCTGTGAACTTCAACATCTAATGGTCACCCACGTCCCTAAAACTTCATCATTTATGAGAAACGATGGTGCGGACCACTCATAGGGTGCCAGAGTCAGTGCCAGGCCTGGGAGGGTAGGGGATGAGGGAGGAAAAGCCACACCTTCCCTGGGGAGTTTATAACCTAGGGTGCAAGGCGGAAGGCATGAGGGTCCCTTTTAGAATCCAGATGAGGGGTGTGAGGTGAGCGGAGCCTCTGGGGCTGCGGAGCCCTCCCAGTGCCCGGAGCACCCTCGGGAGGCCGTGCCAGCCCTCAGGAGGAAGCGCATGGACCCTGCGCTGGGCTCAGGGCAAGTGATTGGTGCTTCTGGGAACTTAAAGAGTTGGAAGCCCGGTCGTTGCCTTCGAGGGGCTTCCCCAGAAACCCGGGAGCCAAGGCAGTCATGCTGAGGCCTGTTCACTCATGGCAGAGCGAGGTTTGCGCTTTGAGGCATCCAGGGCCCCTCTGGGTCCACAAGAGAGGAGTCCAGTGGGCTTCTTGGAGGTGGGGGCCTTTGAGATTGTCCTCGAGGAGTGGGAACATTTTGGTGATGAGGGGGCTGTGTGGCCAGCGGGGGAGGAGCAGGAACAAAGTGCGACGTTGGGAGAGTGGGTGGGGTCCAAAGGTGGCAGCGAGGCCACCAGTGTCCCTTGGAATTTGGGCTGATGAGCCAGGGGTGGGTCCTGAGCAGCAACAAAGCCACTTAGCTGGGCCTGGGGCTGTGGGTCTCTTTCTGGGTGAGGAAGGTCAACCTGTCAGGTACAAAGGACACAGTAAGAGGCCGGTGGTGGCTGGGCACTCGGCCTCTGACAGGTGGAATCGGGACCTGGAGGCTCTGAAAGGTGGGGTCACAGTGCGCCAGGGCCACAGGCCTCTGCCCAGCCCCAGGGCCAGGCCGCCTCCCTGTGCCTGAGCTCCTGCCCAAGCCCAAGGGGCCCTAAGAGCTGAGCTACGCCGAGTCAGCCTCCCGCGCTGTCCTAGGACCCTGCAGTGGACACCGGCCCCTTCACCCTTCTCCAGCTTCTTAGCAGGAGAGCCAGGCAGCCAGGCCGTGTGGGGGTCTGGGGAACTCACCCCTGTCATGCCTGCCCCAGGGATTTTGGACAAGTCACCTCACCCACTCCTCAGTCCCGGATTCTTTCTCTGAGTCAACAGCAACAACTAAAGTCGCTTCTCTGTTACCTCGTGGGGCCTTTTCAGGATGATGGATCCACTTTACAAAATATAGTTTGGGGTTCTGGTGTCCAGGAAGAAGGGCTTATGGAGGGAGACTCTTTTGCAAACTGTGAAGTGAGGTCAGGGGTTAGGGTCTTTCTGCTTCTCCTGCAGGCCCTCCGGACCCGGGCGCCTCCCAGCCGCTGCTGGCCTGGCTGCTACTGCCGCTGCTGCTCCTCCTCCTCGTGCTCCTTCTCGCCGCCTACTTCTTCAGGTAGGAGTGTCCCGGGGCACTGACTTGCCCCAACCAGCTCAGAGGAGGAAATGAGCCTTCTGATGCTGTGGGCGTGGGCTGTGCAGCAGAGGGCAGCTGAGAGGCTGGGTGGCTGGGCCTGGGAGACACACAGAGGCCAGGCCTTAGCGCGGCTCAGCCATGAGCAACAGGAGTAGCTTTTCCCGGCTCACCTGGTGGGTATCACTGTGCCGAGCGCTGTTGGCTCTCGGGGAACCTAGAAGTGTGGAAACCTAACGCATCCTGTGTCTCTAAGGTTCAGGAAGCAGAGGAAAGCTGTGGTCAGCACCAGCGACAAGAAGATGCCCAACGGAATCTTGGAGGAGCAAGGTACAGAAGCTGCTCTCTGGCTGGGGCTTGGGGGAAAATGTGTTCTTTTTTAGCAGACACTGAGGTGCTTTCTGCCTTTAACGTTCAAAGTAAATTTTGAGGTGTGCCTTGCCACTTTCATCTCACTCTACCTGGTATGATGCTGTCATTTAGAATTTCACTATTTCAAAACTTTAAGGATCATTTTTCTCTCGGGTGTGACATGGACGTTTGAGACATTTTTGTTTGTGGCTTTTTTTAGAGAGACTGTTCATATCCTGTCGTTTTCACAGGGTGTTGACATGTAACACTTTTCAGTGAGGCCTTACAATCATTCTCAGATAAGACTGTCTGGCTCAGAAACTATTCAGCTGGGTTTGTACTGCTTTAGGATCCAGCTGGAAAAAGAGACTCGCTCTCCTGAAGTGCTTCATGTTTACAGAGCATCAGAGTCAGCTGGGAGCATTTCCAACTTTTCCATCCGAAGTACAGTTTCGAACTTGTTGTCGCTACTTACAAAGGAACATTGTTTTTCTCTCCATACATAGAGATGAGATGACCGAGAAACGTGTGTAAGGCAGAGGCCACAAAAATATTGCTTCACACCCCAGTGACTACAACTTCCTGGAGTCAGCTTCCTACCTAACTGTAGTCAGTTCTATGGTTTGGGGGAACACACGTGCCGTCAGACTAAAATAGACTCTTAAAACGGACCCTTAGATCATTAAAAGAATATCACCAACAAGGACCCAGCTGAAATGTAGCCTCCCAGCGCTCGCGGGACCCGAGACCTGGTTAGACGATAATGTGGCACCAGGTGCTGTCTTCCTGCCCTCGTTCCAGTCCCCGGTTCCCTGCCCTGAATGTTTCAATAGCAGGAACGGAAGGGAGGAGGGTGCGGCTAGTGAGTAGCAGGGAAGCTCAGCATCACTCATTCTGATCCCATCTGTCACTTGGAGGAATGAGTCTTGGGTGAAGTTTTTGGCTGGGCTTCAGAATGGCTCTGCAGGTGGGGACAGGCCCTTTTGCAAGTGTGACAGCTGGGTTATCATGTTGACCTTGTCAATATCAGCTCATTCTCCAGGAAGAGAAAGACATGTCCATAACTGTTCTTGCCTCTCACTCCGAACTTGGGGAAGGAATGTGTCCAAGAACTCCCTTATAACGCGTACTTCTCCTTCTCAATGCCCCTTGTCACCCTCCCCAGACAAGGGTGGTTTTCCCTTGGAGCTTATGGGGTTTGAGGAACCAGGAATATTTGTTATGAAGAAGAAAAGGCTGAGAGAGAACGTTCTGAGTTTGCTCCCAGAAGCCGTAATTACTCTTTCTTATTTCCAAACCTGGAAAGCTGAGCTGGAGAGTGAGGCCGTCTTGAATCCTTTTTGGAAGGAGCAGGGGCTGGAGGGAAGGAGAGGTGGGAGGGTGGGTGGATGAGTGGCCTCGGGAGGGGGACAGGCTGTCTCCAATGGGGGAGAGCAGGTGACACTGGGCAGAGGGACGCCCGTCACTTGTAAATGATGTGGATGCCTCACAGGAGGCGAGTGTTTGGATACAGCTGCTCGGGACCCGGCTTAGCCCAGCTATGCGATTTGAGAGAACTGTTCCAGCTCCAGCCTGGTCATTTCTTCAGGAATGTCGTTGGTCAGCTTGGTTACTCAGTCGCCTATCCAGGAATGTGGCTAAATGGCCCCCATGTTTCTTTTGATCCCACAGAGCAGCAAAGGGTGATGCTGCTCAGCAGGTCACCCTCAGGGCCCAAGAAGTATTTTCCCATCCCCGTGGAGCACCTGGAGGAGGAGATCCGTATCAGATCCGCCGACGACTGCAAGCAGTTTCGGGAGGAGTTCAACGTGAGTGTGGGGAGGGCTCTCTGCTGGGTGCCCTGTGGTGGAGACCTGTGAAATCCAGTGTTAGAGTTCAGGATGAATTATCCCAAAGACTCAGAACCCTTGCATCAGTTATGACACTGTCCCATGAATGGGCGTGTGAGGAAACCTGGTGTGTGGTGCAGTGCCCTTTGCCAATGCTTATTTCCTCATTTATAAGATGAGACAGTTGAGTTAGAGGTTTGTGAAGCCTCCTTACACCTCCCCACTCTGAGTGTCAAGTTCTAAAATCAACTGTGGCAGAAACACTGTTATCTCGATAACACAGAAGGCTAGGACCTGAGCGCGGCACGGTATGACAATATCATGGGGAAAGTAACAGAGCCCCAAACCATCCTTTCATGGCTTCTGAGAGCTGGAGCACCTAATCAGAGTAGGCGATGTTCCTCTTCTGAACCACCATCTCGGCATTAATGAAGCAGCTGTGAGCTGCCTTGAGAGAACACTAGCTATATCTGCTTGTGTATCAACATGGGTGGGTGGGTGGGTGGATGGATGGATAAGTGGGAGGGCAGAGGGATGGATGGATGGATGGGTGGATGGATGGATGGATGGATGATGGATGGATGAGTGGGAGGGCAGATGGATGGATGAATGAATGCATGGATGGATGGATGAGTGGGAGGGCGGATGGATGGATGGATGGATGGATGGATGGATGGATGGATGGATGGAGTGGGAGGGCATATGGATGGATGAGTGGGAGGGCAGATGGATGGATGGATGGATGGGTGGATGGATGATGGATGGATGAGTGGGAGGGCAGATGGATGGATGGATGGATGGATGGGCAGATAGAGAAGTAGACAAACAGATATGAGGAAGTATTGTCTTGGATTTTGCTATTCAGTATTTATCCTTGGTCGTGTTTTGAATTTTATGCATCTTCACCTTCTTGCATGTGGCTGTGCTAAGTGTTGATCTTAAAGAGGATAGATTTTCAGCAGGATTGCTAACTGGTCCTGGCTATGCCTGTTGCGTGCTGGCCCTGGCACATCAGTTAATTTCCTTGAAGCTGTCTTCCACCACCTAGGAAGGGGCAATGGAGATGGGCCTGTCTTAATTACCTTGAAGTTGGAATGGGAGGCTCAGACAATGGATTTTGTAAACAACAGTGTTGTGCAGTTGTTATATCTGAAGATGGCATGAATTCTGCTGCAGAAATGAGACTTTACCCAGAAGCAACGTGTGAAGGCATGGGAAGGTGGTGGCCCATGTAAACTGTACATTGCTTGTTTTTTGGTGCAAGCCTCCTCTGCCTTTATCTTACTTCCTTTTTATTGTTTCCAAATGTGTCCCCTTTTTTGGAGAAATTAGGTCATATTGAAAGACAGCTTGAAGCACTATTGTGTTGCAATCTCTCAGCCTGACAACAGACCTTAATTCTCATTTTCAAAATAACTATCCAAGTTTTCAGCTAGCAGATCCCCTCCCCCACCCTTCTCATCCCATTTCCCCTTGCACTTTTGTTTCCCCAAGTGACAGGGGCTGGGCTTGCTGATGGGGGTGTCTGAGTCAGAACCAGCTCAAAAGAGGGGGCCACTCCCAGGGAGGGAGTCCAGGAATAGGGTGGGGCAGGTGAGACACTCACCCCAGGCACATAATTTAAGACAGCACCAAAAGCTCAGCAGTGGGATAAATTATATTTTAACATAACACTTAAAATATCAAAATTATCAGCACCACAGGAAAGGTAACAAATACAATATCAAAATGAATACAGGCAGTCCCTGGTGAAGAAAATAACACGACCATAAAGGAAGACAGGCTTGGGCCGACTGATTTTCCCTGTTGCCCTGGGCCCTGATACATACGGCTTGTCACCACACAGCTACTCATCCTGCCATTAGTTAAAAGTTTCATATTTTGGTCATCATAGATTTTGTGCCTTGATTTGGACTTTTAAAAATATTGCATTCGAATATTATTTCCCCTGGTTTCTGAATTTTGGGGGCACCCCATTAAATTTTGCACCCAGAGGAAGTTCCTCATTCTCTTCTGCCACTGGGTGGCCCTTGGCTGAACATTGGAGTCCTTGTGCTCAGTGACAGGCAGGGTAGAGACGCGGTGGAGGGGAAGAACACTGGACCCAAAGTCAGGATCACGGAGCCTGATCCTGTGTCTGGGGAACCCTGGGGGAGCTGCTTTTTTGTCATATTTTTGTTTTATTTGTTTGTTTGAGATGGGGTCTCGCTGTGTCTCCCAGGCTGGAGTGCAGGGGCCTGATCACAGTTCACTGAAGACTCAACCTCCCAGCTCAAGTGATCCTCCCACCTCAGCCTCCCAAGTAGCTGGGACTACAGGCATGTGCCACCATGCCCACTGGCTTTTTTACTTTTTTTGTAGAGATGGGGTCCCACTGTGATGTCCAGGCTGTGCTTTTCTGCTCATCTGTCCAGTGAAGGGCTGGCCATGTCCTGAGTCCACGTTGATGCAGCACCCGTCCTCTGAGAGCACTGGAGCCTGCCATGGCCAGCTCTCTCTTGGGTCCTCAGAGGGACATGCTCCCAACCCCATCTTTCTTTTCTCTTGCCGTCTGATCTGAGCTCCTCTCCCCAAAATCATGAAAGGGAGACACCAGAGTCTCAAAGTGGCCGATCCAGTTGAGTTTTGACATGTGTGCATTGCCAATTCAAAGTGCAGGCAAACTTGGTGGGGATGAAAAGGATTTGATATTGGGGTCAGTACAGTGAATGCTGGAGTCGGCCTGAGTGTTTGTCCCGGCTCAGAGAGCTTGGGCAATTAACCTCTGCCTGTTTCCTCATCTATGAAATGAGGATACTCCCTGCCCCCCATAGGATTGTGATAACATGGACATGAGGTTGGATAACCTGGACATGCAACTGAATCCTTACGAGACCGCACTCTGCAATCTCCACCCTGCACTGGTAGAACACCATCCTAGGAAAGTCTGCTTCCAGGCCCCAGAGTAAGTCCTGGAAAGTGAGCACCACTGGGCCAAGGAAAATCCCCCGCTTCAGACAGGCTCGTCCCTACCTCCATCCTAGCAAGTTATGTCAAGCCAAGTGCCTAGGACTAACACACTGATACGTGCTGTAAAAGTGCAGAGGGAGGTGTCAACCGCAAAGCTTCCAGCACAACAAACAAACCAGAACCATTCCCTGGAGCTCCATAGAGCAGCTGGGGCCTCTTGCAGAACTGCCCACACCTAGCTTCTTGTACACTCTCCTGCTGCCTGCCCGACACTACCGAGCGGAGAGAGAAAGGAACGTGGCTCATGAGTTCATTGAAATGAAATCTCTAGGCCGGGTGTGGTGGCTCATGCCTGTACTCTCAGCACTTTGAGAGGCCAAGGTGGGCAGATCATTTGAGCCCAGTAGTTCCAGACCAGCCTGTCCAACATGGTGAAACCCCATCTCTACCAAAAAACTACAAAAATTAGCTAGGCGTGGTGGTGTGCACCTGTAATCCCAGCTACTCAGGAGGCTGAGGTGGGAGAATCACTTGAACCCGGGAGGCAGAGGTTGCAGTGAGTCGAGATCGCGCCACTGCCCTCCAGCCTAGGTAACAGAGTGAGACCCTGTCTCAAAAATAAAAATGTTAAAAAAGGAAAGAAATGAAATGAAATCTCACCTCAAACAGACAAACCACAAACAATTTGGACAATTTACATAATGGGACAGCCAATCACACAATATTTATTGGCCAGTTACTATGAGCAAGCCCCAAGCAAGACACTGCAGGGCTCATCCAGGTGTGCAGACCCCTCCAGGTGCTCTCCTTTCCCCTGGGCCACCTGAGCAGCTCAGAGATTTGAGACCCCAGTAGACTGACAGCCAGAGAAAGGGCTGCAGAGTCCATGTGGGTGGTTATTCTGTGCACTTGGATCCAGGATACATACGTGTGCGGTGCACAGGGCCCGATGCCCCTCCCCACTTCAACTTTGACCCTCTGTGCATCTGGGTGGCTACGCCCCATCTCCATGGTCTGGATCTCTGCAGCTGCCAGGAACACGCAACCGTGGGGTGTCAGAGCTTGGTCCATCCTCGCCATCCAATCCCTCCAGGGAGCCTTCTCAATTTCTTTTAATTTATTTATTTATTTATTTATTTTTTGAGAGAGAGTCTCTCTCTGTCCCCCAGGCTGGAGTGCAGTGGTGAAATCTTGGCTCACGGCAACCTCCGCCTCCCAGGTTCAAGCGATTTTACTGCCTCAGCCTCCCAAGTAGCTGAGATTACAGGCGCCCACCACCATGCCCAGCTAATTTTTGTATTTTTAGTAGAGACGGGGTTTCACCATGTTGGCCAGGCTGGTCTTGAACTCCTGACCTCAGGTGATCCACCCGCCTCGACTTCCAAAGTGCTGGGATTACAGGTGTGAGTCACCACACCTGGCCTAATTTATCTTTTAACAGACTTTATTTTAGAGCAGTTTTAGCTATACAGAATAATTGCACAGAAAGTACAGAGTTCCCATATGCCCCCTTCCTCCCCTGTGAGCAGTTTCTCCTATTATTAACTTCCTGCATTTGTGTGTTTCAACTGCTGCAATTGATGAACCAACACTGCTCTGTTGTTACTAGCAGAAGTCCACACGTCAGGGTTTGTGTGTTGCGCATTCTGTGGGTTTTGACGAATGCACAGTATCATGTACCCACCATCCGGTATCATGCCTCCCGTGTATTTTCAGTGCTGGGGCCAAAAAAAGCTTTTGCGGGTAGAAAAAGAGAAGGCTCTAGAATTTTACCACAGATGTCAGGCTTAGATTAGGTCAAGAAGGTCAGTATTAAGATAGCCCTGATGAAGAATCAGGAACTACAGGCGGCGTAGGTGCTGGTGGCTGGGGATGAGGCCAAGAACCACCTATCACCCTTGCCACAGTGCCGCCAGACAGGTCCCTCCACATAGGCCACCCTCTTGCCTCTGCTTTGGGACCAACAAACCCCATGGCCTGGAAGGGCCTCAACCTGTGGCCATGGGGTTTGGTGGCCCCAAAGCAGAGGAAAGAGGGCGGCCTACGGTGCCCCACCATGAGCTCCAGCTGGTCAGATCTGAGTCTGCAATTGGAGAAGCTTCCTGCCCTCAGGAGAGGAAGACTCGGGACACCTGTGGGTGGCAGGTCAGGCTGTGCTCTGCATTGTGAGCAAGCCCAGGCCTGCACGGCTTGGATCCAAAGCTACGCAGTGAGGCCTGCTCTGCTCTCCTGGGTAGTTGCAGCGGGACCCCTCACATTCTCCTACATTTGAAGAAGTGAACATCCTCCTGGTAGTCTGGGTGCCGCTCTAGGCTCCTGCCCCTTGCTTGCTGGGTGACCCTGGACAAATCTATAACACCTCGCTTTGGCTTTCAGTTTCCTCACCCATAAAACGGGGACCATCCTAGTATCACCTAATGATAGGTGAGTTGCAAAGGCTGGGGCAGATGACCCAGCTCCTTCCACCGTACCTGGCGCACTGAGACACTCAGTGCATATTCATGCATGTTACTGGAATCCCAGTGGCCCCGGGTCCAGCCGCTGGTCGGGTGTAATGTCAAAGGACAGGACTCAGGGCTTCAAGAGGCTCTTCACACTGTGCATTGTGGGGAGCTCACCTGAGCAGCGAGCAGACGCAGGAGACAGCTGGAGATGACCAGGAATCAGAGATGGCGGCTGCAGGCGGCAGAAAGAACTAGAATGCAGGCCACCAGAGTTCACGCTCGGTTATGCTGCTCAGAGGGGATAGGGGCCCCGCGGCATTCCTTGCACACCTGACTTCCCTGACTGGGACAAAGGAGTTGGTTAGCGTGGTGCTTCCCAAAGACGTGTGCACTGAAGCCCTGGGGATCATGGTAATGTTCGTGCTGATTCTGTGGGTCTGGGGTGTGGACAGAGCATCTGCATTTCTAACAAGCACCCTCCCGGGAGTGCCCAAGCCACTGGTCCACAGAGCACACCTGGAGTCTTAAGCAAGATCAGGACTGTATCTAAGGCTGTTTCCCGCCCCTTGCCTCCCAGGACCGCTCTATTCATCCTTCAGCCCCAAAGTCACAGCATCCCGCTGTAAACCCTCCGCATGCCTGTCCTCGCTCCCCCATCTCCCGGTTCACAGTTCTGTCGTAGTCAGTTCTTACCAAATCATAGGCACCTGCTCTAGGCCAGGGTCCATGGGCCCTGAGATACCATGGAAATGCAAAGGCAAGTCTCCGCCTTCATGCAGCATAGGATCTGGCTGATGAGACCATCACTTTGGCCACACCACTGTTCACCCCACATGAAAGAGCACCCTGGGGAAAGCCAGGGTCTGTGTCTCCTTCATTCTCTGCCCCATGCCTGGTGCAAGGTCTGAGGCAGAGACGGACTATGGACAGCAGGTAGTTTGCTCCACGTGTTTTCATTAATTCCTGTGCTCAGTAGGGAAACTGACATGAGCATGGTGCTTGAATCCATCACATTTCATACTAATGCTACATTTTCTTCCAGTCATTGCCATCTGGACACATACAAGGAACTTTTGAACTGGCAAATAAAGAAGAAAACAGAGAAAAAAACAGATATCCCAACATCCTTCCCAGTAAGATTTTATTTTATGTTTTGCATGATCAATGGTGTTTGCACTAAACTCAGCTTTGCCTTGCAGCTCCCCGTGACTGCAGGCCATTCCTGGTGCTCAGAGGCCCCAAATCAGTCTAACTGCTCAGCATTTGCACCTAGGACTCCAGAACGTTCCTCTTTAGGTGCCCATCTCCCTGCACAGGCCCTGGGTACCTTGGTTGCTCGTGGGTCTGGCTGCCAAGCCTATGCTTACTGTTGGGACCTGGGCTGCCTGGGGCCCAGCGGGTAAGGGTGCTGCTTCGTGGCCATGGGTGCCAGCTGGCAGGGCCCCTCCTGTGGAACTCAGGCCTGGCACCCAGTCTAGGCCTGCCAGTGGCCCTGGGCAGCTCCCTTCCCTCAGACTCAGTGCTTGTGACCACAAGCTGCAAATCCCTAGAGTTGTCTGGGGTCCTGGACCAATGACAAAAATAATAGAATACGAAATTTGTAGGTGGGCAGCAGCTTTGTAGGAAGGCTCTGAATCGACCTGATTTAACCCCAGCAGTACAAGTGGGCATGGGCTGGGGAGCGTGGGTGCCAGGAGGTGGCAGGGCCAGAGAGCAGACGGATGTGTGCGGGGGTGCGTCTCGGTGACCTGCTCCAGCTGGATGGGTCGTGACCTGGGGGCAGCTTTCACAGCCTGTCTTGGTGCCAAGACAAACCCTGTAGGTTCTGAACCGCCTTTGTAAGAGCTGGCCCGGGCCGGGTGCTGTGGCTCATGTCTGTAATCCCAGCACTCTGGGAGGCCGAGGCAGGTGGATCACCTGAAGTCAGGAGTTCAAGACCAGCCTGGCCAAGATGGTGAAACCCCGTCTCTACTAAAAATACAAAATATTAGCCGGGCATGGTGGTGGACGCCTGTAATTCCAGCTACGTGGGAGACTGAGGCAGGAGAATCTCTTGAACCTGGGAGACAGAGGTTGCCATGAGCCGAGATCGCGCCATTGCACTCCAGCCTGGGGAACAAGAGCGAAACTCCATCTCAAAAAAAAAAAAAGATCTGGCCCAGCAGCAGGGGGGCGGGGCGTGCAGTTGGGGATCCTTCACCTGGGCCCCTCCCATCATCTGCTTTGCCCATCAGGCTAACAAAATGGCATCCTCAAAGGGCTCCACTAAGTTCAGGTTTAAATCCCGAACCTGCAGCCTCCGCCTGGTCCACAAAGGGAGTCCATCCCACCCTGCCAGGGCCTTGGTGGGATGGAGGAAGGCAGCCCATGTGGGCCCCGGAATGCTGCTCCCTGCTGCATTTTTAGGACTAGAATTGAGTTCATCTGCTCTGTATGTCAGAGCAGCTATGGTCTGTCCGATCTGTGGTCTGTCCAAACTGTGCACTTTTTAGAAATAATTCTGTCCCATTTTACATGCGTGGGATTGATATGTGGTTTTCACAAAACCCACTGTGAACCCATGATCCAATGAAAACTGGGAGAAATTCATCAAATAGTCTTTCATTCAACACATATGTGTAGGGGTGGCCAAGGCAACACCAGGAAGATGGGTCAGGAGGTCATGTGGTGGCCACACAGCTGAGCCTTGACAGTAGCTCAGACATGGCTAGATGCTGCACACTTTGGAGAGGATTTGTTGCCAATGGGTAGAAGATATCACAGAAAGAGGGGAGGCAACTTACATGGCTTGAGCAGCTCAAAGGAAAGGAAGGCCATGGCAGGAGGAGGTCTGAGATCTTTGGAATAATGTGTGTCAAATTTGGGATATTTAGAAATTAGTTTCACTGCTTAATTTATTACCTTAATTGAGTGGTTTTAAGTTGTGCCTTGATTTGCCAACCATATGTGTTAAGAAACCGCTCAGTGCTAAGCACATTCCTGAATTCCTCATTTCTCTCAATCACTAAACCTTCATCCCTTAAAGGTAACATCACATTGTTAATTAAGACTATTTAGCTGGGACCTCTGTGGAAGCAGAATCATGGCCAAGTGTGGGCATTACCTACACCCAGTCCCCTTCTCAAAGTGTGATGGCCCAGGGCAGAGCAGTGGCCTCACCTGGGAGTCCCCCACCTGGAAGAGGCCGGGCCCACCCACTGCAAGTCTTCTCTGAGCCACGTTCTCAAGTCTTCTCTGAGCCGCGTTCTCCAGGTTGTGCTGCTGGAGTCAGTTGGCATTTCCTCCAAGCCTGAAAGTGTAGTCAGATTCAGAATGGGCTTTTCTAGATTCCCCTGTAAGATCTTTCCCCTGCTCCTGGCAGGAGCACCACACCATGGGAACCCCAGGGCCCACGCAGCTGCCCGGGACTGGGGGACCAGGACGTGGCACTTCTCACATGGGTGGAAAGATGGGTTTACAGAATGGTGGCATGGAGACGCTGTGGCCTGGCAAGGATCAATGGGGTGGCATCTGGCATTAGCCATCAGGAAGACTTAAGGCTGAAGGGACATTGGGCAGGGAGCTCTCAGGGCTGCTCCACCCGCCCCCAGGGTGACAGCCCATAGTATCACTTAGGGTGGGACTGAGAGTCACCTGGGGGAGAGGAGAGAAGGGGCCCAACTTCCCCAGCCCCTAGTATCACTTAGGGTGGGACTGAGAGTCACCTGGGGGAGAGGAGAGAAGGGACCCAACTTCCCCAGCCCCTGGCACCTTCCCTGCCTTTCCCAGTCTTTTACCAGAGTCATAAGATGGTCCTTGGCTCTGGGCAGGCATGTGGCCCTGGGGAGCTCTGGGGTCAGAGGTCAAGGTGCTTTGCATGTCAGGCAGGCTTGACTTTTGCCTGTAGAAAGACTATAGAAAGATGGCAAGCTAGGCCTCTTTTCTGGAAAAGTGCCAACAGCTGATAATTTTAGGAAATAATGTTTTGAATGTGAAGTGTGACTTTTTAGAATAAAAAGACAGGAAGCTCTTAGAAACTGCAAGATTCTAAATCTAAGCAGAAGGCTATATTTTACCCTGTGCTTTTCTATAGCTGTCCTCAAAGCGTAAACCATTCCAAATTATTTTCAACTAGTGTTATATGTGTTCAGCAGAGCTATTTCTGCCTGGGCATTGCCAGTCCCTGAGCAGGAGGGTCTCACAGTGAGGTCTGCAGGACTGTAAGTTTGGGGTCTGACTCCCTGGCCACCCTGTGTGGGCTGTGACTGTCTCTCAGAGCTATACCCGCCCTTTCTCTGCTGGCAGCCCGACAGAGCTGGCTCAACCATCGGAGGTCGCAGGCCACCAGCCCGTGGCCCACCTGGCAGCCTTCCAGGTGAAGGTGAGACAAACAAGGCATGACCTGGGGGCTGCCCGGCTCCCCATCACAAACGCCACAAACACCACAAACACAACCCACCCTGATCAGAGACTAAGCAGAGAAAGCAGGGAGAGGACCTAGAGTTACTCAGTAATGACTCAGGAAGGAGACCCTAAGCTTCTACCACATGCCAGACTCTGTGCCCAGTGCAGCATAAACGTCCTCAGAACCAGCCTGGTCCCAGCCTGGCCGAGCCGGACGTTCCTGGGAAAGGTTACAGGAGGAGCAGGGCCAGGCCCACAGCACTTTTAGAAGCCCATGAAAATGTCTTCATTTCTCTTCAAATCACAAACAAAACGTGCAAAACCCATTCTGGAGTGCATCTTTTCACTGGCGACCAACCCAGTCCTAAGATAACCTTCTTAATAGTTCTATGGAGGAAGCTGCAAAGGCAGAAGTGACTACAACCCACAAAAGTCATGATGGAGCCCTGACGTGTGTGTACACACACACTACATGCACACACACACACACAACACACACACTACACACCCACCGCACATAACGCACACACATACACACTCCACACACACACCACACACTCCACACAAACATATCACACACATACCACACACATACACACCACACACATACCACACACTACACACACACACACACACACACTACACATACACACCAAACCCACATGCACACATTCACACAGCATACACACTACACACATGCACACCACACATACACCACACACACTACACACATGCACCATACACACCACACACACACCACACATTACACACATACACAACCACACACACCACACACACAATACACACACACCACACTCACTACACACACACCCCACACACAGAGCACTCCACGGTCAGCCTTCTACCCCGGAAAACTGCTTGTGCAACAGGCTGGATCTACCAGACGCTCCTCACTGTGCTCGCCTTCCAGCTCTGGGGCAGACTCCGGTGGTGGGACTGAGGGTCAGAGTCCCCAATCCTAGACCCCCACATCCACTTGTCCTCATGGGGCTGGTGCTCATTTCCCTGGGAAGCCTGGGAGAGTGGACCCAGTTCTCCTGTCCTGGGGCTCTTTTAAGTGCACCCACACTTGGCAACACTGGGGCTGGGCCCAGTGCAGGGTTCATAAAATACAGCCCTTGCACTGCCAGGGGCCTGGCACATTCTGCTATTCTTGCTATGTAATGACCCAGCAGCCCCCATCCTGGATGCTGAAATCCTACCCTTGTCGTCATGCCACAGCTGAGACAGTCAGTGTTCACCAAAGCAGGTGCATTCTCTCTCAGGACACTAGTGTTCTCCATGGGAACGCTGAGGAAGAACATCTCTGCCATCCCTGGTGTCGCTGTGAAGCTGCTTTTGCCCTTCCCAGGAGCTGACACTGCAGATGAAGAGACAGCACTGTGATTTCTGGAAGAGACAGCACTGTGATTCCTGGTCCTAATATCTTGGCTTTGTTTGGGTTTTTTTTCCAGATGACCATTCTAGGGTGATTCTGAGCCAACTGGATGGAATTCCCTGTTCAGACTACATCAATGCTTCCTACATAGATGTAAGTGGGCAGAGGTTTCTTGTTCCCCTGGCCCAGCTGGGGCATGAGCAGTAAGCACTTTCTTGTCTGGTGCCCGGAGTGTAAATTGTCACAACCTTTCTGGGCAGTTTGGCCACAAGCACAAAGGGTACGGAACTGCCCGTGCTTTACACACTGGCATCAGCATCTGGGAATTTGAATTCAAGAGACAGAGATGATCACAGAGGATGTTCACTACAGCATTATGTATATTCCTGACCAAATAGAACAGGGAGCATGGGTAGTTAAACAGATTGTGGTAAAACCATGTGCAGTGGACTATTAGAACTTGATTTGTATTAATCTTTAAAAGATCATTTAATATCAATTATAAAATTCCCATTAAAAATACAACATAAAATAAATTGTACATGTTCACCCAATTAGAGGACAGAAATGTCTGCATGTCTGCTTGTGGGTGAGTCTGGGAAAGGTTTGGCAGAAAAACAGACTAGAGAGGGGACGTATGAAGTAGGATTTGTTATTTCTGGAATTGCTGGTGAGTTTTCTTTCCTTCTTAACCTTTTCCTGTGTTTTGCAAATTTTCCATGGTGAATATGTACTGCTTTCCTAACAGCAACACCAACAAATCCTTTCAGCAAAGATAATTCTGAAAAAATATAAATCTGATGTTATTTTTTCTAGGGTTACAAAGAGAAGAATAAATTCATAGCAGCTCAAGGTAAGCTTTTTATTAATTTCTCAACGTATTTTTGGTAACGTGAATAGCTCTTATTTCCTTCTCTGTATGCCAACAAGACCAAGGACTTATACTGGATTTGTGTGTGTGTGTTTACACCTAACAGACACGTTAGATATCCATTCACACAACGGATATGTGTAGTCAGAGAAACACACACTTATTCCCACACCTATATGGTGTGAACACAGGGCACGCAATGGCCCCGGCTGCCATTCCAGCTTGTTAATACTTGCGTCAGATAACCTTGAATTTCTCTCAGCTGGCTGAGCCCTACATGGCTCCCCAAGTTTGGGCGAGGGGTTAGTGGGGTGAATAGCTTTTCAGATCAAGGCCATAACTAAGAATATACTTCAGCTGTGAAAACGTGCCCTTCACCTTGCACAGGGCTACCTTGTGTGTTGAGTACTGAATCCAGCATCACTCCGTTCCACCAGAGGTTGTCATCTGCAGGACCTGGTGTACGTGCGGTTAGATATCAGTGGAGCTGAAACCAGATTCCTCAGACTTCCTCACTCTTAGGCCAGGAGTCTTTAGGGCAATGAGCTCTGAAAGTCAGCGTCCATCAAAATCACCTGGGAAGTTGTTACAAATGCAGAATCTCTAAGAAAAAAGGACACACATGTGCACACGCAGAGGCCATCAGGAATGTGCCCAGCTGGAAACCTCAGGAAACCTGACGATCCTGGCTGAAGCAGATGAAAGCATGTGTTTCTCTCTTGCCAGCAGACACCCACAGGGAGCTAGCCCACGGCAGGACAGCAGCAGGGCCAGGGGCTTCCTTATCTCCCCGCCCATCCCCCTCAGCACGTAGCACTTAGCTCGGGACTGCAAAATAGCCGCAGCTCAGACAGGAAGTGGATAGGGGCAGAGGACTTTCTCCTAGTGACACTTTGTCTGTTGTTCACATCCCCCTCCCGAGGGACTTTAGCTCATATCGTATTGGACAGCACCATGCTGAGAGTAAGATTTTGACAAAGAGGAGGGGATTGGGAATGCAGGGTGAGGCTGGCCAGTCTCTGCCTCTCGCAAGGCTTTCACCAGCTCTCCCACACTTGGCTGTAGACCCAGCCCTCATCTGAACCCTGCTTCTTACCTGTGAACGTCATAACTCAACCTGGGCCCAATTATCTTGCCCACTGAGGAGTTCCTAGCTGGAGTGGGTGAGTGGCAGGACAGGCAGCCCCTACCGGTTCCGGAACGCTTCAGGGCATGACGTGTGTGTCCCCAACAAGCCTGAGAAGGGAGTGAACAGCTGTCCAGGGGCCAACGGCCAGGGTGCCGGGGCTGGGACCCCAAAGGGACTTCCCTTCATGCCTTTTGACTTCGAAATTGTCCTCTACACACAGGTCCCAAACAGGAAACGGTTAACGACTTCTGGAGAATGGTCTGGGAGCAAAAGTCTGCGACCATCGTCATGTTAACAAACTTGAAAGAAAGGAAAGAGGTGAGTTCCAGGCATCTGGCCCCGGTATCACTTCCTTTCAGCTGCTGCTGCCGGGCTGGGGATGTTCTTACCACTTCCTTTTCCTACTTCCCTCCCTTCCTCCCACTATCACTGCAGAAAAAAACCCAAACACATGCAGTGGCTTACAGCATTTTCTTCACGAAACAAATCCCCTGTGTCCCCAGCATCTCACTGTTATCTAATCTGTGATAACACAATGACACAAGAGTTTCCTTTTTTTCCCAAGTAAGAGTGGCCCCCGGCTGGCCCCATGGCTCTGCCTGCCTGATGAGAGACATGAATCTTAGAGTTTTAGGATGTTGAGCGTGTCATGCGGCAGAGCTCAGGCTAGAAATGAACATGATTTCGCGCTTATTATCCAGACTAGAGAAATGCTTTTGGAAAACGTTGGTATATTGAAGAAATGTTGATTTGTCATCCGAATATATTTAATTAGCTGTTTCTAATTCAAAAAAGGATGCATGTACGTTATAAGAATTTGAATCATTGACAAAGAAGAAAAGTTGAACTGATTCGTTTCCTAATGTAACAAGTACTCATTAGCATCTGCTGTGCTGGGCCAGCTCTGTCCCAGGTGCAAGGAGTAGGGGCTCAAATTCAGGGCTGAGAAGTGGTGGCTGTGGGGAGCCTGGGTGCGGGGGTGGGGTTGAGTGACAGGCAGGGAGCCATGCCATAGGCAGTGAGCTCACTCTCCAGAATGAAAGAAGAACTGGGAGCCTGAGGGACACTTACCACAGGTGGGGCGAAGTTAGGAGGCTGTGCTTCTGGCGTGTTCTGGCATGAAGGCCCGGTTCAGTGGGAGCCGTGTGTCCTGCCCGGCCCTGCTCAGGGCCTGCTGTGTCCTGAGCTCCTCAGTCATCTGCTGGCCTGGCCCCAGCAGTTCCCAGGCATTGTAGCGAGGACTGTGGGGAAGGGCTGCCATTTTTAGATGGGAGTACCAGGCCTTGGGGAGCTCAGCTGGGGCAGAAGATGGGTGGCAGGAGCCCACAGGAAGGGCAGGCTGGGAGGTGCTCTGGTCCCCGCAGTGCCAGCTTACTAATTGCCACCCAAAACACAGGAAGCAGCCTCCAGCCACCGTTTCTGGTCAGGAATAGGATGGAGGCTTTCATTCTGCTCTGGGGGGAGCTGAAACAGGACTGTGGAGGGCCACCCCTTTGCCCTTGCAAATCTTGCCCTTGTCATGCTTTGTCATGGGGAAGAGGGAAGAGTGACAGAGGGAAGTAGGGGATTCCCAGCCCAGGACTCTTCACTCTGCCTGCGCTGTAGCGGCCATGGAGGAGGACACCCACGCGAGGGAAAAGGAGGCTGACCCTTCATCAGGAGCCTCAGGGTCCCCCGTGACCCATGGCCCATAGGGACCAGTCTTCCTGGGGTTGGTGCTCCAAGCATGAGACCAGCACAGAAGCAGTGGGGCTCAAGGACGCCCTCACTTCCCTCTTTCAGTCATTCTGCTGAAAGTGTCACTGGCATTTTCTCTCCATCTTCCCCCACAACCTCCTACTGGATTTTTCCACTCCTGTGACTCAGTGCTGGGCTGCTGCCGCGTCCTCATTCTCACCAATTCAGATGAAATCATTTCTCAATAGAGTTCCCTTTTTCTTAATTGCTCACACTTCTGTTGTGGTTTCCTTGGCTTCCACATCCTGGGCTCTGCATTGCAAAACACAGCTGCCCTGGCATCTCATGATCGGGTGGGAGGGAGGCAGAGGGAGGGGGTATAAAACCAGCCACCAACACTGAGCCCTTGAGAGGCTGACACATGTTCTCAGTTCCTACTGGAGAGCCTTCAAGGTGAGAAGCTCAGGAGGGACCCCAGGGCTCCCCATAGGGCCAAGACTCACCCAAACCGGGACATGTAGGCATTTGCAATTCCCCTGGGCTGCATCAGAGATGGCCTGTGACCCACAGCCCCGCAGCCCCGCCCGGAGCCAGGTGTAAGGAGGGGGAAGTTGTCGGTAGCCGTCATAACACAATGATGCTGCTCTCTACTAAATACCAGATGCTGTTTGTTTCATAAGACTGTTAATCCTGGAGGCTTGACCACGAGCTGTGCTGCTCAGGGGCCATTCCCTGGATATACTCTCTGACTACTGGCAGGCTTGTTCCATTCCAGACATGTTTCTCTGGCAGATGAAGTAGATCTTTTCCCCCTTGAGGTGGGTCCTCATTCACTCGCGAAGTGATGGAGGACACCACCGGGCAGGTGCTGCGGGCGGTGCTGCAAAATGAAAGGGCTCCTGGAACGTGTATTTTGGGTCATTCTTGCTTCAGAGGTCGGGAAGGTAAAGAAATGGGCCTGTCTGTAGCAATGCACCCTCTTCTGCAGACTCCACGGCAGCCTCGTCCCTGCTAGAGAAAAATGAAGATCGTTAGACCAATCATAGGTTCATCACTCTTGAATGGCAGACTGGCAGTGGTGCAAATTAACTTTGTCCTTAGTGAACTGAGCAGGAAAAACACAAATTGCTGAATCCAGTGGGAAATGTCTGGGGGGAGCACCGTCCTTGCCCTCTAGCCTGAGGGTCACTTGGAGTTAGGTGCCCAGCTCTGAAGGCTACAGGCTCAGCATAACTGGTTGATGGTCAGTTAATAAAATGTATGGGATTCGTGAATGAATGAAGAAATGAGACATTGTTGCTGTCTACATCAGAAAGCCTTGGGGCATCCTAGTCATAGTTTCAAGGCTGCTGTTCACCAGTTACGCAGCCTCAGTTTCCCCATTCAAGAGGTCGACACACGTGAACTTGTTTCTCAGCTGTGGGAGCTGTGTGACTCCAGCTGGTGTGTGTGAGGCCTTCTGTAGTTGGGTGGGGGGATGTCATGATGCATTGCACCCACAGATCTATTTGCTTCTATTAAATTGTTCCGTGCAGGAAAAGTGCCATCAGTACTGGCCCGACCAAGGCTGCTGGACCTATGGAAACATCCGGGTGTGCGTGGAGGACTGCGTGGTTTTGGTCGACTACACCATCCGGAAGTTCTGCATACAGCCAGTAAGCATCTCTAGTTGCTGCCCTTCCAGAAAGATCATTTTCAGAGAGCATCATGCCCAGAGTTAACATCCTTCTGCATTTATGAAGTGCTTTGCTCCCAGCCCGGCACTGTCGCAGCCCTGGCTGAGAGGGTGCAGTGGCCAGGCTGTGATAGGCAGACATGCAAGAGGGCCAAGACACCAGAGGCCGGTGCACAAGGGTCTGCAGGCAGTGCTGGGGGCTCCTAATTCCTAGTGACTCCTCTGGGCCTCTCCAGGAGGAAGACCAGTCATTGGAGGGGCCTGGGGGTGAGGTCCTCCCTCAGTAGCACAGTGACATTTCACACACTGACTGGGAGGTGGGGTTTTTTTCTAACACTTTCCGAATTCTGTCTGAAACCTCCTCGTTATTTTCCACACTTGGGTTCTGCTAGTTCCACCACCCCAAAAGGTTTAAGAGAGAGATCAGTAAAAATATGTGTATGCAAAGCAGATGAAATCAAGATATAGAAGAAAGTTTAAAACCATAGAGAAAAGACAGAAGACCATTTTGTCAGGATTTAAAGATACAGTCATTGGCATAATTAGGTCACAAAATAAGTGTCTGAGGTTCCAAGAAGCCACAGCAAAAAAGGAAAAGGATGAGCTGATTATTCTTATCCTATCCCCTGCTGGCATCTCTCCCAGAAATGTGCACACAGGCGCACACAGGCACTCACATGCACACGCACACACATACTCCCACACACAGGCACACACATGCACACATGCACATACACCCACACACAGGCATACACATGCACACACACCCACACACAGGCACACACACGTACACCTACCCACACACAGGCACGCACATGCACATACTCCCACACACATGCATGCACATGCACACGTACACCCACACACAGGCACACACATGCACACACACGCACACAACCGTACAATGCATGCACGTTCACACACACATGTGCACACACACCCCACTCACATGCACACATGCACACATTCACACATGTGCACACACATACACCCACACACATTCACATGCACACACATGCACACACGCACACACATTCATGCACATGCATACATGTGCACACACACGCACCCACACACGCACAGATGCACACATGCACATTCACACATGTGCACACACATACATCCACACACATTCACACACGCACACGTGCACACATGCACACATTCACACATGTGCACACACACATACACGCACATGGGTGCACACGTGTACGCACCCACATTCACACATGCACACACATGCATACATGTGCACACATTCACACGTGCGCACATACACACATTCACCCACACATACATGCGCACACATGCACACATACACATGCATACATGTGCACACACATGCACACACATCTACTTCCAAATACGCTGTGTATCACCTTCCGTGATCTGGGCAAGGGAATTAAACTCATGGGCTCTGGGTCCAAAAGCTGAGAGAGGCTCTGAGGGCAGGTCTGGGAGACTCCAAAGAGCAGGCCGACTGCATCATCTGTCCTCCCAAATGTAAGACAGCTTTGCCCAAGGAAGGATGTGCTGTTGGTGATTACTCAGCACCACCGGCCTGAGGTGGGACTGTCCAGGCAAGATGGGCCATGGCCGCCCTGCTTGCACGGGGGTCTGTGAGCACACAGACCAACTTTGGGGATGTGTCTGGCTGCTTGGGCCCTGCCTGACCTGGGCATAGACGGTTGCTGCGGGCCCTGTTCTGTGGCCCCAAAAGCAGCACATGTTCAGAGTCGGCAGGGGTAAGGTCCAGGCTGTCTGGCTCAGGCAGGCCCTCTGTGGATGGGCCCCTCCCCTACGCAGCCCCAGCACAGGGGAGCCCACGGCGGCGTCCTCAGAATGAGATGCTGGGGGAGCAGGGGGAGGATTGTTTCACCCACTCTTGTCTCCCCGCGTCCCCCGCAGCAGCTCCCCGACGGCTGCAAAGCCCCCAGGCTGGTCTCACAGCTGCACTTCACCAGCTGGCCCGACTTCGGAGTGCCTTTTACCCCCATTGGGATGCTGAAGTTCCTCAAGAAAGTAAAGACGCTCAACCCCGTGCACGCTGGGCCCATCGTGGTCCACTGTAGGTACGCTGTGGGGGCCACGGGGCGGGACCCTCAAGGGCAGGCCACAGTGGGATGACTCATCCTCATGGGCAATGCCAGGGGACCAATATCAGGGTGGGCAGAGGTTTGGGCAGGGCTGATGTGAACACAAATGTCAGTGACTGAGCCAGGCCCCAAGAACCCTACAGGAGAATGTTCAGAGAGCCCCCTCTTCATCCCAGTCGATAAAACCCACCAAAGCCAGGAGGCTCCGGTTGATGGTGGGAATGGAGTTCTGGGCAGGTCTGCTTGGCCGCCCTCACCTCTCCCCGGGAATCCCAAGTCACCTCTGGGAACCAAGATGGAAATGAGAGAAAGCCCCCTGGTTTCTACAGGAAGCCCCCCAACAACACACAAGTCGTTATGGAAGAGCACACCATGCTCAGATGGGCCCCCACAGCAGAGTCTTCCAGAACACGCTGTCCTGGAGACCAGGGTCCGAGGACCAGGCTGCCCCTCGCCAGCTGCCACTTCAGCCTCGGTTTCCTCACCTGTGATGGGAAGGACAGCCTCGGCGGAGCCTGTGACTGGCATCTGGGTGGGCTTTGCACAACATGAAGAATTACTCAAATGTACAGCCAAGGCCACCCCACAACCCCCTGTCCACAGAGAGCCCCACTTGTTCCTGGCAGTGATTGGCCTCACCAGGGTATCACTTTGATTAGATACTAAGTTTCCATCTGTTACAGACAGGTTCATTCTGAGTATCACAGCACTGCCAGGGACAAAAGCCACCTGCACGCAGTGATGCAGGCGCTCTGCACCTGTCATGCAGGTGTTCACGAGAAGCCGTCCAGGAACCCCCGAAGAACGGGCTTTCCCCAAGTCTGAGCAACACTCGCTTGCTGGGGCCAAGCAGAGGCTGGACCCCACCCCACCCACCCTCCAGTGTAGCTCATACTGGGAAGAATTTGCAGGGTCAGATAACAGTAATCTGACAGATGCCACCTCACTTAATGCCCCGAGTCAGATGACTTGGTTTGCCCAGTTTGACAGAGAGGGAGGCTGGATACCAGAGCTGTTGCATAGTTGATCTGAGGTCCCTCTGCTCCCAGGGGGACAGATCTAGGATGCCAATCACACATATAAGAAGAAGACACTGTTTGGTAAGTGAGAAAAATTCTCCACACAGCCTAATCCGAGGCTTACTGCACCAGCTGTTAATGTGCCTCTTAGTAGAGTGTCGGTGGCTATCAGAGGACCGGCCTGAGATCACTTTACTGAGACCACAGCTCCCTCTGGTGGCTGCACTGTAGCTTTGCTCCTAATTAACCAAAAAAACAAAAAGTTGCATCCAGTGACCTGGGTGCGCAGGCCCCTTCGGGGCCTTTCATTTACTTCGGGAGGAGTGTGACTCACGACGCAGCATCTTTCTCTTTCCCCAAAGCGCGGGCGTGGGCCGGACGGGCACCTTCATTGTGATCGATGCCATGATGGCCATGATGCACGCGGAGCAGAAGGTGGATGTGTTTGAATTTGTGTCTCGAATCCGTAATCAGCGCCCTCAGATGGTTCAAACGGATGTGAGTCATGCCTTCCTCTTGCCCTGATCTAGCTTCCCAAAGCAAACCCGATGCCTTCGCCACACAGGTGTGCAGGGCCCTGGCTCTGATGGGCACGTGGCAACCAGCCTGGGCCTGGCCTGGCTTCGCTCCCCATAGCCTTCCCTGCCCACGCGTGGGACCTCAGGGACTCCCTCGTCCTCATCTTTCCCTCGTATCCTCATGTGAGATGGGGCAATCCTACTCCCCCAAACGGTGCATGTACACAGTGCGTGGCGTGCTCACCAATGTGAGGCTCTGCTGCTACCGTTCTCCTTACTCAAGGGCATAAATGGTCGTTATCCGTGGCCGGTACTCTGACTCTTGCCTCACACCTCCTTGTGTTGGCAAAAAGAGAAAAAGAAGAAAGCCGCCCTCTTTGGTCTGCCAAGCTCCACGTGGGCCAAGACTGCAGGGCAGAGTTGAGGGTGTGGGCACCCCTGGCCTCTCTGCAGATGCAGTACACGTTCATCTACCAAGCCTTACTCGAGTACTACCTCTACGGGGACACAGAGCTGGACGTGTCCTCCCTGGAGAAGCACCTGCAGACCATGCACGGCACCACCACCCACTTCGACAAGATCGGGCTGGAGGAGGAGTTCAGGGTGAGTACAGCTGACCCTCCTCTCCATCCTGGTGTAAGCAGCCAAGGGCACGAGGAAAACAGGTGACCATTTAAAGGAAGCCTCTTTCAATCACTTGCCCCTTAACTGACCTCAGAAAAAGCAGGGGCAATACCTGAGCCATGATTTACAAGGGAAGAAGGATCAGGTGGCTTTCAGAGCCTCATAGCAGCCCTACTAGGCACACATTTGTATTTCCCAATGCTAAGGAGGCTTCCTGGGTTGGAGAGTGGTTTCCTTTGAGCAGGCGTCCTTGCCAGCAGCACTAGTCCTCGGCTGAGCAATGTGCTCAGGAGTGTCAGAGGTTTAACTGTGTCATTATATCCTTCTCTGCTGCAGAAATTGACAAATGTCCGGATCATGAAGGAGAACATGAGGACGGGCAACTTGCCGGCAAACATGAAGAAGGCCAGGGTCATCCAGATCATCCCGTGTAAGGCACCCGTGGCGTGGCTTGGGCAGGGCTGGGGCGGGGCTGGTGCCGGAGGCTTTCATCCTGGAGAAGCCATTGACCGCTTACCCCTGTGCACCAGGGTCAAAAGCAGGGTGTCCTCTGGCCTCAGGCTAAGGGCTCCTGTGTGCTGTACCAAATGTCAGGTAGAAAAGACACCTGTGAAGCACCAGCTGACCCAGACAGTCCTGCATGGGTCTCAGGCAAGCTGCTTCGGATATGAGCTTGCAGATGCGGGAGGGCAGCCGAGGCTGATTTCAGGGGAGGGCTTCACAGAAGCTGGAGATTTGCGGCAGGCACGACTTGGGATTCCTTGTCTCATTCCTTGTCTCCCCAAGCCTGGGCAGAGGCCCGCCTCCCCCTTACACAGAGGGGCCTGAGCCACCCAGCCGAGGCCATGCAGGTGAACTCAGCTGAGACCACCTAGGAAAAGGCTGTGGCCTTGAGGAGGACAAGAAATGGGCCTAGGGTAGAGTCAGGACACTGGTCTGCCACCCAGGTCATGGGAGAGGGAAGGAGGACCTGGCAGGTGTGGGAGGAGTGGAGGCAAAGCTGGCAAGAAGACAGGGCCACATGCAGTGGGCAGGGGAGTGGGAATCGGGAGGCTCACCAAGTGGGAAAAAGAGAAACTTGAGAAACCCGGCCCCAAAGCAGACTCCACAGGGATCCGAGGAACTAGGGAGGGAGGTGGGAGATGCCCCGCTTGGGAGGAGGGTGTGCCTCGTTATAGACTTGTCCTCGACAGAGTCACAGCTCAACAAACACCATCTGGAAACAGCTGGGAGCAGGCCTGCTGCAGCAGGGTCTCCCCGAGCACTGCAGGCGAGTAGAGCTCCCCGGGGTGCTGCCATCTTCAGACTCTGGCCCTTGGTTTTCTGGGGCCCCGGTGTCCTGCTGGCCACTCTAGATTGCTTGCCTGGCCACATTCCATTTACTCCTTCAGCGCAATATTTTTAGTGCTTGTATTTTGGTATGTATTATATCGATTCCTGAAAAATGAAAATGATAATTGGGTGGTTTTCAGAGTTTTCCTTCAAAAAGAAAAATACCCCTGAGCCACTTTAATTATCGTCTCTCATAACGTAAACTTTCCAAAGAGTTGGCTTTACGTAGTGATTTTATTAATAGGATCTATATTTTGCAAGCTTGTAGCAATGGATTAAAGTTAGCAAGGTGGGACCCTTTTTGTAATAACTAAAGGAAGATAATGCTTTGCAGATGACTTCAACCGAGTGATCCTTTCCATGAAAAGGGGTCAAGAATACACAGACTACATCAACGCATCCTTCATAGACGTACGTATGCTGGCCTGGGTTGTGTTTATGCAGATGTGTTTCCTTCACATGTGACCACAGACTTGATTAGCTTGTTTTCACAATGAGAAAGAATTGACATGTTTCCAGAAACTCAGCCATTTTTGTTAGCAGAATTACTTGCTTAAAAAAAAAAGTGGCAAGGCACGATGGCTCACACCTGTAATCCCAACACTTTGGGAAGCTAAGGCGGGCAGATCACTTGGGGTCAGGAGTTTGAAACTAGCCTGGCCAATATGGCAAAACCCGTCTCTACTAAAAATACAAAAATTAGCTGGGCGTGATGGCAGGTGCCTGTAATCCCAGCTACTTGGGAAGCTGAGGCAGGAGAATTGCTTGAATCCGGGAGGCTGAGGTTGCAGTGAGCTGAGATTACACCACTGTACTCCAACCTGGGCAACAGAGTGAGAGCGAGACCCCCTCTCAAAAAAAAAAAAAAAAAAAAAAAAAAGTGGACTTTGGAAATAGAAGGACATAGACTCGCTGCTAAGTAATTGGCTCTTTTTTCATTCTGCTTTTAATATATAGTTATTTTTCTTTTACATATCTGTTACACACCAATTATATATCCACTGCCTCTGTGCTCTTTCTCTTGTGTGATTTCTGCAATGTGTACCCACGTGGACAATACAATTATGTGTTCAGGGCACACAGAGGCTGTCTTCATGCACAGTGGAGTTCGCAGAAGAAGGGCAAAAGGGGGAATGGCAGCCAAGTGTGTGTTCATATTGCCATTTGCAGATGAGAAAATTGTACCAGAATCCGGTGGGCTCCATGCTGATCTAGCTGAAACACACAGAAACATGTTAGAATCTAAGCCACCAGGTGCTGTTCAGGTGGCCACAGGCAACTACCAGTTCATAATACCCATTTGTTGATGACCTCAGGGGCTGACGGTGGCCGTTATGGTTTCAGATAAGCGAGCTTCTTGACCTGCTTGTCAGGTGTGTGCCTGAGTGCTCGTGCCAACTGGGGTCTGGTGCAGACCATGGAGGATGAGAGAGTTTTCCTCATTAGGCCTTAGGCTGTCCTAAACTTAGGGAGCAGGTAATGGAGCCAGGATGGAAGGAAGTCAGACTCTAACCTCTGCGCCTCCATTTGAAGGGCTACCGACAGAAGGACTATTTCATCGCCACCCAGGGGCCACTGGCACACACGGTTGAGGACTTCTGGAGGATGATCTGGGAATGGAAATCCCACACTATCGTGATGCTGACGGAGGTGCAGGAGAGAGAGCAGGTGAGGAGTGCCGCCCAGCCCGGTCCCTCCAGGGCAGCCTGTGCACCTGAGGCACTGTCCCCGTTCATTACAAATGTCCCACCTGCCATCACTGCAAACACATGGGTGAGACCAAGCCAGGACCACTAGGGAAGGAGAGAGATTGGAAATGAAAAAGGTTTCATTTCACCCTTTCCCTTTTTGGGAGTGAGGTTTAACCATAGCTACCCGCTGCCCTTTATCCTTAGCCTACATGTTATTTAACCTGCCCTGAAATTCTGCCATTTGGTATTGGCCAAGATCATAACCTGTTGAAGAAAAAGACATTTATTGACTTTTTTCAAGACATGAAGACAACAGTAAACCCAAGGTTTACCAACAATGTACATCTATCTGGGTTCTCCCCCAAGACATAACTACTGCTGTGTATTTGTGTTTTTATTTCTTTGCTCTAAAAAGGAACAGCTTTATTGTGATATAATTCACCTATAATTCATGCAATTCATCTTTTTAAAGGGTACAATTCAGTGAATTGGAGTATATTCACAGAGTTGTGCAACCACCACCACTATCTAATCTGTGATCATTTTCATCAACCCAAAAGGAAACCTCGTACCATTAACAGTCACTCCCCATTCCTTCCTTCCCCTAACCCCTGGCAACCACTAATCTGCTTCCTGACTATGGGTTTGTCTATTCTGGACATTATTATAAATGGAATCATACAGTATGTGGTCTTCCGTGATTGGGTTCTTTCACTTAGCATCATGCTTTCAAGGTTCATCTATGTTGTAGCATGAATCAGTAAATCATTCTTTTTTACTGGCAAATAGTATTTGCTTGTGTGGATATACTACACTCTGCATATCCATTCATCAGTTGATGGACATTTAGGTTGTTTCCACTTTGGAGCTATTATAAATAGTGCTGCTTTGCTTGGTGCGGTTGCTCACACCTGTAATCCCAGCCCTTTGGGAGTCCAAGGCGGGCAGATCACCTGAGGTCAGGAGTTCGCGGCCAGCCTGGCCAACATGGCAAAACCCCGCTTCTACTAAAAATACAAAAATTAGCTGGGCATGGTGGCGGGAACCTGCAATCCCAGCTACTTGGGAGGCTGAGGCAGGGAGAATCGCTTGAACCTGGGAGGCAGAGGTTGCATTGAGCTGAGATCGCGCCATTGCACTCCAGCCTGGGGGACAGAACAAGACTCTGTCTCAAAAAAAAAAAAAAAGTTTCTTGAACATTCAGGTAGTAGTTTTTGTATGGACATGCTTTTTCACTTCCCTTGGGTATACGCCTAGGAGTGTATATACTAGGAGCGGAATTGCTAGGTCACGTCATAACTCTATGTCATAAACTTACTGTTTAACATTTTTGAGGACCTGCCAGACTGTTTTCCTCAGTAGCTGCCCCATTTTACATTCCTACCAGCAATATATAAGGTTCTAATTTCTCCACATCCTCACCAACATTGTCATTGTCTTTTTGATTAAAGCCATCCTAGTGGATATGTTCTTTGCTTTTTTAAAACATCTTTTAAAATCACATCTGTTTATGCCTACGTAGACTGTTGTTTAGTTTTACTTGTGTTTGAACTTTATAGAAAGAGCATCATTACAGCATGTTGTCTTCTGAGACTTGCTTCTTCCACTCAAAATTGTGCTTTTGATATTCTATGTTGATGCTTATGCTGTGGTTCATTCGTCATCATTATTTCATTATATTCCACTGCACAAACTATATCCTGCATTAGCTCAGGTATTCCTTCTCCTGTCATGGGCACTTGAGTTGGTTTCATTTCGTTGTTTTACAAACAGTGCTACCTGTACATTCTTTTTTTAAAACTTTAAGTTCTGGAGACAAGTGCAGAATGTATAGTTTTGTTACATAGGTATACATGTGCATGGTAGTTTGCTGCACCTGTCAACCCATCATCTAGGTTTTAAGCCCTGTATGCATTAGCTATTTGTCCTAATGCTCTCCCTCCCCTCACCCTCCACCCCCCAACTGGCCCCAGTGTGTGTTGTTCCCCTCCCTGTGTCCTTGTGTTCTCCCTACCTGTATATTCTTGTACATGTCTTATGCTGCACTAGGACTAAGATGTATCAAAGAGCCAAAATGCTTCATTGAAGAGTATGTGAAAGTTTGAATTTGCAAGATAATTCCTAATTGCTTTCCAAAGTGGACATCAACAATGTATAAGAGATATCATTCATCTACATACCTAGTATGGTATTCTCAAGGTGTCCTAATTATTGTTAATTGAAAATTAACAAAATATTGTTCATTGTATAATTATTGTATAAATACTATCTTTTTGTGGCTCTGATTTGCATCATTCTGATTCCAAGGTCAACCCCATCACTTCATATATTTGTGGATGACATATTTCCTCTTGTGTCAAATGCCTGTTCCTGCCTTTCACTGATTTTTCTATTGTTTGTCCTTTCTTATTGATTTATAGGAGCTCTTTACGTAATCTTGATACTAATTCTTTATTGGTTTTATGTATTGCAAACATCTTATTGCAATCTGTGGCGTGTCTTTTCACTCTGTTAATGATGTTTGTTGATGAAGAGAAGTGAATGTTACTGTAATCCAATGTTTCAAATTGTTGCATCGTGATTGGTTAGCTGTTTGGGCTCTTGTCTAGTAATCCTTGTGTACCTCAAAGTGAAAAGATATTTCTTCTTCCAAGAGTTTCACAGTTTTGTTTTTTACCTTAAACCTTACTCCATCTGGGTGTATTTTTATTAAGGTTCAAGGCCATGACACGTGGAAGTGCAGGGTGTACACTGCCCAGTTCTAGGAAGAGCTGGGGGCACTCACATCAACCCTGGTAGGGAATGAGTCAGGGATCCAATTTCATTTTCCCCAGGTAGAAAACCAATTTTTCCAGCCCCACATATTGAAGAATCTCTCCTTTCTGCCATATGTTAAGGTTTCATATATATATGTGTCTGTTTCTAGACTCTGTTCTGTTCCCTGGGTCAACAAGCATTAACAGGCATTTATATTCATATTCATATGTTTTTTTTTTTGGTCAGATGAAATACATTAACTGGTTTGAGAACAATTCTGTGTTATAAACTCAAAATCGCCAGCAGCAAATTATTTATTACAAGACTTAAATTTTTATTTTATCCCCTAAGGATAAATGCTACCAGTATTGGCCAACCGAGGGCTCAGTTACTCATGGAGAAATAACGATTGAGATAAAGAATGATACCCTTTCAGAAGCCATCAGTATACGAGACTTTCTGGTCACTCTCAATCAGGTATTGTTGAAGTAGCTCTTTAAACGCTTGTGAATTTAGTGAACCACGCCCTCCCTCTGGGTTCTGCTTGTCATTGAACCAGAATGTGGCCCTGCACCTGTCCTGCTCCTTCACCTAGTCCCATTGGCTATGAATGGCCAATGGGTTTCAGAGACAGTGGCAGGCCTCCTGTACAATTCCCATCTCCCTAGCTGCCTACCTCCCATTTATCTCTCAGGAGAATTACATTAGCCATTAGCTGTAAGAGGAAGAACAAAGGGGACTAATGAAGCCACAGGGGCCTCTCTGGGGCCCTCCTCCAGGTGCCTTCTCAGAGCCCCCCAACTGTCCCCATTTCCACTGGGTCCTTGGTTCTGCTCATCCTCTCTCCTTGGCAAAGAATGAGAACTCGGGGTCAGCTGTAGGTAGGATGACTCACTTGTACACAGGTCTTGATGCTGAGCTCCAAACAGTCAGTATCACGTAATGCACCTGCCACTGTCTCCTCCATGCCAGCCACAGAGCCACCCTGGCCACCAGACTCAGATGCTGCTCATTTGAGCTCTGAAGGGAAATGCAGGGCCCTGGTTTCTTGAGAAAGTGATTCCCTTCTCTCCAGCAGAGCTGCCAAGGATCCCGTAGGGGTTGGGCAGTCCTCACAGGGATCCAGGGGATGTCCTCTGGACGGCTCGCTCCCCCTTGCAGAAGGAAGCACAGCCAGCCACCTGCCTTCTTCTTTAGGACAAGCAGGTTTCAGCCTTCTCCTTCAGGCTGCCTCGGTGGGGATGTTGGCAGCACAGAAGGCTCAGGGAGGGCTCCCAGCCTTGGCCAATCCCTGAGAGGGCAGATGGGGCTGGGGCCTGTTCCCCGGCAGGCAGGCGACGCTGAGACCCCCTCTCCTCCCTGCAGCCCCAGGCCCGCCAGGAGGAGCAGGTCCGAGTAGTGCGCCAGTTTCACTTCCACGGCTGGCCTGAGATCGGGATTCCCGCCGAGGGCAAAGGCATGATTGACCTCATCGCAGCCGTGCAGAAGCAGCAGCAGCAGACAGGCAACCACCCCATCACCGTGCACTGCAGGTGAGCCCCCAGCCCGAAGCCCTCCAGGTGGGGTGGACACAGGCTGCACCCCCCCAGTACCCGCAGCTGTGGGCAGCAGAGCCTGGTCGCTGCCCCTGGCCATGGTATTCCCTAGAGTCTCCTCTCTACCTCTCCTTACACACATGCACACACGACTTCACTTAAGTACATACATGTCATCGTATCATACATAAGATGCATGTGTGTCATCTTAACATAAATGCAGAATGCACTTCAGAGGGTGGAGTTGGGAAACCACTCAAACACACATTTCCATGTGCTTTTGAAGTCATCAAAAAATTGCCAGGCAGGGCTCGGAGGAACACACTCCTGGACTTCAAGTTCCTGGGTGGGTTTTGAGAGACTGCCTTACTGGG
This sequence comes from Homo sapiens, assembly GCF_000001405.40. NCBI lineage: Eukaryota > Metazoa > Chordata > Mammalia > Primates > Hominidae > Homo > Homo sapiens. Next base: position 128,078,161 of record NC_000010.11, read on the forward strand.
CTGCATTGGCCTACACCCGCCCTCTCCCATGGGCTGGGATTCCTGGCCATATGAGGAGTCCCAACTGGGATTGTAGCCACGCTGGTCCTGCAGCCTCAGCCTGGCTCCCAAGTCAGGCCCAAAGGCAGAGGGACACCCTGGGCAGGTGGGACATGCTTAGTCCGCAGGTGAAGGCGTGAAACACAGCACGCCCAGGGGCAGATACGCAAATCTGGTCAAGCCCACTGGCCACCCACTTGCCTGCCTTCTGTGCCTCTGTAGTTCTGATCCTGCTGCACACTTCTGCTGGCAGGGACCTCGACACCCGGCAAGGTTCTTCCAAGCAGGAGCTTGGGGTGTTTCTATCCTTGGGTGGTGCTAATGTGCTCCTGAAACTGCAGTTCCATGGCTTGTCTCACACTGGTGGCGCCCACTCTTTGTGACTGCCTTTCACCCCCACCCACTGTCCCACCCCTTATAGCTGGCAGAGCTCTCTCCCTGCCTGGACCCCACCGGGGTGCACTCCTGGCCTGGCCAGTAGGTGGAGCACACACCTCGGTTTTTGGTTTTCCTGGTGCCTTCCAAGAAATCATTTAGGATAAACTTGAAATGAGTTCCATAGGGCACTGGAGATGCAGAGGTGAACAAGATCCCACCTGTGAGAACGCAGATGCGGGGCCGATCATTGCGGCAGGACAGGAGCCTTGGAATAAGCCCACATGTGAGATTATGGAGCACAGAGGGCAGCCAGGCATCTCCAGAAGACCTGCTGGAAGAGGCCGGTCCACCCCACCTCCTCCAGCCCAGTACACCTGGGCTCTCCTACGAGGGCCTGGGCTCTGCTCTTGTGGGGTTTATCAGCAAATGACCATGGTAAATGGAGATGACTCAAATCGGCCTTGCTGGGAAGTGTCAGTTGACTGTTCCTGGTTGTGAATGTCCTTAAACTGCCCCTCCCTTTCAGCATCACCTGTTTCAGAAGACACCCCTGGCACAGTAAGGAGAGGGTATGCCAAGATTACCTCCTTCCTAGACCTGAACTGGGAGGGTTTGCATTTCTGGCAAGTTCCCAGGTGCCAACTGTGCTGCTGGTCCAGGGACCACACTTTGAGAACCATTGCCCTACACAAGGAAGAGGGGAAATGGTGATACTTGCTTAAAAACTTGTCACTGGTCCTGTCTCATTTTATAAAATATCGGTCTCCTGTAATTAGGGAGGTGTTTTAGGAATTTTACATTTGCTAAATCTTGCTCAGAAGTTACACTACATACAAATGATCAAAAAAAAATTCAGTCAAACTCAGATCATTTTCAGCGATTGTTGCTTCAGTGCTGATATGCAGGGGTTGGCTGTCAGCTCTCCATTTCTCATCCCCAAGTGCAAGTCGGATGATCTGCATTAAGCGCTTTTTCTCTGCAGTGCCGGAGCTGGGCGAACAGGTACATTCATAGCCCTCAGCAACATTTTGGAGCGAGTAAAAGCCGAGGGACTTTTAGATGTATTTCAAGCTGTGAAGAGTTTACGACTTCAGAGACCACATATGGTGCAAACCCTGGTAAGAATCTGAATAAGGATGTTACCAGAAGAGTGGAGAATTATTTCATGTTGTATTTGATGTATGTTTCATTAAAGGACCTTAAGTACATGGGGGAGGTGGGAAGGTAAAATTCCCAAGGAAAAGAGCCAGCTGCAATGTTTCGCAGTAAACCTCTGCAGAGCCCTCCTTCCTTGGGTCTGTGACGTGGGTGTCTTCTGGGCAAGACCCGGGAGGAGGGGCCTGTCCGCCAGTTTCAATGTCTGAGACCACTCGGAGAGACGCACTGAGGATAGGAGCTTTTGTGTCAAAGTGAACTATTCTACGAGAGTCCTGTGTGCACTGAAAAACATACTCTTATCAAGTTCAAAAGCAGCACTGAAATTTAAAATCCTGGTCCTTCTCATTTCAATGTTATACTCGTCCATGTGGCTTGTTTTCCCTGGCGGGGTCTCACTCAGCCTCAAGATACCGTCCACGGGCTGCAGGAATCCCTAATGTATTAGTAGTTTTCCCCGTACATTCTTTCATTTCAAGGACTCCTGCTTTCTGGTTTTCAGAAGCGATTCCTCCTCACCAAATACTATGGCTCGTGCTGCTAACCCAGCGAGTACAATTTTAAAGCCTGTTACAATGCATCCTTTTTACCAAAGCTTCCCACTTCGCACCTGTCCTCCCTGCCTGCTCACTCTCCACGCTGACAATCCTGGCTCACGCAGCGCCCTGTGCATAGAGAGGCAGGAAGGAGGCCCTTCTACGTCCCCCTCACAGCAAGGCGCAGCAGGAGCGAGGACACCTGAGCTGAGGGCGGGTCTGTCCATCCACACCCAACGACCTACAGCAAAGACCATCTCTCTAAGCAGTAGCATACAGAGCTTCCCCTAGTCTTTTTAGGGACTCACAGCTCTCATTAATCTGCCTGGTCTGGCCAATATATTCTATCTTCGAGAGCATCTGTCATCCAGGTGTCCTCCCGTCTCAGCTGTGCTCTTCCTGACCGCAGCTTGCCCCTCCATGCTCCCTGACTGAGAAGCTGCCCTCAGATGTTGTGTGGCTGTCATCTGTGCTCTCTTGCCTGGTAACAGCTTGACAGAGCACTTTGTAGCCTGACTTTTAGAGTAAAGGGTCTAGTCCAATGCCTGGCCCGTGGCGAGGGCTCCAGAGCAAGTGGTGAATCAGCAAACGAATGAGGGAGAAGAGTCACTAAATAACCATCAGGCGTTGGGCGCAGTGCAACCAGGTGCCTTACAGATGTCTTTCTCATTTCATCTTCACCATCTGCTTGCCCTTGTGCCTGCTTCTGTTCACAAGGAGTGTTCTGCAGGTGCCTCCAGTTAGGACGGTTGAGGGGCCTGCCTGAGATCTTCAGGTATTAAGTGTCAGAATGAGATTCAAACTCTATCTGATTCCAGAAGGGAAAGGCTTAACTAGTACTGTATGCTGCCAGATCTAACATTTGGCAGGGAGATTTTGGCAAAAAAAAAACACAGGCACAAAAATATTATTGAGTAAAGAGATGATTGCTGACCTGCAGGTTGATTTAGCCCTGCAGGTGAGCACAGTGGCCCAAGAACCAGTTTCCAATTGCTGAGCACTCAGGGAAGACTTGCTTCCAGCATCCTAGGTAGGCTTTGGTTGGAACTGACATTTCAAAGGCCACAAGTACATCTGTTCTCCTGGAGTCTGTGGATTGACCAGAAATGTCTGTCTGTGACCTGAGGTGTGGCTTGTATCATCCGAGCACACTCCAAAGTACACTTCATCCATCACTGGCCCCAATCACTTGTACTCGAGACTACGTGGGATGGTCAGCAGTTAGCTGCTGTGTTAGCTATGAAAACAGAGTAATTAGTGATCGTCTCCATTTCCATCCCAGACTGAGCCAGCTTTGATATTCAGTCAATGTTGCTTTAAGTTGGAAAAGTCAATGTTGCTTTAAGCTGTTTGCCTCTTTAAAGAGAGCCTGTATATTTATTGAGAATTCCTTCTAAGAATTCAATTCCCTTTCCTTCTGAAGGCTGGGTGATCAGCTGCGTGTCTTAGTAGCCAGAAGTGAGGACCCTACAATGTGGTCTTGGCTCTTCCAACAACTTCATGCAAATTCAGAAGCAAAGTTTCAGGCTCACCTTTTCCTTCTCTGGAAAACTCAGCTCCTTCCCATCCTGGCCAGACCGGGACTCAGGAAGGGCTAAGCTAGCTGTTTGGCATCTTTCCACCCAAAAGCATTTAGATATTTGTTCACTGTGTGCTGAGAAGAGCCCAAGTGCAATGTGTTGGAAAGAAGCAGGGAGGTGCTGAGGACAGCTCTTGGCCTCTCCGGCTTTCCAAGCCCCTGTCCCGGCCCCAAACTCACATATCCCACCCAGGGGTCTGGGAGGACCAGCCTATATATAAAACAATGTCCCTTTTGTACAGTAAATGTAGGCTTTAAAATAATCTAGATATGCATTTTATTTAACTTTTATAGATCGCTTTATGAAATTTATCTGGCAATGTTAGTACTCTGATTTTTTTCTCTTTCTTTTTTTTTTTTTTTTTTTTTTTTTTTTGAGACAGGGTCTCACTCTGTCACCTAGGCTGGAGTGCAGTGGTGCAGTGGCACAATCTTGGCTCACTGCAATCTGCCTCCTGGGCTCAAGGAATCCTCCTGTCTCCGCTTCCCAAGTAGCTGGGACTATGGGTGTGCACCACTATGCCCAGCTAATTTTTGTATCTTTTTTGATAGAGATGGGGTTTCACCATGTTGCCCAGGCTGGTCTGGAACTCCTGGGCTCAAGTGATCCTCCTGCCTCAGCCTCTCAAAGTGCTCTTATTACAGACGTTGAGCCATTGCACCTGGCCTGGTTTTTTGTTTTTTTTTTTAAATTCAAAAATAGTTGTTTTCCAGTTTCAATGTGAAAGCCACAGACATTTAACTCAGCCCATTAAATACACTAAGTTGAAATGTTAATACACTAACTGACACATTCTACGTAGAAAAACAGCTTTATTTGGAATTCTGCATGTGCCTAAAAACTAAATTACGATGTGCATAAAGGTATATGGTATTTTAATGAATAGTCACACTTATTTATGTCTTGTTTTTGAGTATTTCTCCTGATTAATCAAATATATTTTTGGGAATATCATTTTAATGTGTCCTTGTTTGTCTTTTCAGGAACAGTATGAATTCTGCTACAAAGTGGTACAAGATTTTATTGATATATTTTCTGATTATGCTAATTTCAAATGAAGATTCCTGCCTTAAAATATTTTTTAATTTAATGGTCAGTATATTTTGTAAAAATCATGTTAATTTATTTCATAGTTGACATTAATATCTTCCCTAATTTCTTTGTATATATTTTGTTATGCCTTAAAGGCCACCTGCTATACAGTTGTTAAATCTTAAATATGCTTTTTAAAAATTGGAATAATGTATTAAGGTCAAATAATATCCCATAAAATATATATTTCTGCTAATATTAGTAAATATCTTAATTTTTCATTAGATTCATATCATTTAATTTCACATATTCAACACCTTTAAATGTTGTAATCTTAATATGCGAAGTGTGCCTCTGCAAGATACTAACACAAAGCTCATGTTAAGAAAACAGTTGAGGACTCAGAAGTCAGTTCGAAAATGCACTTTCCTAACAGTGAATTCACAACCCTGAACAGCAGCATTTTTGGAAGGCAAACTGTTCGTGATGGTACAATGTAAATGGGGACTTCTGTAAAGTTCTCAGTTTCGGTCCATGTGGTTTATCTTTACATTTTAAAGATCAAAGAAGTCTTTACAACCTGAATCCAGGTCTAAAACACACTAGAGTAGCTGGTGACTATAAATAATATTTTAAAATGCTGTGTCTACACCATCAAGACTGTGTCTACACTATCTTGGCTGAACGAGAAGAGATGTAAATGCTGGGTGGTCCCGTTGACCCACGGCGTTGGGTACAACAAAACCAGCCATCGGAGTTACACCCCAAAGCACCATTTGCTGTCCAGCTGCCTGTCGTTTGGCCCAGACCACCCTCAGAAAAAAACCAGCTGCCTCTCCCATTCTCCCCTCCCGTTCTGCCACAGCGGCCTGGGCTGGTCCAGTGCTATGCCTGGAGGCTCAACACAAAACTTCCCATCCAAACATTCAGATGAACTGAGCGTCTTACACACGCAGTACAGAGGAGCACACATTAGGATAGAAACAGTAGAATAACCACGGGCAATTAAACTTTAAATTTTCTGAGCAGCATTTTGGTATTTAAACATTTCTTGTAAAAAGCTGAGACAGTTTGTAAGAAAAGAATCCTTAAAATCTAGATTTATACCATTTTTTAAAGTCCCACCTTTCAATGTTTAATAAAACAAAAAGAGAAATCCTTAATCTAAAAGCTAAATTATTTTTGAATGGAAATACTACTGAGACCATTGACACTGGATAACAGTAATGATCCCATTACCAGATAAGATTGACTGACGGGGAAAAAAAAAAAAAAAGAATGGGGTGTGAATGTACCAACACTGAATCTTACAGCAGTTATCTTTCTATGGCCATTAGGTACCTAGCAGATGTGCACAATATAAACAAAAAGATATCTGGCCTACCTTACTACTAAAAGCATTTAACACGTGCATTTTTGGTACTTTTTTTTTTGTTTTCTAAAAGCTACATAAAGGCCTTATTTGACATTTTCACTGATAACTGATCGCACCCTCATGTTGCAGTGTTCGTCCCCTATTCATTAACAGTGTGTGCAAATGCAACCCCAGGACACATTATTGTTCTGATAGATGCTCACAGGGAATCAAGCTTCTCGCCCACTCCACGGCTCTGAGCCCCATCCAAGGGCAAGACTTGGTGCCCAGCTGGAAGGACGAAAGCACACTTTGTGACCGCCATCCTCACCAGCTGCATGCCTGGGCTGCACACTGCTGAACGTGCTCCTCTCTCCTTCTCTGTACAATGATTCAGCATCTCGGCGGAAGAGGAAAATGGAGCTTTTTGAGGCTCGCCAGGTCCCTTTTGTTTTCACCATTAAAATTCCAAACCCAAAGCCTTTGTTTGACTGAAGGAGAAGAGAGGGAAGTAAGCTTCTGTTCAGCACCTGAACCCTAGAAAAAGAGCCAGTTTGCTACGATGAAGGTGACATTTCTCTGGTCATTTATTTGAGAGTTCGAAGTCAAAGTCGAGGGGCACCGGCTTTGGTTCATGTCTAGGAGCCCTCTGTCAGAATCCTTGAAGCCCTTTAATGGTCTAACTGGCATCTCTTGTATCAAGAAGTACCTTTAAGGTAGACCTTTTCAGGGTGCCCTCAGGAAAGGGCCCTGCTCATGTTTTTTTCCTGTCCCCTTAGACCAACCCCAGGTGTCCACTGCAGGGGTTCTGCCTGTTCCCAAACTTTTTCCATTCCAGGAACAAAGGAGAAGCCACTTTCCCCAGGACGCAAGACTCTCCCCTCCACTGTCCGGGACAGCGTTCGCCCTTTAGCGGGGAGGTCATTACAGCCTCATGGCCTCTACCAAGGCCCCAGATCACAGGATCTCCTGGGCCTTGGAGCACCTCACGCTGGGGGAATCAATCCCTGAGGGACTCAGAATCTTCTCCGTGCAACCTGGAAAGTTCATCTCTTGTTTCCTTCAGTCAAAGAAAGTCCATTGTACATAACAAAACAGCCCCCAAACAGCCCAGTGCCGACACCATTGTTCCTTTCACACTTTCCTTTGTTGCATGCAGTTGGGTTCAAATGCCAAATAGTGATTAGAAGACGACCATTCTGATCTGTGTGTGATCTGGTCACTATGTGACTGCCTTTACGGTTTCTCTCCATGTGCTATATGAATGAAGAATGCATACCAGTGTTTTAAAAGGTATTTTTATGTGTTTTTAAACACTTTTTTAAATGAGCCTGACACCTGTGTTTCAGCATTTGGAGACATCCCCATGTTATTCTTTTAAGTGTATAATTACTGATACTTTTTTGTTTGTTTGTTTAACTAAGTTGTGTTTAACTTATGTGCAGTCTTTATAATGTATGTATGTTATTACAGTTTCAACTATCATATTTTCTTTGATTACATTTATAATTTGATCTTGCTCTGATTATAATGCCAGTGAATGTTGCTGAACTCTTTGTATATGCAAATTGCAAGATTTAAACCATTCTGATGCAAGGATAAACCTTTACTTTGACTACCAGCCTGTGTTTTTGTCTTTAAATCTCTTAATTTCATTCCTCTGCAAAAAAAAAAAAAAAAAAAAAAATCGCCTGCTGTGAGATGGTGTTTGCTGTTGTGGGCCCTTTTGTTACCAGTTTCTCTCTATGGGTCTGTGGGTCCCAATGTTCCATCCTAGACAAGCAGCATCCACTCTGCTGTGGATGTGGTCTTGGCCCTTCCCCTGGGGTAAGCAGACCTGGATACATGAAGGTGCAGGCACAGCTGGACACAGTGGGGAGGGGCAGAGGGATCCAAGGAAAAGGAGGTATGGAAGAGGCATAAAGGAAGTCACCAACTGGGCCTCCACCAGGGGCCAATGAACCCAAATAGCCCTGCCTGAGCCCAACGCCTCTGAAGGAGCTGAGGTCTGCAAAAGTACGCTTGCCAGACCAGCCTCAAAGGCAGCTACTATCAACAGAAATACACAGATAGGACGCTGAGTGCTGAGGGACCTCAGGAGAGACAGACAGGTAGCCAGGGGCACCGATTAGTGTGTGTGTCTGAGCAAGCCACTCAGAGGAGCATTACTGAGACCACACTGGGAACTCTACTCTGCAGAGATGTGCGAGGGGCCTCCCCACATCTTCTGCATGAAGGAGCAGGATGCTGCAGCACTGACCCACAGCTCTCGCCCACCAGGTGGAAAGTTTGTTCCAGGGCTGTCAGCTCCCTGGCACATGCATGTCCCACGTGTGGGCCTACTGTTGCCAAAATCAGAGGAACACCCAGGGACAGTGGCGCACAACATCAAGGCATCTGCTGTGGTCACCAAGCTCCCAAGCTTGGCCTCTAACAGCTTGCATATTGGGCGTGGCAGCTGTGTGTCAGTCGGGAGCAATGTTCATCCCTGGGGGCCCTCAGGCCATCTGCTGGTTTGCTGGGAGGGCAGCTTCAGGGCCCAAGACAGCCATGCCCCAGCCAGGGCTCACATTGCCACTTCCACATTCAGTGCCCACAGCTGGTCTCCCACTTGGCCCAGGGTCTAACAGAGCCAACTGCCCCTCGTCTCAAAGGACGGGGCAATACCAGCAATATAGGGAGACATGTTTGTTACAAACATTCAAACCAAACAGAAACACACCAAGAGCATTTAGCCCTTTTCCTAATTCCTCTCCCCATCTCAATCCATTGGTAACTTTGGAGTACATCTCCAAACAGACAACACTCTGCAATTTAAATCTGTATAGTTACAGAAACATATACATTGTTTGCTTTTATGAACAACAGTCAAACTCCTGGTATATCATCAAATCCAGGACTACCATTGTCAAAATCACTTTATGCTCTGCTAAGAAAGCAAAAATACTGCCATTTATTCCTGTAAGATCCCACCAATTTTGTGATAATCCTGATGTTAGGGAGGTTAATATGTGAAAGTACTGTGTCTTAGAAGTGACTAAATCTGCCACATATGGGCAGTTTTGCAGATGGCCCTCTTTGGTCAACATTCTGCCTGGACATGTCAGCACGTACACAGCTTCCTACTTCTGTTTAATGGCTGCTTGGCATTCCACAGTATAAACATAACAAAGTCTGGAGAGTCACCTCCACCTCCCCAGTGACAGACATTAACTTCTTTCCACATGCTGCAATTCTATAATTCAACTGTATAATGAATACTCCTGCATGTGTGTATGTTTGCTAACGTGCAAACTAGTTCTATGGGAGAATTCCCTAGAAGTGAAGTTTCTAGGTCAAAGGGCACATTTTAAATTTAAGTAGAAACCACCAAATTGTCACCTCCAAAGGACCTTCCCGGGCACCAACTCACCAATAGGGCATGATGGCGCTGTCTCCCTAGAAGTCACTCACCCGGGACGTTGCACACCTGAGAGGCAAAAAAAAAAAAAAAAAAAAAAAATCAGACTTCATGTTAATTTGCATGTCCCAGAGTTCTATTGGGCTGAGCATGTTTTCACAAGTGGGTTGTGTTTCATCAGTGAAGCATCATTCATAGTTTCATCCATTTTCCTCATTGCACCAACTGAGTTTTCCTCGTTGGTTTATTGTCAATCTTTTTTTATTATTATTATTTTGTTTGTTTATTGTCAATCTTTTGAAAACACGGGTACTAACCCTTTGTCTTTCCTATTATAACTATGCCCCTTCTGTTCCTTTATCAGAGTGTCTCTGAAGCCTGTTTAATGCACTTTCCAGGAAGCAGCACATGTGATGCCTCGACACCTGTCACCCAGCACATTGTGGCAACATACTAGTCTCATCTCAAATAAGACTCTGGGCTTCTTCCAGGAATCAGACGAAGTTTCAAGAAACACTTCACAGGATCAGGTTCCCCTCCAGAATTCTAGGCTAAAGGAGCCCGTCTGTGCCTTAGAAACCAAGACCTGTTTCCCTCTTGCATATGGACCAGCAGCCTTTGCTATAAGCACTCAGCGGCCCCAGCGGAGGCTGGACCGAGGTGTGAGCTTCACATTTGGCTCTGCTCTGGATGCTGAGGTTACATGACAGTGCCCTCCTTCTGAAAGTAACACACCCCCACTCTGTCCATGGTAATATTATCAGCCAGCAATTTTGTTTCCAAATAAACTGAAAAGCCCCATGGATGAAAGTGATGTCATCCTGATGGTGCCTGCATTGCCACCTACAGGAGTGTCTGCCAATGACCGTGCACCTGGAGGTTTGTGTCACTGAGCGGCCAGCATGTGGCTGAGGTATTAGGCTGCCGCTCCTTTCCCAACCACTGAATCCTGTCCAAGGTTGCCTAGGGCATCCCGCCCTCACTGATAACCCTTTCCTGAGCAAAACCTCCCTCAAGGATGCAAACAGATGCCATTCAGAACAGAGGCCAACAAACGCAACACCAGTTCTTTGGGGCCCTTGTGTGGTGAGCACTAATGCTTGTGATTAAAGAGGATATCTGAATGAGCATGGAAAATCCCAGTGCTTTCTCAGTAATCACTATTAAGATGAAAGCATAATGAGCACATTATAACAACTAGCCCAGAACAACTATGATAGTAACAATCAACATATTCACTTCGTTTCTCTTTTCTTATTTTCAAAATATGTATTTCAGGTTTATAAAGTGAGCCATATACACAGATAGTTCTCGTTCCATGAGCACCTATGTGCTGGGCCCTTTATATGGGTATTATCTGCACAATATCCCCTCAAGGGCTGAGAAACAGAAGCTTCCGGAGGATATGAAACTAGACCAAAGTTAGGTTGGAGGTAGCAGAAGAGACAGAATTCCAACCCAGAACACCCCTATGCTGCTGTGGCCCCTCTAAATTCAGCCACTCTGCATACCTTGCCCTTTGAGCTGTTATTAAACAACAGTGTGGCACGTTAAAAATACTTGAGAAGGCCAGGCACGGTGGCTCACGCCTGTAATCCCAGAACTTTGGAAGGCAGAGCTGGGCAAGTCAGGAGTTCGAGACCAGACTGGGAAACACGGCAAAACCTTGTCTCTACTAAAAATACAAAAATTAACTGGGCATGGTTGCAAGAGCTTCTAATCCCAGCTACTCTGGAGACTGAGGCATGAGAATTGCTTGAACCTGGGAGGCAGAGGTTGCAGTGAGTGGAGACCGCACCACTGCACTCCAGCCTGAGAGGCAGAGTGAGACTGTTTCCAAGAGAAAAATCACCGCGTAATTGATTTAAATGTGCAGGTGGGTTTAATACAACTCCAAAGATGCAGAATTCCTAGTTTAATATAACTTTCCTCAGCATGAGAATCATGTTGATCCTCCTCCTCTCCAGACACCAAGTGAGCTGATACTCTGGAGACAGAGCATGATCGCTTGGTGTGATGGAGCCACGGAGTTTTGTAGTGCAAGAAAAAGGGCTGCAGGTGATTGTTCCAGTTAAAGGGACCCCAGTCCCACCCCACTGTCAGGAGTCTGTTTTGTGTGGTTCTTGCTAGAAGAGGTCAGTAATACCCTCTCAGTGCTGTGGTCACTTGTCTTAGGAAAGCTTACACATGTAGCCAGTATGCATTCAAAACGAATCAGCACAAAACTGCCACGTACCCATCCACCTGTTAAGGAAAAGGCTCAGCACTGGGGAAGCTCTGAGGACACATAAATATGTTGGAGGACACCCACTCCCTGCCCCCAAGGAGGTCAGCACTGCCCATGGGATATACACATCCTCTACGTTTCTATTCTGTTGATAGCCAATATCTTGCATTTTGTAATTATAAACAGAACCTTGATTTTTAATAGTTTTACCACCTATATTTGCATCTCTAAACAGCAGTTTATTTTTGCCTATTTTTGAGCATTTTATAAATGAAGTTAACTTTATGTATTAAGGCTCAGGTTTTGAACGTACAAACTGTACCACACTGATTCAAATAGACATAGTTCATGTTGTGTTTACTAATATTTCAAGTAAAATAATGTAATTACAGGTATAATGTTTCTTCAAATCATGCAGCTCTCAGTAGAGTCTATTTATAGCAAAGATGCTTCACATTTGAAACCAACAGTGACTGGCAAATAGAATCCACCAGAAACCTGGGCACTCAAAATGTAACAGGCATGCAATCCATTGCAAGCCTGGTTAGGGAGGGGCTGTATCGCCTAGCATTACTCCCTAAAAAGTGGCCTCAAAACCTCAATGATAGGCAACAGGGGCCCACTTTGGGCATCTTCGCAGCCGTTGTCATAAAAAGTTTACATTCAGAAACTGGTCTCACCACTTCACTGCTCTCGCCGCAAGCACAGAGCACCATTATCTCCAGCAATTCCCAAGACCCTCACTCGCCCTGCACCTTACATTTCTTTGGCTCTGTATGGCAGTCACAGCTCTAAAGCTTCTAGTTGCAGAAGTTACTCCAGTGGGAATACTCCAAGTATGCCTCGTCCTCGCTTGCCTTGGCTTCTGCATAAGGTTAGTAAGAAGCAAAGCATGGCCAGGACTCCAGGGAAATGAATGGACGAAGACCAAGAAAGCCAGATGGCATAACCAGATAGCAAAACCAAGACATCATGGGCCACTTTGATGCTCAAGCCACCACCCACTGTCATTAACCGGGACAGGGAGGGGGTGGTGTGTTTTATGAATGGACTTGGTGCCTTCCATAATTCCCTCATCCTCAGAATCATGAACCGAGACACATACTTTGGGTTCTCCTTTCTGGGATGAGAGACGTGCAGATCTGTGTGGTCCAAGTTTGAATACTAGGGCCATCCTGCCTCTTTAGAATTCTGGGACGACCTCTCTTGCCAGATGCTGTTCCTCTGCCCTAATGGAATGTGGCGTCACAGTGCAGGGCTGAGGTCAGATCCACTCTTCTTAGTGGACACGACCTTCAGTTTTATAGAGCAAGAGGGTCTCATCTTAGAATATGTCTTTAAGTGACTGATTTTTAATCATTTACTTATTTGTTTGTTTATTTATTTATTGAGATGGAGTCTCGCTCAGTCGCCAGGCTGGAGTGCAATGGCACGATCTCGGCTCACTGCAACCTCCGCCTCCCGGGTTCAAGCGATTCTCCTGCCTCAGCCTCCTGAGTAGCCGGGACTACAGGCACCAGCCACCACACCCAGCTAATTTTCGTATTTTTAGTAGAGACAGGGTTTCACCATGTTGGCCAGGATGGTCTCGATCTCTTGACCTCATGATCCACCTGCCTCGGCCTCCCAAAGTGCTGGGATTACAGGCGTGAGCCACCATGCCCGGCCTAAATGAATGATTTTAAACCATATCCCTTTTCAAGTCACAGCAGTGCAACGCCTTAAAATCCAAGGCCCGTTTCCCTCTTGCTTTGATTGGTGGGCACAACCCTTAGTTCTTAGGAACCCAGGGGAACAGAGGTTGGGAAGAGAACTGCCGTGAGAAACCCAAATTGTTTAGGTGGCATCTGGGGTCAGCTAGACATTGACGAGGCAGCTCTGTGATGCTGGCTGGGCTTATTCACATTCACGTCTGGGGATTGGCTGGTAGTTGGGTAACCCCAACTAGCCTGGGCTGGGGGGCCGGGGTAGCTCAGCGGTCTTCCATATGGCTGTCGTCTTCCAACAGGCTCGTGTGGGTGAAGGCAGGCACAGACGGTGCACACACATGGCCCATTGCTTCCCCGACCAACCTGGAATCCAAAGGAAGAGGCAGGCGAGCAAAGCGGGCTGTACAGAGGAGGGGGCAGAGGTGCTTCTGAGAGGGGTATCGGACGGTGCTCAGGGAGCCTCAGGGGCCACCTAGCGTTGTGTTACCTCCAAAGCAGTGCTTTCTCGGAGTAACAGAGGGCGGGCCCAGAGCCAAATAGCTGGATTCTGAAACACAAAGAGCTACCACGAGACTAGTTTTTATTACACTAAAAATTCTTCATTAAGTTTTTATCATTGCCAACCTAAATCTATATAAACATATAATATATTTTATGTATATATTATTTTTACTTAAATATGTATGTATATATTTATAACATTTTATATACATATTTGTGTATAAATTTTCATAGATAATATTTATATATTTATATAGAACTTAGGTTGCCAATGATGAAAACCTAGTGAATAATATTTAGTATATTTATATATTTTATATAGTTATGAATATATAATATACTTAAGTTATATACATTACATTAAATATATTTAATTTATATTATACACAATATATTAGATTATATCTATAGTTATCATATTTATATATAAATACATACGCTTATATATAAATATAGGTAACTTTTCCCCTAAGTTGCTCCTATAGTTGTTTTTGGCTCTAGGGGACATGGAAGCAAGCAGGCAGATGAGGGGCCCAGGAATAAGTGACTCACTTCAGCACAAGCTGCATCTCCCGAGCCAGGGTGGAAATTTAGGAATTTGCTGATACACAGTCATGCCCCTCCTCCCTCCCAACATCAAAATTGACAGTGCTGCCTGGCCTGACCCGCCTCCCCTTGCTCATATCAGCCTGGCCTGGATCTGAGACCCCTGCCCAAGAGGGGCCTTGGATATAATTGCACTTCTCCTTTTCCAGACCCCACACAAGAAATAAGAAAAGCCTGGAGTCGTGTCCAGTCCTGACTGCTCCTTTCCCAGAGTTCTAGGCCTCTCGAAGGCTGAGGCCACGCTGGGATAAGAGGAAGACGGCACCGCTTGGAGACCTTCTGAGAATGGGGGCCAGGCTACACAATCCACCCGAGTTTTCTTCTTTTGTCCTCACAACCCTACGAGGCAAGAAATTGCCATCTTCACTCTCCCAGCTAGGGAAACTGAGGCTCAGAAAGGCCAAGCAATGGGCCCAAGTCATGCAGCGAGCAAGGGACAGGGCTGGGATTGGAAGCCAGGCCTCTCAGCTTCCAACGTCCTGGGGCTGGGAGCCGGTGGGGGTTCCAGGGCCCGGGAAGACCCCAAAGCCCAAAGTGAAATGCACCCTCTGCTCATGACCCGTTATATTGCAAGGGCTGCTAATTTCAATGTGATATGTCCTAGGAGGCATATATGTTAAATCACTCATTTCTCTAGATCAGGGATATGCAAACCAAGGTCCTCAGTCAAAATGGGCCCACAGCCTGGTTTTTGTTGTTGTTGTTGTTTTCTTGCTTGTTTTGTTTTGTTTTGTTTTGCTTAAGATGGAATCTCACTCTGTCACCCAGGCTGGAGTACAGTGGGCTGGATCTCAGCTGACTGCACCCTCCGCCTCCCTGGTTCAAGCAATTCTCCTGCCTCAGTCTTCTGAGTAGCTGGGATTTCAGGGGCCCACCACCACACCTGGCTAATTTTTGTATTTTTAGTAGAAACTGGGTTTCGCCATGTTGACCAGGCTGGTCTCGAACTCCTGGCCTCAAGTGATCCACCCGCCTCAGCCTCCCAAAGTGCTGGGATTACAGGCGTGAGCCACCGTGCCCAGCCCCACAGCCTGTTTTTATTAGCCATTTTTTGGACATGCCTGTTTGCTTGCGTGTTGCCTACAGCCGCTTCTGTTCTTTAACAGCAGAGGTGAGTCAGCATAACAGACAGTATGGCCCACGAAGCCGCCATATTTACTGCCTGGTCCTTGACAGAAAAAGTTTGCTAATTGCTGACCTGGATTAAAATCCACAGAACCTTTTCTATGCAGGGATGTGCTTCCCTATGTCCTGGCCATGCCTGGTCCCAGCACCACCTGTTTTAGCCAGACCTGTGTCTGGGCCAAGCTCAGCAAAGTTCTGCGATCTGATGTCATTTAAAGACACTGTTGACTGGGCATGGTGGCTCACGCCTGTAATCTCAACACTTTGGGAGGCCAAGGTGGCTGGATCACCTGAGGTCTGGAGTTTGAGACCAGCCTGGCCAACATGGTGAAACCCTGTCTCTCCTAAAAAAAAAATTACAAATATTAGCCAGGTATGTGTGGTGCATGCCTGTAATCCCAGCTCCTCAGAGGCTGAGGCAGGAGAATCTCTTGAACCTTGAAGGCAGAGGTTGCAGTGAGCCAAGATTGTGCCACTACACTCCAACCTGTGCAACAGAGTGAGACCGTCTCAAAAAAAAAAAAATAAAAGACAGTGTTAATATGGTATCAGATTGTGGCTGCCACATCACACATATTCTTTTCTCCTGCAGAGGCCATATTCAGTTTGGATAACCCTGAAATTTGGTTACTCGACTCTTAGTTAAATAATGTTTCTTTGCATTGTTGGTGGTTTGGGTAGTTTTCAATACGTGGGCTCGATGAAGACATAGACATATTATTCAGGATTTTTATTTTTCTTTTTTGAGACAGGGTCTTGCTCTGTTGACCAAGCTGGAGTGCAGTGATACAATCATAGCTCACTGCAGCCTTGAACTCCTGAGCTCAAGCAGTCCTCCCACATCAGCCTCCCAAGTAGCTGGGACTACAGGTATGTGCCACAATGCCCGCTAATTTTTTCTTTTCTTTTTTCTTTTTTTTTTTTTTTTGTAGAGATGGGGTCTCGCTATGTTGCCCAGGCTGATCTTGAACTCCTGGCCTCAAGCGATCCTCCAGCCTTGGCCTCCCAATGTGCTGGGATTACAGGTGTGAGCCACTGCCCCTGGTTATTCAGGCCTGTTACGTTCCAGATTCTTCCTTCACTTCCATAGAGAAATCCCTAGTGATAAAGAATTTATGAGCCAAGGGAAATATCTTGGAGTTTTAGGCATCTAATAAATATATTCATCTTCTGATGATGATGATAATTAGCATGTATTGATGCTTACCAAGCTCTGGGTAAAATGCTAAGTGTTTTACACATATTGTCTCATTTAATCTTCTCAACAATGCTATGTGCTCAGGTACTGAACAGCCTCATTTTACAGATGGGAAACTAGCAAAGTTGAAAGACTGTCCACGTTCACACAGCAGCAAATTAGACAAGCTGGAATTTGCACCTGTGCATTTGACTCCGAAGTCTGAACTCTCTCTAGGAATTTACACTCTGCAAGGGTGTGGAACACATACCAGACATCACATAAACTTTACAAATGATAAAGGAGCACCTGCCCTAACCCCAAGCAGACAGACAACAAGGGCCAGGATGGATTTTAGAACACTCTGACCTGTGAGAGAGGCGGACAGGCCTGCACCAGCTGTATTTCTGTAGTGACATACACAGGTGTATCACGCAGGGAGCCTGTCCAGTCACGGAGCCCTGGGACTGTACCATCAACACAGTTTTTGTTTGTTTGTTCTTCAGGTGACATCGAGAGCTCCCCCTGGGAGGTGGGGTTGGGGATGCTCCTTAGGAACCTCACTGGAAAGATGAGTCAAGCAGGTATCCAAGTCCAATTACCCGGCTCAGGGCTTGACATCACAGATGTGGGACTTGCCTGAGATGGGGCTGATGAGCAGGAAGCTGATTGGGGCCCTTGCAGGGCAACACACAACAAACCAATCAAACCTCCTTCCTGAAATCACTGTGCGCGCTGTGGGGGTGGCAGCGGGGGAGGGGGGGCGTGGCTTCCTGCCAATACATCATGGGTATTATTTGTTCCCTCATGAAGAGCAATAGCAATGAAATCCACATTTCCAAATTATGGAGTGCTGTGTGCCTACGTGGCACTCAATGCCAGTAATACCAGGATGGGGGTTTGGTGACTGTGTCCTGGAGATGCCTTGGGGGTCTGGGAGCACCTGGACAGCACAGAAATCAGTTTCTCCAGCTGTAACCAGAGTGCCAGGAGATTCCTGCAGTTCATCTAGAGGACTTTTCCAGGAAACCCAGCAAACAGTAGGATCTCAGCCACACGAAATCATTTAGTTAAGTAGCTACAGTTTACTTTATGGAGTCGCCGTTTGCCATGTTAATTCTTGATGACAGCCCAGGATGTGGGCTGCAGACTGAACCCACTTCCTTCACCAGACTGACCACCGAGCACGGCTCTCCCTCCCTCCTCAGCCTCTCAAGATGGTAGATGCACCCACCTGCAAACTTTTCTCTCCGACAGAAAGGCCTCTTCTTCAGGACTAACTGACCTACCGCAGGCTACTGCCCCTGGAACTTGCCAGCAAATTCACTCCCGGGATCCATGTCAAATCAGGGTTGCCAGAGGAAAGTCAGGGCATGTATTTTCATCTGCTGACTTGGGGCAGCCCTGGGTCAAATCCCCATCCCTCAACTCAGCACCTCTGTTGCAACAAAGCAGGCACAGCTGCGGTTGCAGGTAGTTCTCGAGATACAGCAGGCCATTCCTGCAGGACTAAAAGCAGCTGCGATGACTTATTGGCCAAGAGAGAAAATGACCATCCAGCCAAGTCCTTGTAGAAATGAAAATGGAACGTAATGAACCAGTCTCTCTTACACTGGCCTGTCTGCCCCACCCACACTTAGTTTCTTTCCCCACTCTCCCTATAATAAAAATACCATGGGTTTTAAGACCATTTCATCACATACTTTATTGGACATCTCCTGTGGCTGGTCACTGGGATAGAGTAACCAGGAAATGCAGTCGGCCCTCATGAATGAACAAAACTTACAACCCCAGGAGGGGAGCCAGAAACTCAATTAGTGGCTTAGTTTCCACAACACTACGTGCTACAAAGAGGTACAGAACAATTCCAGGCAAACTAAGAACCTGCCCCAGCCTGGAGGACAGGCATGGGGGTGAGGGAACCCACAGGCAAGAAGCCTCCCTTAAGCTGAGCTCAGGACTGGATGAAATGATCTTGGTGGGGCAGGAGGGAAAGTTCCAGGCAGGGAAAACAGCAGGGAGTGTGTGGTGGTTGGAGGTGCCTGCCTAAGGGAGGCAGGAGATGGTAGGTACAGAGTTAGTGTAAGAAAGCCCAAGAGAGGCTGGGGGACCAGATCCCACAGGCCCTGGGAGGCGAAAAAGTAAAAACAGCTTGTATTTAATGGGAATGTCCTATTACATGGAAATTCACTTGGAAACTGAAGCTCAGAGAAGTTACCATACCATGGTGGAAATGGGTGGGTATTTGTTCTCAAATCCAGTCAG
This sequence comes from Homo sapiens, assembly GCF_000001405.40. Lineage (NCBI taxonomy): Eukaryota > Metazoa > Chordata > Mammalia > Primates > Hominidae > Homo > Homo sapiens. The sequence continues at coordinate 128,097,245 of NC_000010.11, forward strand.
CCTAGGGGAATGGGCAGTATTTGTCAGATCTCTCCCTCCCCCAGTACCAAGGAGGGTTGTGTAGAAGTGGTGTTCATCTATTAAACACGGGGGTAGCCCTTAAATGAACATTTTTAACCCATCATCAACAGCCCTGTAAAATGAAAACCACCCTTAGCGTGCTCTTGAAATACTGTACTTACCAGGGTGAGAAAAGGTGCTGACATACTTCAGCAAGATTTCTGGTTAGAGCTGAACTCTAAAGGATTTTTCTACTAAACAGAATATTCCACTCCACAGGCATATGGCTGGATGAAATTTTTCTATGTGAGGTTCATAATTACTACTAAGTCTAAAGTGTTAGAACAACTTGATCATAGCAACATTCCTACTGAAAGTTTTGAGGTTGGCCTACGTAGAAGGAAGCATTTATGCCTCACACCTTCCAAAGTGCCTCTGCTAAGAGCCACTCTTCCTTGAACACCCTCCCCTGTTCTGCCCTGGTGCAATCCCTGTACCCTTTGCAGCCCTGTGAAGCCCTCAGATGTCCCCTCCCTGCCCCTTTCTATTCCCTCCCTCAAGCAGAATGTCATTCTCCCTTACGATCATGGATGACGCTGTGAGAACCCTATCATGGCAGCCAATATAGTACAAGTCAGTACCGCTGATTTCTGCATTCATTCAGCAAGTATTTATGATGTCACCTGGCTCCCCGCCAGACACTGGGGAAACAAACGTGGAGACAGGGCACTGCCCGCACAGGGCACATTTTGGGGGACAGCTACCCTGTCTGGTGCACCATCCTCACCTGCACCTGGCAAGGTGGGTGAATGGGGAGGAATCCAGACAGGTGACCTGGGGGATGGCGGGCTATTCTCTGATTTGGGGAACACAGAGAGGACAGGGGGCAAAGTGGAAAGTAAATGAAGATGAACGAGTTATATCTACAAGTCTGAAGCTGGAGAAAGATGTCTGGGCTTCAAAGGAGATTTCGGAGGCAGCGGCTCACAAGGAAGCGATCCTGAAATCGTGGCTGAAGGTGCTGAGTGCTCAGTCTCTCCAAGGATGATGATGCTTTACAGAGTACTGGTGTCACTTCCTGTACTGGGTGGCATCGGGCTGCCAGATAGAGTCAGAAAGAAAACAGGCGGGAGCAGAGCCAGTAAACTTCCGAAGCTTTCAATGACAGGAAAGCTGGAGATTAGGAGCCAGTTTGAGGTCGTGATGGCCCACAGCCTGGGACCCTGAGATTCCGCGGGTGGAGAATGTCTCAGGTGAGAGCAACCCTAGTTAGAAAAGTATTCCCAAGAGACCAAGGCAAGCCACGAGTCACTCCTTACAGAAAGTCACTCTTGGTCCCTAAAGATGTGCTCACGAGTCATTCTCCAAAGCACAAAACTTTATTTTCAGAAAGGAAAGGACATCAAAAATAGGACTGTCCTGTGCAGATGTCCAATAGCCTTAATTTGGGGACCAAATGCCCCCGGCCATTGGAAAGACAGATCTTGTAAGCTCCATTCATCCGTGCGCTCATCCATTCATTCGTGTTTACCGAGTGCCTGCTCAGTGTTGGGACAGACGAGGATAGTTGTTCCTGCCACCGTGCCCTGGAGGACATAGGCAAACAAACGACGACACAGTGTGGCAAGTGTCACAGTTAAGGCTGCTGTAGGGTGGCTGTGGGTGGTGACAGACCTCAAGGCTTCATTCTGCAAAGCTGAGGGCAAACCTTGGCCCAGACTCCTTCACAAAGCCCCCGGTGTTCAACTATTCTCAGTCCAGGAGCCCAGCAGTGCTCCCAGTGGAGTTTATGAAGCCGATTCAGACCCAGCAAATCCAAAGTTTTCTTCCCTTAAGCAGACTGACAGCCTTACTTACAGAATTCACTTGTAATTTATGACAAAAACTGCACTAGAACTTATCACAAAACTAACTTTATTATATTTTTCCCAGTTCGATTTTTCTGTCAAATATCTTCACTGTCCCTATGACTTCTGGTTCTTATTTTCTTGACACACACATTGTCCTCAGCCTGTGTGGGAAGAAAAAAAATAGAACTCTTAAGTAATTTAAACACCCATTTTTAGAATCGACCTCCTCTGCAAAACCCCAAAGGCTTACTAGGTATTATGCAGGTCCTTAGTTGCAGAAAATTAATTTTGAGGTTGGAAATAAGTTTTAAAATATATTCCATTAACATTGTTTTTCTTGACTTGAACTGCTTTTATTATGCAGTTTTTTTACACTTAAATAATGTGATCTTTTCATACAGAAGTTCCTAATGCATTTTTAAGCTAATTCATAATAAAATTTCTTCATCGATGCACACATTTTCACAAACTAAAAAATGTCACTCAGAAAAAGTGAATCCAACCAGGATTAAGTCTTTTGGGTCTCCTAAACCAAGGAACCCCTGTAGACAGAAGCATGCCCAACTTGCATGCAGGAGACCTGCCTTGGCCTTTACTCTTGCAGTAGTTCTCACCCCTTGGCTAAGGGAGAGGAACCATGGTGAAAAGCATGGCTACAAGCTTCTTACTGGAAAAAATCTATCTTATATATGCATTTTCTAGGACTACCGACACCCACCGAAGAGCTCGGCAAAGAGGAGCATGTGTGTGTTGGGCGTCTCCTGGGTGCTTGTGTGTGAGAAGAGGCTGGAACGCCCCCGGCAGAACACACCAGGCCTGGCTCAGCCTTGGGCCTGGTTGCTCTGTGTTTAGGAATCATCCTAGTTAAAAGATTCGCTTTCACCCTTCTTTGGTTTCATTCTGAGGAAGCAGCACCTTCCAGACTGTGAATTCGGTAAGCGCCTGGAGCCTGCGTTTTATTGTAAGACTCGACGGGTGAACGTGCTGACCCACGTCAGCTGTTGCGTCCCTGGTGTGCCTGTGGTTTCTAGGACCTTGTCTGGCACTGTCGGGTGTCTTCTGCTTCCAGCCTGCCCCAGAAGTACAGTCTCTGACTTAGGACACCTGTGTGGGCATCAGTGCCCTTCTTGAGCCTCTCCTCTTCCCTCTCTGGAACAGTCTATGGGCATCTCCCCACTAGGACTTCCTGCCCACCATCCAGACACACAAGCCCTCCCCCTCCACTGGCTGCCTGGCTATGCAGCAGGTACTGGGGACACCTGGGAATCTTTCCTTTTCTTGGCAGTTGAAGCTTCCTAGTTTGTGCCGAAGAGGGTCTGTCTGGACAGCTGTACTTGCCAGAATTCTGTATCTGAAGAGGTTATTGCTACATGAGTTTCGTTTGCTGAACTCAGAATATGGTAGTTTTAGGTCCAAATTTTGTGTGTGCTAAGAATTAAATTTATATTATATTTTTGTGAATTGCTCACAAAAAGGGAGCAATTCAACCTATTTTTATTTTAGCTAAACCAAGTATTCCCCAGAAGAACACTAATGGAATCTAATCATTCTTATGGATTTGTCCACATGCTTGTAATTATGAGTGGCTCAACTTGATGTGATTTCAGTAGCACTTAAAGTTCATTAGCTTAGATAGTCTCTGGCTGGAGGAGGGTTGGAGGGCAGACGCATCCCCCACTGACCAGGAACTCTCACATAGTGAGCATGTGTCTCAGGGACATCCCAACTTCTGTTCCTTCTGCCTTTCCAAAGAATGCCTTGGAAATTTTTCTGTTTCAATAGTTTTTTTTGGAAAAAGAATTTTCCTGTTTCAAGAGGTGATTTTGAACTACAGAAAGGCTGAAGACATCTACCTACAATTGTATCATGAGGTACATCATAAGCAGTCAGAAATTAGCCACTAGACAAATTCCTTTTCTTTCTGAAGAAAGTCTTCATAACGTGAATTTGCTATTTGAAGTGAAATTCCCAAAGTAGACACAACAAAATATAACTAAAATGACCAAATTTATGTCTTAGCATAATGCTCCTTCCATTAATGTAACTGGGAGCTGGCAGAGTGCTGTTGAAGATAATGCTTTTTGTTTGCCTTTGCAACCTTGGGCAAAAAATACATCAAAACATTCTGTGTCTTTTAAAACAGGGAAACAGTAAATGGCTTACCTTCTTTGGATTTTCTGCACACCTCTTGACACTCCGCGTTACTCTCTGCACAGATTTGCTCTCCAAAGTGCTTGCTGCAGGCTGGCTTTTTGTCTTTCTTGATCTCAGGCACATGGAGTCTGAATTTCCTGCTTCTCCTTTCCCTTTCTGATTCTGCATGAGAACCTTCGCACTCTTCTGCCCTCCGCTCTCCTCTGCCACCTTAGGCTGGGAGCTCTCATTCTGTCTAGCAGACCTCAAGCACCTTTTGTTCTCAGTGACTTTGTCTCTAGGTATGGGTTTCCGGGCTCCATCATCTGGATTCTGAATGTCCATCTCTGGGGAGGTCTTCATGGGCTTCTTTTCATTTCTGTTTATTTCTATTCTTTCTGCTAATACAAAGACCTCAGTTATTTGCTGTTCTGCCTCAGTCTTATTTTGGCGTCTGGAGCGCAGGGATATTCCCTAAAGAAATGAGAAGACATCCACAAAATTCCAATAATTAGTAAAACAAACTTCAAAATTCAACAGGGAGCACAATCAACAGTAACCTAAAAGGAGAAATCATTTGAAAATCACACACTGATGAATTGTCTAAGAGACTTGTCATCTAGGATAGTCAAGGTAATGCCTTGGTACTTTGCTCCTATGGAGAAATGACTGTCTCTGCTGACAAATTATAAATAAGGAATTCAGGATAAATTTCAATAACAATGCCTAATAAGATATATATCAAATCTAATTTTTACAGTTTACATTATAGAAAGAAGGTCCGTTATTCATTCATTTACAGGGAGTAAATGAATTCCTATTCCTTTAACCATCACTGCTAAGGCAGAACAGGAAATTGCCATTTCTGGAGTTTCCCCAAACTTCTCTGCATGCAGTGGGAGCCTCTCTATCTAACAGTCCAGACAGTTTCCCCTTCTCAAGAATACACATTCCTTATTGATATTGTTCTGATAGTTAAAATAGTGACATAGATAGGATTTTTAACCCAGTCCTGGTCTTGGTGACAGTATCCAGAACATAGAACTGAACCACCCACCTATCCTCTGATCAATTTTTTAAACATTTGAAGATGAACATTACTCATTTGGCTTTTGAGAAACTCTTCTAAGTTTGCATTAATCATGTTTGACTAGTTCTTTTCCCATATTAGTCTATTCCCTCTATAGGTCCCAAGAAGATTCTTTACCATGGCCTGCAGTTATTCAGTGTTAAAGGAAACCCTCTGGGGAAAGGATAACCACTTATAACGTCAGGTTACATGCAAAGTATAACACAGAAATTCACAACTATCCAAGACGATATTGAGTGATGCTGTAATACTTCCTCTCACCTTATTTTCAGGGACCGAGTCTTGTAATTTGTGTTCCTCTTTGTTGGTTTTCATGTCGTTGCTGTTCAGCTCTTCCGCAGGTTCAATTCTTTTTGCAGAAGTCCTCAAACTTCTCTTCATGATGACCACGGGTTCGGATGATTTGCCTCTTGCCCTGGGAGCAACCCTCTGCTTCTTGCTGGCTGGCAGCTCCTCCACAATTTCCTCTGGTGCTGGCATGCAGCGCAGCCTCTTGGTTCCCGTGACGCTTCCATCTTTGCCACCTCCCCTCTTGAAGGGCAGTGGGGGCAGGGAAGTGTTGCTTTTGCTTTGTGATTTTACAGGGTCTCTGGTGCTTACCACGTCTCCCACGGGTTCTACTTTAGGGGCCCGAAGAACTCTTCTGGATATTTTTAGAGGTTTTCCACTGTCAGGTGTTTGCTTTGGAGCGCTTGTAAAGCTATCAGCAGCACCATTTGCCAGTTCCTCAGTGTGGCCTGGTGTTTGAGAGAGCTCTTGGAAGCTGGCCAGATCTTCCAGGGGTTGGGCCTTTTCCTTAGGTGCTCTTGGCTGTCTCCTGCTGCCAATTACATCTTCTGCGTCCAGCTTCCGCTTTGCAGGTTGCTTAAATGCTTTCGTGCCTTTGCCCTCACCTACCGGCTCTTTGTCGGTGTGCGTGGTCTCCCCTGAGGTTTGTGTGAGCTTGCCAACTGCTAACAGCTCCTCCTTCACTTCTACTTTCTGGGCACGTGTCCTGGGCCGTCTCTTTGAGCTTGTTGCGGTGTCTTCTAGTTCTGGTGATGATTTGCAGGGTATTTTAGTGGTTTTGTCATCAGTCATTGATTCTTCAGTGTGACCTGCTGCTGGGTCTTTGAAGCCAGCTAGGTCTTCTATGGCTTGGGCACTTTCCCTGGGTGCTCTTGGCCGTCTCCTGCTGCCAGTTACACTTGCTGCTGGAGCCGGTGTCTGTTTTGCAGATTCCTTCAATGCTTTGATGCCTTTATCTTCACCTGCTGGTTCTTTGTCTGCATCCGTGGTTTCCCCTGATGTTTGTGTGAACTTGACTGCTGAAGGCTCTTCTTTTACTTGTACCTTCTGCACACGTGTCCTGAGATGCCTCTTTGTGCTTGCTGTGGTGTCTACCACTTCTAGTGGGGGAGATTCGCAGGGTATTTTAGTGGCTTTGCCAGCAGTCAGTGATTCCTGAGTGTGACCTGATGTTTCAGAGAGCTCTGTGAAGCCGGCCAGGTCTTCCAGGGGTTGGGCCTTTTCCTTAGGTGCTCTTGGCCTTCTCCTGCTGGGTTCCTCTTCTACTGGGTTTGGTTTCTTCTTTGCACGTTGCTTCAATACTTTGATGCCCTCATCACCGCTTGCTGGTTCTTTGTGTGTGTGTGTGCTTTGCCCTGATGTTTGCGTGAGCCTCTCAACTGCTGAGAGCTCCTCTTTTACTTCTTTCCTGGGACGTGTCTTGGGGCATCTCTTTGTGCTCGTGGCAGTGTCTGTTAGTTCTGGTGGGGGAGATTTGCAGGGAATTTTTGTGTTTTTGTCAATAGTCATTGACTCTTCAGTGTGACCTGGTGCTGAGAAGAGCTCTTTGAAGTCAACCAGGTCTTCTAGAGCACGGGCCTTTTCCTTACGAGTTCTCAGCTGCCTCCTGCTACCAGTTACACTTGCTGCTGGGTCCAGGATCTGCTTTGGAGACTCCTTAAACGCTTTGATGCTCTTACTATCTCCTGTTGGCTCTGTGTGTGTTTGCGTAGTCTCCCCTGATGTCCGTGTGAGCTTGCTGACTGCTAGGGGCTCTTCTTTCATGTCCACTTTCACCAGGGGTATCTTGAGCCTTTGCTTGGAGCTTCTTGAGGTTTTGAATGACTCTGGCTGTGGAGATTTACAGGATACTTCTGTGATTTTGTCATCAGTCATTGATTCCTCAGTGTGACCTGGTGTCTGGAAGAGTTCTTTGAAGCCAACCAGGTCCTCTAGAGCCTCAGCCTTTTCCTTAGGAGTCTGTGGCTGTCTCTTGCTGCCAGGTAAATTTCCTAGCAGGTCCAGTTTCTGCACTGGAGTTTCCACAAATGTGTTGATATTTTTCTCATCACTTACTGCTGGTTTTGGTGTGTCCATGGCTTTGCCTGCTGATGGTGTTCGTTTCCTGAGTGCTAAAAATTCTTCCTCTACGTCTGCTTTCCTGAGGTTTCTCTTGGGCCGTTGCTTTGTGCTTGCTGGGGTGTCCACTGGGTCTGGTTGTGGAGATTTGCAGGCTATTTTGGTAGTTTTCTCATCAGTCGTGGGCTTGTCAGTGCCTGGTGTCTGGAAGAGCTCTTTGAAGCCAGCCAGGTCTTCTAGAGCCTGGGCCTTTTCCTTAGGAGTTTGTGGCCATCTTTTGCTGCCAGGTAAATTTCCTGGCAGGTCCAATTTCTGCACTGGAGTTCCCATAAATGCTTTCATGTCTTTCTCATCACCTCCTGCTGGTTTGGGTGTGTCCATAGCTTTCCCTACTGATGGTGTTCGTTTCCTGAGTGCTAAGGATTCTTCCTCTACGTCTGCTTTCCTGAGACTTCTCTTGGACTGTGGCTTGAAGATTGTTGGGGTACCCACTGGGTCTGGTTGTGGAGATCTGCAGGCTATTTTGGTAGTTTTCTCATGAGTCGTGGGCTTGTCAGTGCATATTGGTGTCTGGAAGAGCTCTTTCAAGCCAGCCAAGTCTTCTAGGGGTTGGGCTTTTCCCTTAGGAGTTCTTGGCTGCCTCTTGCTACCAGTTACACTTGCTGCTGGGTCCAGTTTCTGTTTTGCAGTTTCCCTGAACACGTTGATGCCTTTATCCTCATCTCCTGGTACTTTGTCTGTGTGTGTGGTCTGTGTGAGCTGCTTCAGGGCTGAGAGCTCTTCCACTATATCCCTTTTCCCCAAAGGTGTTTTGGGCCGCCTCCTTGTGCTTGTTGGAGTGTCCATTGATTCTGGTGGTGGAGATTTGCAGGCTATTTTGGTAGTTTTGTCATCAGTTGTTGATTCCTCAGTGTGGTCTGGTGTCTGGAAGAGCTCTTTGAAGCCGGCCAGGTCTTCTAGTGATTGGGCCTCTTCCTTAGGTGTTCTTGGCCACCTCTCCATCCCAGTTCCATAGTTTGCTGGGTCCAGCATCTGCTTTGCAGATTCCTTAAACGCTTTGATGCTCTTTCCATCTCCTGCTGTCTCTCTGTGTGTCTGTGTGGTCTTCCCTGACGTCTGTGTGAGCTTGCCGACTGGTAGGACCTCTTCTTTCACACCTACTTTCCCCAAGGATATCTTGAGTCGTTGCTTGGAGCTTGTTGGGGTTTTGACTGGGTCTGGTTGTGGAGATTTGCAGGATACTTCTGTGATTTTGTCATCGGTCATTGATTCCTCAGTGTGACCTGGTGTCTGGAAGAGCTCTTTGAAGCCAGCCAGATCTTCTAGAGCCTTGGCCTTTTCTTTAGGAGTTTGTGGCCGTCTCTTGCTGCCAGGTAAATTTCCTAGCAGGTCCAGTTTCTCCACTGGAGTCCCCACAAATGTGTTGATGTCTTTCTCTTCACCTACTGCTGCTTTAGGCGTGTGCATGGCTTTGCCTGCTGATGGTGTTAGTTTCCTGAATGCTAAAAATTCTTCCTCTACGTCTGCTTTCTTGAGGCTTCTCTTGGGCCGTTGCTTTGTGTTTGTTGGGGTGTCCGCTGGGTCTGATTGCGGAGATTTGCAGAGTATTTTTTTGGTAGTTTTCTCATCAGTCGTGGGGTTATCAGTGCATGGTGTCTGGAAAAGCTCTCTGAAGCCAGTCAGTTCTTCTAGAGCCTGGGCCTTTTCCTTACGAGTTTGTAGCCGTCTATTGCTGCCAGGTAAATTTCCTGGCTGGTCCAGTTTCTGCACTGGAGTTCCCAAAAACGTGTTGATGTCTTTCTCTTCACCTACTGCTGGTTTGGGTGTGTGCATGGCTTTGCCTGCTGATGGCGTTTGTTTCCTAAATGCTAAAAATTCTTCTTCAGTGTCTGCTTTCCTGAGACTTCTCTTGGGCTGTGGCTTGGAGCTTGTTGGGGTGTCCACTAGGTCTGGCTGTGAAGCTCTGTAGGATACTTTGGTAGTTTTTTCGTTAGTCATTGATTCCTTAGTGTGACTTGGTGTCTGGAAGAGCTCGATGAAGCCGGCCAGGTCTTCAGGGACTTCAGACTTTCCCTTAGGAGTTCTCAGCTGCCTCTTGCTGCCAGTTAGACTTGCTGCTGAGTCTAAGATCTGCTTTGGAGACTCCATAAATGCTTTCATGCTCTTACCATCTCCTGTTGGCTCTGTGTGTGTGTGTGTAGTCTCTCCTGATGTCTGTGTGAGCTTGCCAACTGCTAGGAGCTCTTCTTTCACGCCCACTTTCCCCAGGGATGTCTTGAGCCGTCGCTTGGAGCTTGCTGGGTTTTTGTCTGGGTCTGGTTGTGAAGATTTGCAGGCTACTTTGGCAGTTTTATCGTTAGTCATTGATTCCTCAGTGTGACCTCGTGTCTGGAAGAGCTCTTTAAAGCCAGCCAGGTCTTCTAGAGCCTGGGCCTTTTCCTTAGGAGTTTGTAGCCGTCTCTTGCTGCCAGTTAAGTTCTCTGTCAGGTCCAGTTTCTGCACTGGAGTTCCCATAAATGCGTAGATGTTTTTCTCACCACTTACTGCTGGTTTGGGTGTGTGCATGGCTTTGCCTGCTGATGGTGTTCGTTTCCTGAGTGCGAAGAATTCTTCTTCTACGTCCACTTTCCTGAGACTTCTCTTGGACTGTGGCTTGGAGCTTGTTGGTGTGTCCACTGGGTCTGGTTGTGATCTGCAGGCTATTTTGGTAGTTTTCTCGTGAGTCGTGGGCTTGTCAGTGCATACTGGTGTCTGGAAGAGCTCTTTCAAGCCAGCCAGGTCTTCTAGGGGTTGGGCCTTTTCCTTAGTTTTTGGGTGCCTCTTGCTACCAGTTACACTTGCTGCTGGGTCCAGTTTCTGTTTTGCAGTTTCCCTAAACGCGTTGATGCTTTTATCCTCACCTCCTGGTACTTTATCTGTGTGTGTGGTTTCCCCTGATGTCTGTGTGAGCTTCTTCAGGGCTGAGAGCTCCTTCTGTACGTCCCTTTTCTCCAAAGGTGTCTTGGGCTGCCTTCTTGTGCTTGTTGGGGTGTCTGCTGATTCTGGTGGAGAAGATTCGCAGGGCATTTTAGTAGTTTTGCCAGCAGCCACTGCTTCTTCAGTATGACCAGGGGTCTGGAAGAGCTCTTTAAAGCCAGTCAGGTCTTCCAGAGCCTGGGCCTCTTCCTTAGGAGTTTGTGGCCGTCTCTTGCTGCCGGTTAAGTTCTCTGTCAGGTCCAGTTTCTGCACTGGAGTTCCCACAAATATGATGATGTCTTTCTCTTCACCTACTGATGGTTTAGGCGTGTGCATGGCTTTGCCTGCTGATGGCATTAGATTCCTGCACGCTAAGAGTTCTCCCTCTACATCTGCTTTCCTGATACTTCTCTTGGGTCGTTGCTTTGTGCTTGTTGGGGTGTCCACTGGGTCTGACTGTGGAGAGTCGCAGGGTATTTTAGTGGTTTTACCAGCAGCCACTAATTCCTCGGTGTGACCAGGAGTCTGGAAGAGCTCTTTAAAGCCAGCCAGGTCTTCTAGAGCCTGGGCCTTTTCCTTAGGAGTCTGTAGCTGTCTTTTGCTGCCAGGTAAAGTTCCTGCCAGGTCCAGTTTCTGCACTGGAGTTCCCATAAATGCTTTAATGTCTTTCTCATCACCTCCTGCTGGTTTGGGCGTAAGCATGGCTTTCCCTGCTGATGGTGTTAGTTTCCTGAGTGCTAAGAATTCTTCCTCTACATCTGCTTTCCTGAGACTTCTCTTAGGCCATTGCTTTGTGCTTGTTGGAGTGTCCACTGATTCTGGTGGTGGAGATTTGCAGGCTATTTTGGTAGTTTTCTCATCAGTCATTGATTCCTCAGAGGGACCTGGTGTCTGGAAGAGCTCTTTGAAGCCAGCCAGGTCTTCTAGTGACTGGGCCTCTTCCTTAGGCGTTCTTGGCCACTTCTTCATTCCAGTTACACGGGCTGCTGGGTCCAGGATCTGCTTTGGAGACTCCTTAAACGTTCTGATGCTCTTGCCATCTCCTGCTGGCTCTCTGTGCGTGTGCGTGGTCTCCCCTGACGTCCGTGTGAACTTGCCGACTGCTAGGAGCTCTTCTTTCACACCTACTTTCCCCAGGGATGCCTTCAACTGTTGTTTTGTGTGTGTTGGGGTGTTTATTGGTTCTGGTTGTAATGACTGGCAGGGCATTTTAGTGATTTTGCCTTTCTCACTCTTTGGTGCCTTGGCATGATCTTGGGTTTGGAGGAGATTCTGGCCACGTGCCGTGTCTTTCATGAGTTCTGTATCAGGCAAGCTCTTGAGGTCTGTCAGGTCAGACATTGGTGCACATTTCTGCCCCCAAGTTCTTGATCTCTTCATTGCTTTCATCTTTTCATCGTTTTCTTTTAATTCAATATTTTCCTTATATGTCTCAAAAGGTCTTTCTATTTCCTTCATCTCTCCTTCTCTCCTTTGTTGTAGTAGTGTTGCCTTCTGACCTCTTTTTAGGATGCACTCAACAATTTCTGTATTTGTTTCTTCACTCTTACTTTCCACAGGTAGCTTCTGTATATTCCTGAACTCTGTAGACCTTCCTGACCTGTTTGCAGTGGATACTGTTTTTGAAGGCTCTGTCTCAGTATCTGAAGTTTTTGTCTCCAGAGAAGTCATTTTGTAGGTGTTCCTGGGCGTTTTTGCTACGTTTCCATTTTCTCTAATACACTGCCGTCTTAAGGGAGGGCTTGCAGAGCATTTATCAGATGGCTGTTTTGCTGCATTCTGTGCACTGAAGAACACATTTCCTCCTGAAATAAAAACATACACAATAAAAACATTCTATTAGTGTCTCATGTCAATCGAGTATTACAGCCTCATAAAATATGGTAAAAAACTAAATATTTAGCTTCGTATTCACTGAACGACATGAGGCTACTTATGTGTCTATAAATCTGTCTTATAAGAGCCATGCACAATTAAGAATAATGTTATTTGGTGCTATAGTGGGGTCATCATTAAGCAAAGTTAGATGCTGAAATGATCATAGAAGGTAAAAATACTGCTTCAGAAGGTTCCTCCAAAGGTTGCCATGCCCTGTGTCATTGACGTAAATATAGGCATTTTTTCCTTCAAACATTAGAAACAAACAGCTGTTTCTTGCCTTAAATCGCCAATAAAATAACATGGATTATCCTTATGTGGTTAGGGTCCATATTACACAGGAAATATTTACCTACCGCAAACATCTTCAGGGTAGCAAGCTGTTCCCTCTGTGACAGGAATACAGTGACCAGTGCCAAATGAGAGATTAGACAGATTCTCATCTCCCATCTCACACTTACCCCGGGCCTGCTCCCACCTAAAAGGTTAGCAGGAATAATTGCACAGTATACAAACTGTTATCTTTCTGTTTTGTAATTGGCAGTAATTTTGAATATGAGTAATTTATATGTAAATATGGTGAGACACCATTGTATTTTTTTGCTATGTCACCCTGGTTACTTACAATAAAGAAGCCAAAAGTGTACACAGGTCATTTACACACATTAACGGAGTCTTTCTTTCTATATAAGTCAATGAATGCCAATGTTAGTTCAACTGCTGATTGAAATCTCCCTTTCAATTAGAACAGAGAAGACGGAAATGGTATTTTGTGCCAGGAACATTTGTTTTAGAGAAGTAATATCATACTGCTTGTAAAAAAATAATACTGTATGTTCCTATCCCAAAACATCACAGTGTTAGGAAACAAGGAAACCAACCAAAACTCTCTGAGGTGGGGAGCAGAGGTTCTTCTCCTGAATCAGTTCCTTGAAACTGTTTTCCAAGCAAATTCTCTGAATTTGAAATAGCGATGTGACATGTGCTTGTCAACTGCGGTTGCTCCTTCACTGGGGTCTTGAACATTTCAGCTATTCCTGTTAAATGAAAATATTTGAAAAGTGATTGACATATTGCTAACATGCAGACAACCATCCCAGCCCTCACATGTAACGTGCAAATGGTGGGAAATAACAGTAGATTCCTCCCTTGAAATCCTGGTACATAGGCCTCATAAAAAGAGTGATTCCATTAATAATGTACTCATTTTGTAAAAAAGAGAGCACAGAGAAGATATGTTATGCTCTTCGCTTTGCTTTTCTTGGAAAGGAAACAAATGAAGTTAGCTGACCTCTGGGTCCTCCTAACAAGACCCCACACGTGAGCTCTGGAGCACGGAGGCTGGTGACGGGCTCCTGAGACCCATAGGCCTCCCTGCTAGGATCTAGAGGCCAAATGCCTTCATGCTTCTCAAAGTCTTGGGTGCTCAGTTCTAGATTTTAAGTACAAATAACACGTACCCACATTTTAGAAAATGACAAAGAGCTGCCCATTTTTAGTACTGTCAAGTAATAATATATATTTTTGAAAATCTAATATCATTATCATTCTGTTTGGAATGATAGGAGGCCTCAGCCTCCCAAAGTGTTGGGATTACAGGCGTGAGCCACTGCGCCGGCCATCCCCACTTTAAATTACACAAGTCAGGCCACAATTTACTGAGAGTGGGAATTGAATGGAAATATTTCTTCAACAATCGTTTATGGGAATCTTCTCATAGGGCTTTCTTTCAAGAAAGTTAAGCTACCTAGAAAGTCAATCCTGAAGAAGCAAAATGTTGCTCAACAACAACTGGCCCACACCTGGGATAAACTATTATTGTACCTGCAGATTAACAAGTTAACTCTCTTCACTGTAAAGCACCTTCCAGCTTTCTATGTATACGCTGCTCTCCAGGGTAAAGACATGCATTTGACATTTCCACACCTATTTCATGCAGGACATGTGATCCCAAAAATTAGCAGAGACTTGTCTTTGCAAGCCAAAACAGCTTTATCTTCCCTGAACACTAAGACCCCAGAAGGGTGATTGAGTCGTTTATTTTATAATCTCTTTCACAGCAGATAAACAAAGTTAGCAAAACAAACATTAACACAGTAAAAAACAGTAGAGTCAAAAGATTTATAAGATCTAAGACTACGTTTTTACCTGAAAGATCTTCCTTAAAGTCCATTTTTTGGTTGGAAATGAAGTTGTTGAGCACTCTGTAGGGTCGAGCAGGCACATGTACTTTTTCAGTATGAGCTTTCCCTATTATTATGGTACAAGGAGAGTTTGCGTGGCCTGTACTAAATTGACTGTGAACTTCGCCCACAGGCTTCTGTAGAAAACAGGAAGGAGGTAAACAGGACATTAAAGCATAAATCCACACTGAATGCAAGCTTCGATGACACCGGTATGTGTAAAGCAGCCATTCAGTGAGGCCCCTACCTTTGGAGTAGCAGGTCTTCTTTGCCTTTTGTTCATTGACCTTTGAGGACCATGTTTTATGACTTTAGTTTGTGTTTGTTTTGCACCAAGTTTTACTACATCTGCCCATGATTTTGCAACTGTCAAAGGGAAAAGACGAAACTTTTCAAAAATTAGCATTCATGAAAAAATTCACCTTAATATATGTATTCTAATGTCAGACTAACCAATCAGATTTGCTTCCGAAGCACCACTTCTTCTTTTGGAACATATCATCTGTAAAATATCATGTTGACTTCGGCTGATAGACACTCTCTTTGAAGGCAGGTTGCCACTCTTTCTCCCTCCTCTCTTAGGAACCTCTGTCTGAGATTTGCTGCTGGAAGCAGGGGCTGTTTTGCAGGACCTACGGCGTTGATCACTGGCAACTGGAGTTTTCCTAGGACTAGGAGCTGGAGGGCTTATAACCAAGCTTTGTGCCTTCACTTCCACATGGATTTCTGAACCTGACTCTTGTTTTCCTGATGGTTGAGGCTGTTCCTGACAAGACAAAATTGTTTACAAGAAGCCTTAACAAGGATCTAACATCTCTGGAATGACTGATAAAAACCTATTCAGTTAAGAATTTCAGCTGTTTAAATCTTGAAGCATCAAATGCTTAAGCCACTGTCTTTGAAGACTATGGTAGAGGTGAGACTGTCTCAGTCATTTAAGGAAAAGGAAAGAGAAGCAAGCCAAGTCTGAAGTGAGGTCATTTCAGGTAAAAAGGTGGAAGGAACATCCTGATCAGTGAAAGACAAGCAGGGTCTGATCTCAGTCCCAGTAAATACCAGCTGTGAGCACCCAGCCCCCGGCAGTCCACATGGAGGGAGGACTGCTTGCCCCTGGGAGCCAGTGTAAAATGGAAAGGGAGCCAGACATCACTTTCCACTCCTGCTGGGAAGAGAAGGAAAGAAAGACCGCCCAGGCCCTATTACAAAGGTTATGAGCTATAGGGCCATGACTTCCCAGAGGTGTGAAACCCAGGAAGGACAACACAGCAAAGGAACAGGCAAGCAAATATTCTAAAGAGCTGAAGGTGTAAAAGGAAGATGTGCCATTGATTTTCCTTCACACCAGGTAAATGCCTTAACTATAGCCTTGTAACTCTAAAAGAAAATAAAACAATCCTTATGGGTCGACGTGGTAATGTATCCAGAATCTTTGTAATTGGCTATTCTGACGGTGCCTGCAGGTGATTACGCAGTGCTGTAAGCGTGGGTGTCTGGGAACTTCTGCACGAAAAGGACAACATCAAGGACTCCCCCGACTCGGTCGCATCAGCACCACGGTCAGGGACCCAGGGGCTCCTTTGCTGGTGCCCACATCAATGAGCTTTCATTCGTCTTTTTAAAAACTTGTTTCTTTAATAAATAAATAAAGGTCTTCATCATAATTCTACTTGTGTCAGTATTTGGAAAGGAATAGGTACCCGGTGTGTGAGCCACTGGGCGTGAATGGGATGCTGCTTGTTCAACTCACCTTGATGATTTTCTTCAGGACAGGTGGAGTGTGCATTACCAGAGACTTTCTTTTGGTTGGGGCTTCTCCCCTTTTGAGAGGCGTATTAGGAGGCAAGTTTTCATCAAATAGTTCAGGTCTTAGGTGCCCACCAAAGGACACACGCCTTCTTTTCAAAGGTATTCCCTCACTCTCATCTAAAGTAACGGATACAAATGTGGAAAGAGCAATGAAAAAACATACCAAGACTAGTGATTTATTTCACGTTAGCATTAAAGACAAACCAAGTGAAAAGTCATCGAAACACAGTACCTACAGCACGCCTCTATTCTTGCAATCCTGGTGAAGCTAAGCTACTAAGAGTTCCTAAAGGATTGCGGGAGTGGCCACTAAGACGTCAAGTTGCCACTGGACAGTACAGAGGCTTTCTTTAAAACATTGAAACATTATGTGTGGACATAGAAAGGAGGAGTCTGCAGCAGCAGATTTCACCTTAGAGTAGGGGGACGACAGCCAGAGAACTCTCTAAAGACATGCACTTGGGTCTCAGCCTGAGCCACCCAGTGACCAGAATGCATGAGCTGTAAAAACTCCTCCAGGTGGTTCTGAGTCAATTCACAGGAGCCCAGTCCCGGCCACACATTTTCCTGAGCCACCAGTTAATGTAAATCCCTTGCCTAAGTGATGCTTCCCCACTAGGAAGCTTGGTGGAATACTGAGACTGATGTTACAAACCTTATTTTATCGACAGCCTCATGCCCCACCGCTATAGGCCACCTGCAGAAACACAGCCTGGAGTACGAATACTGCGTCTGTGGCCCAGACAACTTTTCTTCTAATAGCCAGTCCCTAGGAGTGTAGGAAGCTCCCGAGGAGCTACCACACCTGCTATAAAGGTCCTACCTCTGCCACTTCCTGACTGGCCTTGGGTTGTGCGTTTCCTCATGTGTGACATAGCTCTAAAAAGACAACCTAGCCACGGGCACTGCTATTGCACCAAGGATCAAGTGTTCATGTGGCATATGGACTCATGGGTACAGTCCAGTGTTTACAGCAAATTGTTTGTAGGACACTCTGAAAACAGAGTATCAACACCTGAGAACTACCGCTATGTTTAATGATTACCAGTGATTTATTCCACATGACCAAACTCATATGATACAGTTGATTGTAGTTCAGAATTAAACTCCATGTGAAAAGCAATTATGATTATTCTCTTTTCTATTTTGTGATAGATGGAGGAGAATCAAATATTTTTGGGGCCACCCTATCTCCTTCAATAACCCCTGCTTCATGATTGCCTGACAACTTCCATCTCTTCTGTCATTCCTTGTTACAATTACCTAGGCCTTCAGTATTCATCTATTAGCGAAAACAGCGTGCGTGTCTGTCTTATCCCTGTGCCTTATGTGCTTACATTCTCTTCCACAAAGCTAATCACTACTGAAAGAATGAAGGTCTCACAGCTACATAGAAGGTGTTCATCTTTTAGAAAAATAAATTTACAATTAAATAAACTTACTAATGGAATCACCAAAGTTGTTGATATCAACTGAACTAAGACCAGGTAACCCAGAGCACATCTGTCCAGCTGTAGTGCCCAATTTCTCAGGCTTGCTGAGGGAATCCTTTTGGATCTTCCTCTCAACTTGAGTGAGCCACAGAGTTAAAAATGGCTCATTGTGAATTTCAGTTTCCGTAGGCAGAACTTCCACATCTGTAGGAATACTTCCTCTGGTTTTGGAAGAGAGATTTTCTGGCTTAGTGGCAGAGTCAGCTGCATCTTCAACTTTAGCTGGTGTTCGATTTCTAGTTGAAAGCTTCCTGGGAGTAAGAGTTTTATCACCAGCCTTGAAGCCTTCACTTTTACCCAGATTCACAGATTCTCTTCTACCAGTAGTATACAGGTCTTTGTTCTTATGTTTTTGTGGAGAATTTTGTTGCTGTGAATATTGTACAGGGGTCTTCATTTTAGCCGGCTCATAGAGAGGAAAGCTGGCGCCCACAGCCTTGCTGGGAGTCTGAACAGACTCCACGTCTCTTCCCTTCCCCTTGTTCTGGTCAAGCTCTTGTTCAGGTGAAGCAGGCTCTGCCACAGCGTGGCCGCTCCCACCAGATTTTGGTCTTGACTTACGCGAGACCAACAGTTGGGTCTCCCCCTGTAAACCATCAGCACTTTCTTTCTCTGTTGCGTAATCAGTTTGTAATCCAGATTTTCTACAATACTGTAGGACATTTTCTTTTTGTGATTTTACATCCAACTCTTTCTTCACTGACTCATAAAGCTTCCAAAAGGGAGATTCATTTTTTTTGCTATTGTCAAGACATTGTGTAGTGGGAACAGACTTCAATTCTCCATAACGGCTCACTAATTTAACGCTGGAAATTTCTTTAAAATCCCCAGAAATGGGATCAGCTGCATTTCTGCCATTACGTCCAGCATGTTCTGAGGAATGAACATTAGTTGTTCCCTGAGCAACACTGTCTTTTGAGTCATCTGCGGTACTGTCTTCTTTGACATTCTTGATATGTACCTGAGGATTTCCTGAAACTTTTCCTTCAGTGATTTTTGAATAGGCCTTGGAATCTTGAGCTTTCTCATCTTGGCAATGAATTATGAAATAAGAAACAGAAGTTCAGCATTTTCTCAATGATTAACATTTGTGGAATTCAATATTTTAATTGTTTCAGGTTGTCTTATAAGCTAGCTTTTACTTGGCCTACAAATTATTTAATGCCTAAAACTTGCAAGTCTTATGATACTAGTATTATGATACAAATATATAAATCATATCAGCTCCAATAACCAGTATGAAATAGCACATGCTATCTAACTACTGAGAACTGAGTTGACAGCTGAACAGGCAATTTTCTCATATCTAGAGTCTCTCCTAAGCATAGCATACCATCAGTCACCAAGGGAAAGTTAGGCATCTGTCTGTCGTTGACATGTTAAATGACACCTCCTCCATTTCTGACAGGCTAGACATTTAGCACTTGCATTCTTGTTGCCCCTTCTTTGCCAATATGCTTCGCAAAGACCTGATCTTTCAGGATTCTGGAACAAAACCCAACCACTACTCACCAGGGTCAGAAGAGAAGCTAGATCTTGAGACACGACGTGCTGGCTCCTGTAAGTTGGGAAAATAAGAACAGTTATTTGCAGGTCTTTCTAAATGATGACAGTCACAACAGTGAAAATATTATTTATTGTTTTCTGGCTGGGCATGATGGCTCATGCCTGTAATCCCAGCACTTTGGGAGGCCAAGGTGGGCGGATCACTTGAGGTCAGGAGTTTGAGAACAGCCTGGCCAACATGATGTAACCTCATCTCTACTGCAAATACAAACATTAGCTGGATGTGGTGGCAGGTGCCTGTAGTCCCAGCTACTCAGGTGGCCGAGGCAGGAGAATTGCTGGAACCCGGGAGGCAGAGGTTGCAGTGAGCAGAGATTGCACCACTGCACTCTAGCCTGGGCAATAAAGCGAGACTCTGTCTCAAAAAATAAAAATAAAAACAATAAAAAATTGTTTTCTTTACCAAACCACTCGTATATGACTTTTAAAGACTGTTTGAGAAATGAGCTCAAGTCAGTTGGGAGCTAGTGGTCAGGATAAAAGTACTTATTAGCTGACTCATTAAAAAATAGTGAGTGATTAATAGGAAACAAATTCGAGGCTTAAAATTACTAAAATCAAACCTCGGTGTGTTTTTATAACTTCCTTTAAAGATATTTCCCAACATCCTATTGCGGAAGAACCAAAGTCAATATTAAACATCACCTATACTGAAGATCTGTAACCCCCCACGAGCTCAGAACTACTGACTGCGTCATCAGTTTTCTCATAAATGGGCCATAGGACCTGTCGATGAACTGAGGCTCCACTTGGCATGTGCGCCCTCTTGGCTGGTGGATACTTAGGGTGGATCTGAGAGCCTAGATTCACCCTAGGTAAATTCATGGTACAGGCACACATGGTATATTCACAGATTCTGCAACCTCACAGCCTGGGAGCAGGCGCAGCGCCCCCACCTGGCTCCCCAGAGACAGCGCCCTAACTTTCCTTCATATGGAATTATTTCCGGAAGGGTGGAAGAACTAAAGAATAACATATATATATAACTTTTATAAAAGTCTGATGCCCCAAAGGAAGAAAAGCTTATCATCTGGATTATTAAGAAAATATCTAAAAAATATTAACAAAGGCAAAGAATCTAACTTCCTTAATCAATTTTAGGTTTCTTGATACGTAACACCTTGCTTCTAAAACTATCTATGTGAGGGATGGTTTTTTATTTCCAATCTGAAGTGGAACAAGAATCTTATGACTAAACAATATAAATGAACCACTAATAAAATTATGAATATGTAAAGTATATAATCTCACTTTTGTTGTACGATTACATTCAATAGCCACAAAATTGCTGTCGAATTGCTGTCATATTTACTACATACTCCATTTCAGTACTCACTATATCACAGACCAGTAACAGAACAAACAGTTCCTAGACTGCTGAGTGGCACATATCTAACCCACAGTTCAACTGGCTTTTTGGTTTATTTACTCCCATAGACTAGCAAGTTGCCTGGTGGCTACAGTGTGGGATGCCTCAGAAACTGGCTTCCAGCACGGGAACTGATGACCATCAGATTCAACATTAAGGCTGCTCCTCTAGGGAAGAAGGCAGTACTTAAATGGCAGAAATGGACTGGGCATGGTGGCTCAAGCCTGTAATCCCAGCACTTTGGGAGGCCCAGGTGGGTGGATCACGAGGTTAGGAGTTCAAGACCAGCCTGGTCAATATGGTGAAACCCTGTCTCTACTAAAAATACAAAAATTAGCCAGGCATGGTGGTGTGCACCTGTAGTCCCAGCTACTCGGGAGGCTGAGGCAGGAGAATTGCTTGAACCCAGGAGGCGGAGGTTGCAGTGAGCCAAGATCGCACCACTGCACTCCAGCCTGGGTGACGGAGTGAGACTCCGTCTCAGAAAAAAAAAAAAAAAAAAAGGCAGAAATGTTGAAATTCAAGAGTACCTACTGCTAATTTCAGGTGCACCTAAGATAACTCTCCTAAGCCAAGATATTCCAAGGAGCTCATCTGAAACTAGCTTTAGGAGCACTCTAAAATGTAGGAAAAATATGAATTCTCAGGGCTCATCCTAAGCCTAAATCCCACTAAATTTCCAAGCACATGCCGACAACTGTGTTTTAATAAGCTGTACAACTAAAATACCTCTTCCACACTGATATACTCAAACTATCTAAATTGCGAAGCACGTGTCGACAATTATGTTTTCATAAGCTGTACAATTGGAATACCTGTTCCACACTGATACACTCAAACTATAGGATTCTCTCACAAGACAAAGCACAGGATCCCTTTTCCTGTTTCATGGGTCGTCTATCTATCAAAATAGAGAAGCATCTTTGGCACTCATGATTTTCATAATGTGATTATTTCAGACACATAAAGACGGATGAGTACAATGACTGGGCGACAAAATGAGCCACCAGATAATGCAATTCCCAAATGTTAGCTCTACGTGTTGGGGTTATCCTAATCATGGGTTTGCAAAAAGCTCGCAACATGCTCTAATAGACTTTTTGGCTAAAAGTGTAAGACCAACTTAGTGCTCTGATTTTGAACAATAAAGAGGAAATATCATTTTAGATTATTTTAATACGTCTAAGTTCAACTCGTTTTTATACTTTAGTTACATTTTCCTACTATAACAGTAACCACCCTCTTTGTAACTGATTTCAAGTAAGAAATCATTAAAGCATACATAAATGATTTCATATCATCGAAACGAATCAGCCCAAACTTGGATATTTTCTATCACCTGTTCACGTATTTTTCTTGGAAATTCAGTTGACTTCCTTCCATTCTGAAGACTTTCATTTTCATACCTGCAGTTTATAGAACGACAAAGATCCTGATTAAAAATTTATACCCTGGGGCGGAAGTCTCCATATCCACTTAATGTCCAAGGATCAACGAACAAACTTTGGGTTTAGTTCAAGACATCACCTTATACAAAGAAATAAATTTAGAGTTAGAAAAGTGCTTTTACACTAAAAACTAGGATTAGTTGCATCGAGTTTGTTTTGAAATACCACTGTCAGAGGCTGGGGACCCAGATTAACTTCTGATCACTGACGAACAGCCCAGGTATGATTTGACAATATTACCAAGCACCTTCTATGACATAAGCTAATGCACATGAGAGCAAAGTCAAGTTTCTTCTAGTTTAAGTCCATGGAAATCATCGGATGGCTTGGAAGGCCAGCCAGGAAGCCTGTAGGTAACTGAATCTTTCTCACGTTGTGAAGTTACATACTTCAGGGTAAATAAAAAGCTACACTTACACTACAGGGTAACTACAAACCTATATTTTAGAACACTATGATCACTTCAGTTTCCCACACATTCAGTCTGTATCTGAACAAGACAGGTACATCTTAAGAAGATCACCTTTAGCAAGATACATAATTGTCCTGGCAAACCTCAGTGATCAAGTCATAGAAGCAATCCTTTATTTTGCATAATGAAAACTTTTGGCCTCAGTGAAATGACCTGATTTGAATTTATAGGCAACCTAAGTAAGATCTGAAGCAGTCACACATCTGATATTATTTCTCATGGTAGAGAGTTTGGAATCAAGTCTCTCTTTCTAAGATTCACTTTCAAATCTTTGTTGGATGTCTTTAATCATCTGAATTTATCTCAATTTGGATAATATCTTGTTTTGAAAAATAGTTCAGCCCTCCAATAAACATCAAAAGCTTCCTACCTATAGGCCGGGCGCAGTGGCTCATGCCTGTAATCTCAGCATTTTGGGAGGCTGAAGCAGGTGGATCACTTGAGACCAAGAGTTCAAGACCAGCCTGGCCATCATGGTGAAACGCCGTCTCTACTAAAAATTGCAAAAATTAGCCGGGTGTTGTGGCGCGTGCCTGTAATCCCAGCTACTTGGTAGGCTGAGGCATGAGAATCACTTGAACCCGGGAGGCGGAGGTTGCAGTGAGCCAAGATCACACCACTGCACTCCAGCCTGGGTGACAGAGCAAGACTCTGTCTCAAAAACAAACAAACAAACAAACAAAAAGAAAAAGAAAAAAAGAAAAACTTCCTACATAGAAGTCTGTATTCAATAAAAATACTCTTTAAAAATGAAGGCAAACTTCCCAGAAGCACAGTAAAAGAAATGACTAGGGAATTTAAGTGGTGCATTAAAAAACAGCTAATACAAATGAAGACAATAACAGAGATTCATTTAGCAGAATGGATTTTTAAATGACCCAACTAATACGTTGTCTACAAGAGACGCAATTTTGATTCAAAGACACAATCTTTTAAAATAAAAGCATGGGAAAAGATATACCATGCAAACAGCAAGCAGAGGGGAACTGGAGTACTGTACTAACATGAGACAAAATCATCTCAGACAAAAGTTATTCATAGAGAAAAAGGACATTTTATATAAGGATCAATCCAGCAAGAAGATATTCCAGTTAAACACAAGAGGTCACCTGACAACAGGTTCCAAGAGACAACTTAAACCATAACAATTATGAAAAGTTAAAATTAAGGGGGTGGAAAAGTTATACTACACAAGCACTCATCAAAAGGAAATTAGTTTAACCATACTCATCATCCAAAGGAAACATTAAGCAGAAAAGAAAGCACTACTAAAAACAGAGGACATCTCTAAATGACAGAGTTCCATGCACCAAGACATCATTCTAAGTTTGTACACCATAGTACAGCCTCAAAATATACAAAGCAAAAACTGATAGAGATAAAAACAAATCAATCAATCAATCCTCAGTAGGTGATTTGAACATATCTCTTAGAATAATAGTAGGGGAAAATTTACTAAGATTATAGATTTGAATCTAACGGGAGTGTGTGTATCTGTATATGTGTATATATATTACATATTATATATGTATATATTATATATTATATAATATAAATATATTGTATATATATTGTATATGTATTATATATACCATATAGTATATACTGTATACAGTATATACTATATGGTATATATAATATATATTATTATATTATATATTACTATATAACATATAGTATATACTATATAATATTATATATTATATTATAATTATATATGATTATATATAATATATTATAATTATATATTATATAAGTGATATATATAATAATTATATATTACATATATATGAGACACTGTAGAATACAGTTTTCAATTACACAAGGCAGATTAGTAAGATAATTAGCCATATCTGCTCATAAAGCAAACCTTGACACATTTCAAAGACTAGACATTAGTCAAATGTCCATCAAGAATGAATGAATTCTGTATAGTTATGTATATTATTGTATATATTAAACATTTTTTTTTCAGTGAAATACTTATGCCATGAGAAGGAACAAACTACAGAGATGTCCAACATGCTATGAATCTCACACACAGAAAAGCACAAGCCAGGCACAAATGTATACATTCTTGTATCACTGTTAAGGACTTTTATAAGAACAGACAAAACTATCGTGTTCAGAGATCCATGCTTAGGTAGTGAAACTCGAGACGTTTATGATATCCTAAAAGCCAAAACGGTGGTTTACTTGCTGAGGGAATGAAGTAGTGATTAGACAACAGCATTTTTAAAAAGCTTCTGGAAATGTTCTATATGAGCTGAGGATGTATTAGTCTGCTAGGGCCACCATAATAAAGTCCCACAGACTGAATGCCTTGAAAAACAGACATGCCCTTCTCAGTGCTGGAGGCTGGAAGTCCAAGAGCAAGGTGTCAGCTGGATTGGATTTCTCTGTGCCTCTCTCCTTGACTTGAAGATGGCTGCCTTCTTGCTGCCTCTTCTCATGGGCTTTCCTCTGTGCACGTGTTCCCTAATCTCCACTTATAATGACACCAATCATCAGATTAGGGCCCATACTAATAGCTCAAAAAGCCTTCATTGCCTTTTTAAATGCCCTCTTTCCAAATACAGTTACATCCTAAGGTACGAGGGGTTAGGAATTCAAAATATGAATTTCGGGAGAGCACAAATCAGTCCATAATAGGTGGTGATCAAAAGGGTGTTCACATGATAAATTGACCTGTCCATCTTGTTTTGTACCTTTTTCTCTGTGTATATTTTGCTTTAAAATAAAAAAGAATAGAAAAATCTCATGCAGTTTCAAAACACTTGGAAGAAAATAACAAACTCCTTTAGGACAAGGTCAACCTCCCTCTGCATAATTATTTGCACCCAAATCCTTGAATTCCATCACATTTTGTCCCAATTAGTCATCTTCCTAGATCCATATCCTTTTAAATTAAGATTAGTGTTGAGAATGAAAACCTGAAATACTTTGACATCCATGAACATTAAAGAAGAATGACAGTTGACTTTGACACTAGTTTATGGTTAATCAGAAGATGACATTTACTGTTAGACCAATCAGCTTTTACCTACCTGAAGGAACGATCAATAATAGTTATTACATCTCCATGTTTTAGCCGTACAGGCTCATCAATAACAGACCCATTTACTTGTGTTGGATTTGTGGAACTGAAATTATGTAATATTGCCTGCAAGTGAAAAGAAGGGGAAATATGTAACTAATGAACAGATTAAAAGTGAACTAAAAAGCTTTAAAAGTAGATCTTCAAAAAACCCACTCACCTCCTGCTCATGGATTTCAATTTTGCAATGTTGTTTTGACACAACAGGAAGCTGGATACGGATGTCACATTCAATACCCCTTCATGCAAAAGAAGAAGGTTTTTTTGGTTGCTGCAACTTTTTAAAAGATTACCTCAATTTCCCAAAATAAAACACAATTTGACTAGAATGTTTGATCTGTAAATATGACATAAAGGAGTAACAAACAAAATGGGCAATGTAAACGATCTTGCATTTTGCAAAGAACTTTTGGAAGTATTAAACATGTAACTATTAGATCTTTAAAACAGAGAGTATGTAAAAACAAGGGAAAACACTAGAACACAAATCGAATTACCTTTTATATGAAAAGCTATACTTAAAAGACACAAAGGAATACTTACATCAATTTTGGATAATGACTATTTTTAATACTCTGTGCTTTTTCAAAAACGTTTGTTTGTAATGTTAAATATGTTTAGAGGTTTAATCATCCCCAAATGTGCTTATTTGATGCTAGCACTTCTGTGCATCAGTTTCTTCATATACAATAAAGAAATTACATTAGAACCTACATCATGTGATGTTCAATTAAATGGTTGTACATGTCACTAATTTGCCTAGCACATAGTAAATGCTCATTATGGGTAAGCTTTTCATTGTTGTTTTAAAACTACACTGAATTTACTGACAGATTCAAGTCTCTAAACAATAAAAATACTAATTTGCAAGCGACACAAAAAAAAAATCTAAATTCAACTTGTTTTTCCACAGAAAGCTAACACCATGGCAAAGTAGCAGAAGAGACAATTCCTAAACCTATACAAACTAATAATCAGAAGAGTTTGTTAGTAGGTTCTTGGAGTCTTCAGTGTTCCTGTTCTAGCCTGTGATCTTAAAAATTTGAATAAACTATGCAATGGCCTGTCTGTTCTCCATCTGAACCTTTGGAGTCTAAGAATCTCTCTTCCTACCCAGGTCATGTGACCAAACACTTAGGAATTATTTCTAAATTATAAAATCTTGCATGAAGATATATTCAAGGAGTACTGTATAAAAAAGCAAAAGGACTGCCACTGGAGATGAAATGTTTATATTTTTCCTTTTCAAGAGAAAGGTATCTATGGAAAGTGAAAAGCTTCCTTAACCCCAATAAAATAATTTGATTTTAAGGTAACAGGACATCAGAGCAAAGGAAAGACTATCCCTTACAACTGAGAATTTGTTTGGCAGGAGGACGACTATAGATGGGTGTTTCTGAGCTTTGGCACTGTTGACATCTTGGGCCAGATGCTTCTGTATTGTGGGGGCTGCCCTGAGCCTGGTAGGATGCCCACCCTGACCTCTCCTCCGCGATGACAGCGCATGCCCCTGTCCTATATTGTGACATGGAAATTCAAATGAATCCTGGAAGGTTAGATGACCCTCCTGTGAGAACCACTGTTCTCAAGAGATTGCAAATCCATGGCTCCAGCCCATGTTTCTACTGACCCTTGCCAGAATGCTAGGTATTGATCACACCCCCTATGCCAGACACCATCCCTGGCCCTACACACGTGATTAGTAACAAGACAGTCTTTGCCTTTGGGGAGCTCAGCCTAGTGGGAGACAAACCCACAACTCACCCCTGAAGCTGTGGGGTTGGAAATACAAGTTTTCATGCAAGGCTTCCTCAGAGGTGACATTTCACCTGATGCCTGAATGATGGAAATCACACAAGCTTGAGGAAGGGGAGAACTTTCCCATTGTAAACTTCCAAGTGTGTAAGAAGTACCAAGGTGAACAAAGGCTTGGAATGCCTTAGGCGGGAGGAACAAGGTAGGGGATGGGGTTGGGAGGACAGGGTGAGGCCGGGATGGGGTTGGGAGGACAGGGTGAGGCCTGAATCCCGTGTGGTCTGGGAAATGACCACACGGGAAATGACCCCCCTTCTCAGGCCTCTAGTGGGACACATGTCAGAGGCTGATGGGGCACTGTCAGCAACTATACCTGTTATACAGGGACAGGGTTATTACCACCACCAAACAGGACAGCAATATAAGAGGAAACGTTCTCGAATTCCAGGCAGGAAGACTTTCTGTCCCATTTTCCTATTGCCACAAGGAGCCAAGAGACAAGTGTATGGCTTCCTTCCTTCATTCTCTGTGTCCCCAGTGGCCAGGGATGCCCACTGTGGAGGCACCCGGGGGCGCACAGTGTCTTCAGACGCCTGCCTGCAGCCAGTGACATATGAAGATCATCTACATCTTTCTTTACCGCAACATTAGCAAATCGATTTTTTTAATTGGCTTGATTTTTAAAACCACTTAAACATACAAACTAGCATCAAATTTATACTTACAAAACAAAAAAACACAACTATGTCAACTTAGTAACGAATGGGAGAAGCACCAAGGAAAAGTGACGGCAGGACCCAATCCTAGAGCGCGTTTCTGGACTTTATTCTGTGACTAAGGTATTTTCCTCTTTCTCAGCTAAAACGTCCGCGCGCGCCCGCGGGGCTCACCTTCCAAACAAGCAGGTGCTGAGGCTCAGGGGAAAGTGGGGACCGTCGACCCCGCTCCTTTTGATAGTAACCAGGCGTCTCGTGGGCCACATTTTCTAAACAGTAAGTTGAGTATAATCCGTAGGGGAAGGCCAGGTATAATCCGTAGGGGAAGGCCAGAAGCAAATTTACAACTCTTCCACTGCAAAAGAGGTGCGAGTTACTCTGATAGCAAAGGAGCTAAGAAGGGCCCCGTGCCCAATTCACCTATCCCCGGCCACAGAAGCGCACACCGCAGCTAGCTAGCGGGGACCCCAGGACGATCCGACCGCAGCCCCCGGCGCCCCAAAGTCCGGCAGCTGGGGTGTTGTCGCCAGCGCCTGCGCCTCCTGGGAGCTTCCACCGAGACGCCCTCGCCAGAGCCCAGGAGGAGTCGGGCCCAGGCCGCGCGTCTGTCCCCTGCCCGTCCCCGCAGAGCTCGGGGGGTCCCCGCGGCTCAGCCCTCGACCCCGGACAGCTCCCAGGAGTCCCGGCCGCAGCTCACCTGGGACGATCCGGCCCGCAAGGCCACTTGTCGAACCACCGCTCGTCAAGTCGCACCCAAAGTCCGCCGCAGGAGGAGCCGGCGCCGCGCTCACCTCCGCCCGGTAAGCTGCGCCCGCCACGCTCCGCACACACCGGGCCGCAGCCCGCGGGGTCGCGTTCGCTGCACCCCGGCCTGCAGTCCCCGCTGCTCCCGCCGCCGCCTCTGACGGGGACCCGGTGGCCCTACAGGCTACGTCCCCGGGCGCCCGGCTCTAGCGGCTCCCACCGAGTCGAGTCCTCCCGCCCGCCCGCCCGCCCGCAGCGTCAGCCCTCCACTTCCTTCTTCCAGCCCGGCGCGCCCGCCCAATTCAAACGAAAACGAAGATTCAAATTCTGGCGCTAAGCGCTGCGATTGAACGGGAAAGCGCGGCATGGGACCAATAGGAAGGGAGCGCAGGGCGTGGGCGGGGAGGGGGCGGGGAAACCGGGCTCGCGGGGCGGGGCTGGCGTGTCCGCGGGCGAGCCACTCACGCATCCGGAGGAAAATACCTGGGTGCATCCCCGGCGAGGGCGGCTGGCGGAGGGCAGAGGTGGAACACGCTCCCACCGAGATAACCCGTCCTGCTATCCTTTTCTTAAAGGACCAAACATCTGGGACACTATAACATTACTCATTGCCAGAAGATTTAAAACTGCTAAAAATTAAAAACAGGCGGGACGCGGTGGCTCACGCCGGTAATCCCCGCACTTTGGGAAGCTGAAGCAGGAAGATCCCTTGAGCCCGGGAGTTCAGAACCAGCCTGGGCCACCTGGAGAGAACCCATCTCTACAAAAAATTCGCCAGGCGTGGTGGCGCCCCTGTAGTTCTAGCTACTGGGACAGCTGAGGTGGGAGGATCGCTTGAGCCGGGGCGGTCGAGGCTGCAGTGAGCTGAGATCGCGCCACTGCACTCCAGCCTGGGCGACAGAGCAAAGCCCTGTCTCAAAAAAAAAAAAAAAAAAAAAAAAAAAATCGAAACCTTCCTCTTCAGTGCATACATCTTACCAAACACAAAAACAACCAATTATATAAAGTAGTTTGGTGTGTCTTTTCCTGCTATACGTGTATTCTCTTTTTCAAAAGCACAGAAAAAAAGGTCATAACATACACAACACGATTCTATACTTTGTGCTCTCTGCTTTTAAATATCCTGAGGCTATCTCCACTGAACACATTCTCGCTTTTACTCTCTGATGGCTGCAGAGCACTGGGCTTCGGGAAACCATAATTTACTTAATCATTACTATTGCCACATACTTAGGTTTACAATGTTTTGTTATTAGAAAACATTCTTCAATTGAAATGGCTTGTGCATGCCAAGATGGGTGAATCCTAAAATAATTCTACACAGGATTCTATCGGGGTCTGCTTCAGTTGCGCTGGTGGCCATGTGGGCTCAGTAGGCCACCTGGGGTGAAGTGAATGGAGCCTAAACACGCTTTTGGTGACAACGGCCTCTCTGCCCCATCTCACCTCCTCCAGCTCCCCAGCAACCCTTGGAGCTTGGCTCCCTTGATCAGGGAGGCCTCGATGCAGGGGACCCCTGAGGACTTCCTATTCCTTTCAGAGAGTCCATAAGGTCAAAACCATTTATCTAATGACCCTCTGTGTTACTTGCCCTTCTCATTCTCATGCTCCCAAGAGTGTGGGGTGTGGTTCTGCAAATGCAGAAGCAGTGAGGAGACTCCCACTGTCTCCGTTTCAACCAGGTATTACAGAGATTTGCAAAAATGTGAACTAAAGCGCTGTTTTCATTTTGTTGTTTTTTTTCCATAAAAATAAGTTATTGGTGTTAGCATGAAATAGGTGCATCACTATCTTAAAATGAATCAATAAATGAATATTTTTAAATTCCTTAGCCTTAACTTAAAATATATAAATATAGCTAGATATAACCCATCCACATTAACAAAAATTCCTGGTGGTTCTCAATAATTCTTAAGAGTGTAAAGGGACCACAAGATTGAAAAGACTGAGCCCTCTGCTCTAGAGCAACTACAAAGATATCAGCTGCTGATGGAAATAGAGAAACTGGGAAAGCAACATAAAAGCACAGGACAGCAACTCTAAATTGTATGGGCCAAGTCTGACGTAGAAAAATTCAGTGCGGGGATACTATTATATAAACGTTTTAGGGGGCATGAGTTTCCATGTTTTCCCCCATTAAACGATCAAACAAAGCCCACCACTGCATAACCCCATAAAACACAACTTTTCTCATCCTAATTACTGCTTGTTTCCAGAGACAGTTCTTCCACCCTCATGGATGCAGCCTAATTAGAACTAGAAGGTGCTAGGCCAGGCGCAGGGGCTCATGCTTGTAATCCCAGCACTTTGGGAGGCCAAGGTGGGTGGATCATGAGGTCAGGAATTCAAGACCAGACTGACCAATATGGTGAAACCCCATCTCTACTAAAAATACAAAAATTAGTCGGGTGTAGTGGCACACGCCTGTAGTCCCAGCTACTCGGAAGGCTGAGGCAGGAGAATCACTTGAACCCGGGAGGCAGTGGTTGCAGTAAGCCAAGGTCACGCCACTGCGCTTCAGCCTGGGCAACAGAGCGAGACTCCATCAAAAAAAAAAAATAGAAAAGAGAGAGAGACAGAAAGAAAGAACGAAGGAAAGAAAGAAAGAAAAAGAAAGAAAGAAAGAGAGAGAGAAGAAAAAGAGAGGAGAAAAAGAAAGAAAGAGAGAAGAAAAAGGAAGAAAGAAAGAAAAACATTTTGAGTTACTTCTTTGAAACATTTTGAGTTACTTCTTTTCTGTTGTTGCTGTTGTTGTTTTTCTTTTTTGAGATGAAGTCTCACTCTGTCCCCCGGGCTGGAGTGCAGTGGTGCAATCTCTGCTTACTGCAACCTCCGCCTCCCAGGTTCAAGCGATTCTCCTGCCTCAGCCTCCCAAGTAGCTGGGATTACAGGTGTCTGCTGCTAAGCCCAGCTATTTTTTTTTTTTGTATTTTTAGTGGAGATGGGGTTTCACTTTTTTTTTTTTGAGACTGAGTCTCACTCTGTCACCCAGGCTGGAGTGCAGTGGCACAGTCTTGGCTCACTGCAACCTCTGGCTCCTGAGTTCAAGCAATTCTCCTGCCTCGGCCCCCTGAGTAGCTAGGACTACAGGTGTGAGCCACCACGCACAGTTTATATATATATATATATTATGTGTGTGTGTATATATATGTATGTGTGTGTGTGTGTGTGTGTATATATATAGTATACTGTCGCTATATATATGTATATATGTATATATATGTGTGTATATATATAGTATACTGTCTCTATATATAGTATATAGTATGTGTGTATATATATAGTATACTGTATATATAGTAATTATATATAGTATATATACTATATATAACAATTATATATAGAGTATATATACTATATATAATTAGTATATATATTACTATATATATATATATATATATAGTAATTTTAGTAGAATCAGGTTTTCACATGTTGGCCAGCTGGTCTCGAACGCCTGACCTCAAGCAATCCGTCCGCCTCGGCCTCCCAAAGTGCTGGGTTTACAGGCGTGAACCACCGTGCCCAGACTTCTTCCTGGCTTTTAATCTGGTCTCTTGTGGGGAGGTTGCCCACACTTTTCTTCCCAACTTTCTTCTCTGTTACGTAAGTCAGGGACAATGTATAGTTCCTTCCAGACTTCCGTATTCTACTTTCATTGATCTTGGACCTACAAGTCGGTTTTGTAGCTCCATTTTTGGAGTTTTATTTTTTTCATGATCTTCTTTCCATTTTCATCTCCTTTAAATAGTTTCTACTAATATAGGAAAACTACGGATGTATTGTTCTTTATTGGTTATGTTTCTTGTTCTTGGACACAAAGGCATTCCCTAGGGAAATCAGAAGACATCTACAAAATTCCAATAATGATTGAAACAAATCTCAAAATTCAACTAAAAGTAAACTCAAAAAGAAATGCATTTAAAAATATTAGGCTGATTAATTTTTTAAGATGTCAGTAATCTAAGATATCCAATATGATGCTTTGCCAATCTATGAACAAGAAAAGTCTGATTATAACAGCTTACATTATAGCAAAATGCCCCATTACACAGGCATCAAATGAATTTCTTATCACTTAGTCATCTCTGCTAAAACAAAACAAAACTCTTCATGACTGGACTTTCGTCATACTTCTCTCCACACACTAGTAACCTCTCTAACAACTCCAACAATTATGTTGACTGCAGAATACACATTCCCTGTATGTACTGCTCTGATTGTTTTCCTATTTGTACCCAATGCTCCTGATGATAGTGTCTAGAGCAACATAAGACTAAGCTGCCCATCTTTTCACTGAATAATTTTTCACACATTTGAAGATGAACACAACTCATTCACTTCCTGAAATATTCTCGTTAAAATTTTTATTAGCAGTTTTTGCTGTTATTGTTGTTGTTTGTTGTTGTTGAGATGGAGTCTCGCTCTGTTGCCTAGGCTGGAGTGCAATGGGCATGATCTCGGCTCACTGCAACCTCCACCTCCTGGGTTCAAGCAATTCTCCTGCCTCACCCTCCCGAGTCACTGGGACTATAGGCATATGCCACCACGCCCAGCTAATTTTTGTATTTTGGGTAGAGATGGGGTTTCATCCTATTGATCAGGCTGGTCTCAAAATCCTGACCTTAGGTGATCGGCCTGCCTCAGCCTCCCAAAGTGCTGGGATTACAGACATGAGCCACCGCACCCGGCCTTATTAGCAATTTTGACTAGTTCTTCCTTTTTTTTTTTTTTTTTTTTTGAGACGGAGTCTCGCTCTGTCGCCCAGGCTGGAGTGCAGTGGCGGGATCTCGGCTCACTGCAAGCTCCGCCTCCCGGGTTCCCGCCATTCTCCTGCCTCAGCCTCCCAAGTAGCTGGGACTACAGGCGCCCGCCACTACGCCCGGCTAATTTTTTGTATTTTTAGTAGAGACGGGGTTTCACCGTTTTAGCCGGGATGGTCTCGATCTCCTGACCTCGTGATCCGCCCGCCTCGGCCTCCCAAAGTGCTGGGATTACAGGCGTGAGCCACCGCGCCCGGCCTAGTTCTTCCTTTTCCCACACTTAGTCTGTTCCTCTATCATGCCTGAAGGATTCTTCACTATTACCTGCAGTTATTGCCTGTGTTGAATGCAGACATCTTTGAGAGAAGGTCTAAGAATAAATTCAGGTGGCATATACATTTTACAATCATGGAGATCATGTAATCATTATGGGATGGCTGCCGCCACCTTATTTGCTGTGGCCCAGTGTCCTTTAGTTTTCATGTTCCTTCTGTTTTTTAAAGGTTCAATATTTATTGCAGTGAATTGCATATTTCTTCTTCCTCTTAACACATGGGCTTTTTTCAGTGTTCAGGTGCAACATGTTGCTTTCATTTCAGTGTTAAATTGCTCTCTGGTGTCCATGAAGTATTGCAGTGTCTTTATTTTATTGGTCTTCAGGACTCTTCCAAATATTTTTAAAGGTTTTCCTCTCTCAAAACCACTTGTCTTATCCTCAGCATCATCTTGTATTTGTGTGACCTTCTTGAAGCCAGCCAGATGTTCTCAAGGTTGAGCCCTTTCCTCAGGGGCTGGTGGGTGACTCTGGCTGCCAGTTACATTTTATCCTGAGTCGGGAACATCTGTTGTAAATGATATACTGCCAATGGGAAAGAAAAAATACCATCTACTAGTTCCTATCCCAAAACATCATAGTGTTAGGAATAAAGGCAACCAATTCAAACTCTTTAGAGTTATTGGCAGAGGTTTCTTTCCTAAATTAGTTTCTTCAGACTTTTTTCAAGCAAAATTTCTGAATCTGAAAGAGTGACAAAACATTTGTTCATCATTTGTGGTTTCTTCTTCACTGGAGTGTTGAGCCTTTCAGTTAGCTGTGTTAAATGAAGATATTTGAAAAGGAATTAACGTATTGCCTATAAATGCAAAGGACCATCCCAATCCCTACATATAAAAACCAAACGATTGGGAATAAACATCAGATCACTGCCTAGATTTCTGCTGGGCTGGTCCTGAAATAAGGTGATTCCATGAATATCGTACTCAATTTTTTTAGAGTTCATTGAGAAGATACACAATATATCTTCTCATCTTTCCCTTTCCTGTTTGAAAATAAATCAAATGAAAGCAGTTGACCTCAGTCATCTACCAACCAATCCCCAGGTGGAGCTCTGGCGGGAGGATAGGACTTGGCCATCGGTGCTTTCACGTCCTGCCTCCTCTCCAGGTTCTAGAATCCTAGTGCCCTTGGGCTCTCTTCTAAACATCTCGGGTCCTAAAGTTCTGGATTTAATATAAAAAGAAAATGCTCCTGCATTTTATAAAATCACAGAGGGCTGTTCATATTTAGTGTTGTCAAGTAAACATGTATTAGAAAAACAGCTAGTATCATCATGTTTCTATTTTAACACCAAAAAAATAGTATTGACATAATGTCAGGAAAAAAAAAGAACACCAAATAAAGAACTGTAAGTGGAACATTTAAGTTTCTGAAACATCGATATTAATCCATGTTCTTATTTTTTCATCGTGACAGGGATGGATGAAACACTTTCTACAGCTGGAGTCCATCTACAAGATGTTTCTGGGAATCCCTGTTTGTGAAGGTCCCACTCAATCCTACCAATCTATCCATCTCACTTTTTTTTTTTTTTTGAGATGGAATCTCGCTCTGTCCCCCAGTCTGGAGTGCAGGGGCACAATCTTGGCTCACTGCAACCTCCGCCTCCTGGGTTCAAGAGATTCTCCTGCCTCAGCCTCCCAAGTAGATGGGATTACAGGCGTGAACCACCATGCCCAGCTAATTTTTGTATTTTTAGTAGAGATGGGGTTTCACCATGTTGGCTAGGCTGGTCTTGAACTCCTGACCTCGTGATCCGCCTGCCTCGGCCT
Organism: Homo sapiens; assembly: GCF_000001405.40. Taxonomy (NCBI): domain Eukaryota; kingdom Metazoa; phylum Chordata; class Mammalia; order Primates; family Hominidae; genus Homo; species Homo sapiens. Next base: position 128,133,015 of record NC_000010.11, read on the forward strand.
CCTAAAGTGCTGAAATTACATGTGTGAGCCCCCGCACCCAGCCTCCATCTCACTTTTAATATTTCTTCTACCACAGCCTTTCAGGCCTTATTTAAATACCCCAGATAGTCTTCAGCAGATATTGGTGTATTTGTATCAAAAGTTACTTATATTAGGGTTTAGCATTGTTTGAATTCCTAGGAAAGTGTCTTCAAAAAAGAAATGCTTGAAATAATTCAGCGTTCCATGTGCTGAGTATTTAAATGTCCATTTATTTTACCTGAAAAATACTTTGATATTATGGTAGTAATAATAATCACAGTAATGTATAAAGTTACACATATATGAATGCCTCAGTAGATGTGCATAACAGGTCGTATGTACTCAAAATATTTTGCTGGATGAGACATTCTGTGAAAAACTTTGCTACCTCCTCTTTCTTTCTTTCTTTCTTTTCTTTCTTTCTTTCCTTCTTTCTTTCTCTCTCTCTCTCTCTCTCTTTCCTTCTTTCTTTCTTTCTTTCTTTCTTTCTTTCTTTCTTTCTTTCTTTCTTTCTTTCTTTCTTTCTTCTTTCTTTTTAGCTAAATGTGTTTATCTTTATGTGGCTGTTTGGTAAGTAGCTTCCATGGGCTACAATGAGAAGCACAGCAACTCTTCCATTTTAACATCAGCCATGAAATCAAACAAGATTCCTTTTCAGCAGTTTAATCTCAAAGCTTCCCAAAGCTTCTCAATAACTAACTAACTAACTAACTAACTAAATAAATAAATAAATAAAAAAGTCTCCCAAAGCATCGCAGTACAAACAACCGCTCGATTTATACAACCCAGGAAGATCAAACCCTGGGTGCCTGGCATGGTTCTAATCCAGTACAACCATCACCACGTCAATTCCCACTTTTACTGAGATGGAGATTCAAGTGGCAACATTTCCTCGACTATTAATGGTTTAAGAAAAGCATCTTACAGTGTGTTGTTTCCAGAAACAGCTATGCCCCCTGGAAGGAAAGTACGTCTTAACAACACAAAATAGTGGTCAAAACCAATTACTTAACACTGGGACAATCTATTATTATAAAGTCAGTAAGACAGGCAGGTATAATAGCAACAGCTTTCCTCACCATAAGGCAGCTGCCCGGTTTCTACATATCTTCTGCTTTCCAGAGTAAAGATGTGCATTTGACATTTCCATACCTATTATATGCAGGACACGCGATCCCGAGAAACTGTCAGAGCGTTTTTCTTGTACCCCAGACCAGCCTTCTGTTCCTTGGATATTAAAACCCCAGGAAGTTGCCTGGCTTATTTATACCACTATCCCTCTCACAGCAGACAGACAGATGTAGCACACAGCAACACAGTCACAAATAGTAAAAATAACAAATAGTAAAAATAACAAAGGGTTATGATTTGTGAGACAAAGGCTATGTTTTCAAATGAACGATATTCATTGTAAAAATTTTGTTGAAAACAAAGTACTCGTACCTTCTAAATAGAAATAATAAATAAATAAAACTAATATAGATTTGAATCTAATTGACATATATAGATTGAAGACTGCAACCAACAGTTGTAGAACACACATTCTTTTCAAACACATAATACACAGATTAGTAAACATTGCAGCCATATCTGATCACAAAGCAAATGCCAACACATTTCAACAACTAGAAGCTATTGAAATGTCCATCCAGAACGATAAAATTGTGTATAATTATGTGTATTATTTATTTTTCTTCCTTTCTTTTTTTTCAGAGACAAGGTCTTGCTCTGTTGCCAAGGTTGGAGTGCATTGGCACAATCATAGACCACTGCAACCTCAAACTCCCGGGCTCAAGTGATCCTCCCACCTCAGCCTCTGAGTGGCTGGGACCACAAATACACACCATCATGACTGGCTAATTTTTAAATTTTTTGAAGAGATGGAGTCTCACTGTGTTGCCCAGGCTGGTCTTGAGCCCTGGGCCTCAAGTGATCCTCCTATCCTTGGCCTTCCAAAGTGTTGGGATGACAGGCATATGCCACTGCACCAGGCAGGTATATTATTTCAATCAAATAGTTAATGTAAACAAATGACAACTACAATCAATATTTTATGATTCTCATAAGGACTAGAGACATCGGACATAATTACATACTTTATTATTTAATTTTTGTGAAGTTTAGTAATGTCAGACAAAATATAGTGTTCAAAGATGCATGTTTAAAAATAAAACTCAGGCTGGGCACAGTGGCTCACATCTGTAATCCCAGCAGTTTGGGAGGCTGAGGCAGGAGGATCACTTGAGGTCAGGAGTTTGAGACCAGCCTGGCCAACATGGTGAAACCCCGTCTCTACTAAAAATACAAAAATTAGCCAGCTGTGGTGGCGGGCATCTGTAGTCCCAGCTACTGGGAAGGCTGATGTTCTGTGCAGGAAATGCATGAGGGGAGAAGAAATGGCACACACACAATACTTTAAAGGGTAAACAAGCTTTACCCCATGTAAATGGCAATGCAGATATAATAAGGAAATGACATAATAAGCAAATGATATAATAAGAAAATCAATATAATAAGGATATTGTTACAATAAGCAAATTGCAATGGGAAGAGAAGGGAAAAAGATACTTACACTCACCAGACTATGGAGGATTCACCACCAAACTGGGAAGCAACATCTTGGGATCCAGAGTCGACCACTTGTCCATGCAGACAAGGAGGGGTCTCATGAAGCTTCTGCGTGGTCTGAGACCCTAGCTCTTTTTGTAACGAGTTGTTTGGCATGAGGTCCAGTTACGAGGGCCCTTCGTGACGGGGCTCAAGGAACACAAAAAGGTCAACTTGTTTTTGCAATTATCTATTGTTTTTCAATAACTAACGTATAGGAATAGATTGAAATAGGGATTTCTTTGAAACAGTGCTGGATGAACGCCTTAAGGGGCTCACACAACCTGTTCCGAGACTTGGTGACCATTGTTTCTGTCCACAACCAAATGAGTTCACATTTAATATTTAACTATTCCTCCACAAGGCTGAGGCAGGAGAACTGCTTGAACCCAGGAGGAAGAAGTTTCAGTGAGCCAAGATCGTGCCACTGCACTCCAGCCTGGGTGACAGAGTGAGACTCAAATAATAATAATAATAATTTAAAAATATTTAAGGTCTGGCATGGTGGCTCACGCCTGTAATCCCAACACTTTGGGAGGCCAAGGTGGGTGTATCACGAGGTTAGGAGATCGAGACCATCCTGGCTAACATGGTGAAAACCCGTCTCTACTAAAAATACAAAAATTAGCCGGGCATGGTGGCGTGCGCCTGTAGTCCCAGCTACTCGGGAGGCTGAGGCAGGAGAACGGCGTGAATCCGGGAGGCGGAGCTTGCAGTGAGCGGAGATTGCACCACTGTACTCCAGCCTGGGTGACAGAGCGAGACTCCATCTCAAAAAATAAATAAATAAATTTAAAAATAAAAATAAAACTCAAAGTATTTTTATAATGTTATAAAAGCCACAGTGACAGACTCTGTGATGAGAGAAAGAAGTCGCGGTTAGAAGACAGGATGGAAGAAGCCTCTGGAAGAAATGTTCTATTTCATGACTTGGTTTAGTTACGTGAGTGTTTGCTTCCTGATAATTGAAACTATAAGACTCATGCAGAGTTTTACATTCAGCCTTCTCCACAAAGTAAGTTCTTTTAGGACCAGATCACCTCTTTGGCCTGGTTATCTGTACTCAAATCCTTGAATTTGATATTTAAGTCCAATTTCTCATTTTTTGAATGGATCCAAATTATACCACAGTGGCATAAAATTTTTTGAGCTGAAAACATTTTAGAATCAAGAAATGCAGACAGAAGCTTTGTCTGAATTATGCCCTATCCTCACCCCATTATCAGACTACGAAGTTTACAGATAAGCCCCTATCTTCAGCTATTGGCTGCTTTCTTTGTGCTCTTCTGAGAATGGATATTAACAAACAAAATGAATACACTTTGTCTTTTCTCTTGTTAATCTCTTGTTAATCTGGTTTTTGTCATTTATTTTATTTTTTGAGTCAGGGTCTCACTCTGTCACCCAGAGTGGAGTGCAGTGGTGAGATTTCAGCTCACTGCAACCTTAACCTTCTGGGCCCAAGCTCAGCATCCTAAGTAACTGGGACTATAGGTGCACGCCATCATGCTGGGCTAATTTTTGCTTTTTTTTTTTTTTTTTTTTCCAGAGACAGGGATTCACCATATGGCCCAGGCTGGTCTCCATCTTCCAGGCTCAAGCAATCCACCCACCTCCTTCTCCCAAAGTGCTAGGATTACAGGTGTGAGCCACAGTGCTAGGCCAGTTTTTTTTTTTTTTTTTTTTTTTTTGAGACGGAGTCTCGCTGTCGCCCAGGCTGGAGTGCAGTGGCGCGATCTCGGCTCACTGCAGGCTCCGCCCCCTGGGGTTCACGCCATTCTCCTGCCTCAGCCTCCCGAGTAGCTGGGACTACAGGCGCCCGCCACCGCGCCCGGCTAATTTTTTGTATTTTTAGTAGAGATGGGGTTTCACCATTTTAGCCGGGATGGTCTCGATCTCCTGACCTCGTGATCCGCCCGCCTCGGCCTCCCAAAGTGCTGGGATTACAGGCGTGAGCCACCGCGCCCGGCCAGGCCAGTTTTTTGTCATTTTAATTTACAAGACTCCAAACACTGATTCTAAGAGGCTAGAGGAAAAATTATTTCTTTTTGACAAATTCTAGGTCTATATGCTATTCCATTTGGAAAATGTATTGAGAATTACAATCTGAAATCTGTTAACATTCATCAACATTAAAGATGGATCACTGTTGAACTGTTTCAGTGGTTTATGATAAATCACAATATGACATTAATTGTTTGCAAAATTAGCTTTTACCTACCTGAAAGATCGATCAACAGTAGTTATTATATTTCCATGTTTTAGCTGTACAAGCTCATTAATATCAAACCCAATTAACTATGTTGGATTTGTGGAGTGGAAATGAAATAATATGGCCTACAAGTAGAAAGAAGAGAACAACTGGTAACTAATCAATAGGTAGAAAGTGAAAGGAAAAGCTTTAAAAATGGGCTTTCAAAAGCCCTGCTCTTTCATCTGCACTTTGCAACGTTGATGTATCACTACAGGAAGCTGGCTGCAGATGTCACATTCCACTCCCCTTATTCCAAAAGAATGGAGATTTTTGTCTGGTTATTGCACCTTCTAAACCAAATACATGAATTTTTCTTTTTCTTTCTTTTTTTTTTTTTTTCAAGATGGAGTTTCACTCTTATTGCCCAGGCTGGAGTGCAATGGCCTGATCTTGGCTCACCGCAACTTCTGCCTCCCGGGTTCAAGCGATTCTCCTGCCTCGGCCTCCCGAGTAGCTGGGATTACAGGCATGTGCCACCATGCCTAGCTAATTTTGTATTTTTTTAGTAGAGACAGGGTTTCTCCACATTGGTCAGGCTGGTTTTGAACTCCCGACCTCAGGTGATCTGCCCACCTCGGCCTCCCAAAGTGCTGGGATTACAGGGGTGAGCCACTGCGCCTACCCTTGCATGAATTTTTCAAACTAAAAAAAAAAAAATTCACTAGATTTTTTTTTTGTTTTTTGAGACGGAGTTTCACTCACGTCGCCCAGCCTGGAATGCAATGGCGCAATCTTGGCTTACTACAACCTCTGCCCCCTTGGTTCAAGTGATTCTCCTGCCTCAGCCTCCTGAGTAGCTGGAATTACATGCACCGGCTACCATGTCTGGCTCATTTTTTTTTTTTTTTTGTATTTTTAGTAGAGATGGGGTTTCACCATGTTGGACAAGCTAGTCTCGAACTTCTGATCTCAGGTGATCCGCCTGCCTCGGCCTCCCAGAGTGCTGGGATTAGAGGCATGAGCCACTGCGCCAGGCCTAAAAAAAAAAAAATTGACTAGTATGTTTGAACGGTAAATATAATGATATAAATCAATAACTTATTGGGCAATGTAAGTGATTTTTCACTGTGCAAATGACTTTTGTAAATATTTTATCAGTAACTCCTTAAACATTAAAAACTAAGAGTACTTAAATAAAAAATCACAATAAAATACAAAAAATACAAAATTGAATTGCCTTTTATGAAAACAGCTATGCTAAATGACAGATAAGGAGTACTTGAGGTCAGTGTGGAGAAAGAGAAATTATTGTTAATATTTTCTGCTTTTGTCCTAAAAACCACTGTAGGTTTAAAGTTAACTCTACAAGTGCTGTGTTTTATGCTAGCACTTTACTGTGCCTTAGTATCTTCTTTTACAAAAAACAGGATCAATTAATGCCTCAAAGTATTGTTCAAATAAATGAGTTATTCATGTCCTTCTTGTCTCGGCACCCAGAAATGCACTTGTATGGTAGCTTGCGATTGTTGTTTAAACCCACACTGACAGCCTCTATAGTCTCCTAACTTTTAAGTTACTATTCTGTTGGGTATGAGAAAGTGTTACCTAGATTAATCTCCTCATTCCACAAAGAGATAACAGTAGCAGTTCCACCAGAAGAGAAAATTCCTAAGACCACACTAAATTCACTAAGAGTTTATAGTAAGATTCCTTGTGTCTTTGTTGTGCCTGTTCCATCCTGTGATTTTTTATTTTATTTATTTTTTTTTTGGTGACAGAGTCTTGCACTGTCATCTAGGCTGAGTGTAATGCTGCAATCTCGGCTCACTGCAACCTCCACCTCCCGGGTTCACGCAATTCTCCTGCGTCAGCCTCCTTAGGAGCTGGGATTACAGGCGCCCGCCACCACACCAGGCTAATTTTTTGTATTTTTAGTAGAGACAGGGTTTCACCATGTTGGCCAGACTGGTCTCGAACTCCTGACCTCAGATGATCCACCTGCCTTGGCCTCCCAAAGTGCTGGGATTACAGGCGTGAGCCACCATGCCTGGCCAGTTTCCTCACACTTTTAAAATCACAGGATGGGCCAGCGCAGTGGCTCACGCCTGTAATCCCAGCACTTTGGAAGGCCGAGGCAGGTGGATCACCTGAGGTCAGGAGTTCGAGACCAGTCTGGCCAACATGGTGAAACCCTGTCTCTACAAAAATACAAAATTAGCGGGGTGTGGTGGTGGGTGCCTGTAATCCCAGCTACTGGGGAGGCTGAGGCAGGAGAATTGCTTGAAACTGGGAGGGAAGGTTGCAGTGAGCCAAGACTATGCCACTGCACTCCAGCCTGGCAACAAGAGCAAAACTCCATCTCAAAAAAAAAAAAAAAAAGTTTGAGGAAACTGTATAATCTCTTCTCTATAAAAATCTTGGGATTAGAAGAATGTCTCCTCCTAACCATGTCACCTGACCAAACACTTCGAAATTGGTTTCTAAATTATAAAATCTTGAATAGAAATATACAAAAGTGTCACTGTCTAATAACTAAAATGATTACCATTTGAGACCAAAATGTGTTGTTGTTGTTTTCCAAGAGAAAGGAAGCTAGAGAAAATGAACAGCTTTTTAAAACCCAGGGAGGTAATTTAATTTTTAGGTATCAGGACGTGTCAGCAAAAGAGAGACTGTCTTAATAGAACTGAGAAATTGTTTGGCAGGGGGTCATTATACATCAGTGCTTCTTAGCCACTGTTATTGACATTTCCCACCAAACAGTGCCTCACCGTGGGGGGCAGAGTCTTATTCACTGCCGGGCACTTAGCATCCCTGACCTCTGCTCACTGAAGACAGTGGCCAGCCTCTGCCTCATCCTGACAAAGAAAAAAATCTACTGTCCTTGCAAATCTCTCCTGGGGGGCAATATGGCCCTTGGTTAGGAACCAGTTCCATCTGCTGGTTTCAAAACCAAGTCTCCAGCTCACATTTCTGCTGGACAGTTAGTTACCAGAACGCTGAGTACTGATCATATCTTATATATAGAACACCAAACCTGGCCCCGCATACATAGGAACAAGATTGTCCTTGCCCTTGGGGAACTGAGTCTGGTGGGAGAAACAAACTCAAAATTCATTCCTGATGTTGTATGTTAAGAAAGACAAGTTTTCATTAATGGGTTCATCTGAGTTGACATTCATTTTGTTGCTATTTTTTGTTTTTATTTTTTTGAGACAGAATGTTACTCTGTTGCCCAGGCTGGAGAGCAGTGGTGTGATCTCGGCTCACTGCAACCTCTGCCTCCTGGGTTCAGGCAATTCTCCTGCCTCAGTCCCCCAAGTAGGTGGGATTATAGGCACAGGCCATGACACCTGGCTAATTTTTGCATTTTTAGTAGAGATGGGGATTCACCATGTTGGCCAGGCTGGTCTTCAACTCCTGACCTCAAATGATCCACCTGCCTCAGCTTCCCAAAGTGCTGGAATGGATTATAGGCATGAGACACCGTACCTGGCCTTATTTTATTTTTATAAATGGGATCTTGCTTTTTTACCCAGGCCGAACTCAAAATGCTCTGGGTTCAAGGGATCCTACAGCCTCAGCCTCCCCAGTAGGGGCTACAGCTGTGCAGATGTGAGGTGGAATTTCACTAAAATCTGAAGAAGAGAAATAAATCACTCAAGTAGGAGGGTGGGGAGAACTTTCCAGTGATGAAGTTCAAACAGTGTAAAAATGCCAAGGTGAACAAGGACTTGGAATGCTTTGGATGGGAGGAACAAGGTAGGGGATGGGGTTGGGAGGATGAGGCAAGGCCAGGATGGGTTTCAGGGCCTAGACCACACAGGGAGGGACCCCTTGTCAGGCCTCTGGAGGGGCACACGTTAACAGGCTGACAGCAGCACTGTTAGTAACTGTGCCTGTTATGCAGACACAGGGTTATTACCACCACCAAGCAGGAAGGCAAGAGAAGAGGAAACCTTCCCAAATCACAAAGAGGGGGACTTGTCCTCCCATTTTCTTATTTCCACAAAGAGCTGAGAGCCTTTCAAGGCCTCCTCTCTTCATTCTCGTAGTGGCCCTAAGTAGCCGGTGGTGCCCAGTGAGGAGAGATCCAGGTAAATACGCTGTCCTCTGAAGCCGCCTATAGCCAATTAGGTTTAACGTTATCTACCTCTTTTTCCGTTGCAAGATTTTTTTTTTAATCAAATCAATGTTAAAATTTTGGCTTGATTTAAACAATCATACACAGAGGGTGGGGGAAAAAAAGAAAGAAAACTTTGTAACTGTAAGCATTATTTTAAAAATTACATTTGGTCCTAAACACTCTCTTGATTCTGGTGATGGTTTCAAGAGCATTCAACTTTATTAAATTTTACACTTTGAACACATACAAAGTTTTCTGTATTCCAATTAGACCTTAATAAAATTGTGCTTAAAAAAATAAGCAAACCAAAACCAAAACAAACCAACAACAACAAAAAAAAACCCAAACAAAAAAACAAAACAAAACCAACCACCCTGTACACGCCATCTGGCAGGCTTTGGGAAATACGCATGGTCACCTCATAATCGTTAATCTATTAAGTCAGAGGGTGTGTACATGTAAAATTGTTATGTATATTCTTAAATTGCCATCTCCTCTGTTCGAGCTATGTTTTTCTCTTTCACCAATAAGGAAACATAGTATCATTTTTTTTGTCCACTGAAAGACTCAAGTGTGGCCGGGGAGCAGTGGCTCATGCCTGTAATTCCAGCACTTTGGGAGACCGAGGCAGGCAGATCACGAGGTCAGGAGATCGAGACCATCCTGGCTAACAAGGTGAAACCCCGTCTCTACTAAAAATTGTGTTTTTGGCCAGGCAAGGTGGCTCACACCTGTAATCCCAGCACTTTGGGAGGCCAAGGTGGGCAGATCACTTGACATCAGGAGTTTGAGACTAGCCTGGCCAACATGGTGAAACCCTGTCTCTACTAAAAATACAAAAATTAGCCAGGTGTGGTGGCACATGCCTGTAGTCCCAACCACTCAGGAGGCTGAGGCAGGAGAATAGTGTGAACCTGGCAGGCGGAGCTTGCAGTGAGCCGAGATGGCGCCACTGCACTCCAGCCTGGGTGACAGAGTGCAAAAAAAAAAACTCCATCTCAAAAAAAATAAATAAATAAATGAAAGAAAGACTCAAGTGTCTGGGATGCTGCCTCTATCCAGGCAAATTTTGTAAAGCACCTATGGACCCGCATCTTTGATCCGCCATGAATTCTGTTAGTGCTTCTTCATTCTGTGTGTCTCACCTCTGAAGAGGATGGGATGTGGTCCTGCTGACATCTGGCACCTCAACGTAGGTGCCTCTGTACAGTCAGCATAGACTCAGTGAATGCCTGCAAATCCACACCAGGCCATGTTGCTTCCCAGCTTACTCCATTCAGAGGGTTCCAGTTGCTTTTATTTTATTTATGTATTTATCTTTTGGAGACAGAGTATCACTCTGTTGCCCAGCCTGGAGTGCAGTGGTGCAATCTCAGCTCACTGCAACCTCCGCCTCCCAGGTTCAAGCGAGTCTCCTGCCCCAGCCTCTCAAGTAGCTGAGACTATAGGTGTGCGCCACCACACCTGGCTAATTTTTGTATTTTTAGTAGAGACAGGGTTTCACCATGTTGGCCAGGCTGGTCTCAAACTCCTGATGTCCAGTGATCTGCCCACCTTGGCCTCCCAAAGTGCTGGGATTACAGGTGTGAGCCACTGTGCCTGGCCAAAAACACAATCCCAGTAGCTTTTAGAATAGCATCTGAATTCCTGCCTGGCTGTCTGAGGCTGTGGCCTTCCTGCCTCCTGGCCTCTTTTGATCTCTTGATCCAGTCCCCATGCTCAGCCCCCTGGGCTTCTTCCTTCCTGGAAGGTGCCAAGCTCCTTGTGCCTCAGGGCTGTTGATTCTGCTGTTTCTTACACTGGAATTCTTCCTGGAGGAGGGAGAGGAGGTGAGCTTTGTGACTGGATGAGCCACTCCTGGAGCAGGTATTGTGAAGCCTCCAGAAGAGGAATCAACCTGGATGTGCCTTGACCGGTGAAGACCTGCTCCAGCCACAGGGGGTTCTGCATCAGCCCACCTGCCCGCACACAGATTAACCACCTGGACAAAAGGGAACCAGGGCATAGATCTCAACTCTCCAACTTTAGAGAAAGGCAGTGAAACAAAACATAACATCAAAAAGTATGGGCTTATGAGTATATATGCACATCTGCTTTTATTAAAAAGAAGCTACAGGAAGATAAACCATACAACGTAAATATGGAGAAGGGAGGGGATAGGGATAGAAGCCCAGTTTCTCTGAACTGTCTTCTTTGGTAGACTTGACTTTTGAGCCTTATAAATATTTACATAAATATAAAACCAATTAAATCAATAAAGACAAAAAGAAGAAACCCTAAAAGTAGAAATTAAAATACAACTGTGTATCATGCAGCAATATAGCTCCATAGAGAGGAATAATTTAGTTATTTTAAACACACCAATGTAAGGGTACTTCTCTAGACAGACATTCTCTGAGGATAAAATGAACTGAAAACCAAGATTAATCAGTTTCCAAGAATTGTGTTGGTAGTGATATTGATGTTTTTCTGAACCTATATATTATGATAGGATGAGGCAAATAAGCGATTATTTGAACATCACTAGGAATAGGATTTTTTTAGCCTAAGAAAAAAGGAATATAAAGTCAAAAAGTTGTGTTTTGTGGCCACTGTGCAAAAGCAGAAGGGGGTCCCCACCCAAAATTTGGTTTGGGTATCAGGACTGATGGTGCCACACATCCACCCAGAGGGTATGGGAAGGGTTATTACTCACATAATTGAGCTCTTTGGGGCAACAGATAGGCCTCCCAAGAGGGTGTGAAATGGCCTGAGAAAGCAGGGAAGGATCTGGCTTGTGGTTAGGGCTGGGGCCTGTTGAGAGCTGGTGGCAGGGCCTCTGTGGGTTGAGGAAGAAGCTGAAGCTTTCTTATTAGTTTGCCCAGATGTGGGGTTGGGGAGTGGGGAGAGGGAAGGATGAGGCTTTAAGGCCACCAGCAGTCGAACATCAAACATCAGAAATGGAGTCTGACTCCTTATGGCATTCAGTAAATTCTGTACTGAGAATGTCAGGATGAACTCATGGTGTATTATCTTTCAAAATTTAAAATAAAACAGATTTCCTTGTATATCCACTGAAGAGGCCTTGAATTTACCCCATAGTTATGAGTGTCCTTACATCCTAGATTATGACCTTGAAAACCATTTTCCATTAAAAGGAGTTAAGTTTCCTTGTAGAAATGGTGGATTCCAGATCCGGAGCAAGAAACCTACAGGATGACCCTGGAGCATTTTGTCACATCAACAAGCAAGGATGCTCTAAAAACATAAAAATAAAAACCTACTGTGATCATGTCTGAAGGACCCAGGAGCCAATCTGAAGAGACTCTCCTCTGCTTAACATTGGGAAGCTGTGATCTTCAGTAAAAATAATGTCTGCCGTAATTTGAAACACATCAAATATGTTTAAGTTCCTCAAACTCACAATGATACTTTTCAAAAAGGAAGAATGGAAGAAAGAAGGGAGGAAGAGAAGCTCGTTAAGTATCTTTGGACCATGCAAGGTGATATGGTTTGGATCCGTGTCCCTGCCCAAATCTCATGTCGAATTATCATCCCCCATGTTGGAGGTGGCACCTGTTGGGGAGTGATTGGATCTTGGGGCAGCTTCTTATGGTTGAACGCCATCCCTCTTGGTGCTATCATTAGGAGAGTAGTGAGCTCTCCTAAAATCTGGCTGTTGAACAGTGTGTGGGGCCTCGCCCTTCTCTCTTCTTCCTACTCTGGCCACGTGAAGTGCCTTGCTGCACCTCTGCCTTCTGCCATGACTGGAAGCTTCCTGAGGCCTCCCCAGAAGCAGAAGCCACTATGCTTCCTGTACAGCCAGCAGAACCATGAGTCAATTAAACCTTTTTTCTTTGTAAATTACTCAGTTTCAGGTATTTCTTTATAGCAATGCAAGAATGGACTAATACAAAAGGAAACCAGCCATTTAGGCAAAAAAAAGGGACAGGACCAAGCTTTCATCTGCCCATGCTGTTGGGACTGGACTCCACTGTTATCAGGCAGTTGATCCTCAGGGAGTTTCTCTCTATAGATGTATTGAGTAAATGAATGGAGAAGGAAAATGGACGTAGAATATCATAACTATGTACAGCCTTAATGAAAAAATAAATCTAGGCAATTGTATAACTCAAAGGCTGCTCACAGCACAAAAGGAGACAGAGCGTGGCATGCACCCTGCAGGAAGTGTCCACCTTGGCCTCTGAGTAGTCTGGAAAAAAATCACCCTGAAGGATCTGCCAGTTTACAAGAACCGTGGGGAAGAGAGAAACTGGGAAACTTCACCAGTGGGGTGTAGTAAACAAAATCCAGAATGTGGGTGACTCCAGAGGACGAAGAATGTGATTTCTTCAAAACACTGAAAGGAAACAAAAAAAAGAGGGCAAGGGAACCAACTTTTTAATGTTACTTTAAGATGGAGTCTTGCTCTGTCGTCCAGGATAGAGTGCAATGGCACAATCTCAACTCACTGCAACCTCTGCCTCCTGGGTTCAAGCAATTCTTCTGCCTCAACCTCCCGAGTAGCTGGGATTACAGGCACTTGCCACCGTGCCCAGCTAATTTTTGTATTTTTAGTAGAGACGGGGTTTCACCATGTTGGCCACGTTGGTCTTGAACTCCTGACCTCAAGTGATCTGCCCACCTTGGCCTCCCAAAGTGTTGGGATTACAGGCATGAGCCACCACGCCTGACCAAGAACCAACATATTTTAAAGCAGATCAAAGGACTTCGACTCACTTTCCTCCCACCAACAACTTTAAAACTGGACAACATACCTTAGGCAGATCTTTTCCGGTATTCTGCTACAGCCAGCGCAAGGCTGCCATCCTTGAGAGGCGGGAGGCACATGACCTGAGCTCCTCTTTCCCCTCACTCCCAGGTTTCAGTTAGGGTGCAGGGAGGTGAGACCACGTGGAGAGGAATGGCCTCTCTGCTCTAAGAAGGCAGAGATCGGAGTTTGTGGCTGTGGAGAAAGGTGGGTTTGTGGGTGAGGCTGTGTGGGAGGAAGCTGCACAGGGTAGGGGCAGGCAGTGGTCTGCCTGAGAGATGCTGTCAGTCCTTAGCCAAGGGCTGGATTTGGAAAGTCCAAGGAAAGGCTCTGCAAGGAGACTCTGCAGGGAACAGCTGCTGAGAGAAAAATCTGCCCACCTGGATTTTCATATAAAAGGGATATGGTTTGGCTGTGTCTCCACCCAAATCTCATCTTGAATTGTAGCTCCCATAATTCCCACATGTTGTGGCAGGGACCCAGTGGGAGGGAATTGAATCATGGGGGTGGTTTCCTCCACACTATTCTCGTGGTAGTGATTACATCTCACCAGATCTGATGGTTTTATAAGGGGAAACCCCTTTTGCTTAGTTCTCAATTCTCTCTTGCCTGCTGCCATGCAAGAGTGCCTTTTGCCTTCCGCCTTCTGCCATGATTGTGAGGCCTCCAGCCATGTGGAACTGAGTCCATTAAACCTCTTTTTCTTTATAAATTACTGAGTCTCGGGTATGTCTTTATCAACAGCGTGAAAATGCACCAAAGAACATGTCTTGTTAAAATAAGGGTGAAATAAAGGCACTTTCAGAGAAATAAAAACGGAACTCATTCCCATCACATCAGGGAAATGCCATTTAAACCCACAATTAGAAAAGTCACACCCACCTTGATGGCTCAGACAAAATAGATGGCAAAGAGCAAACGGGGAGGAGGTGGGGACAGTGGAACTCTCATACTTGGCTGGTGGGAACATTAATGGTAAAACTGTGCTGTGAAAACTCTGGGCAGTTTCTTACAAAGTTAAATAGACTTCTTCCCTATGATCCAGCAATTCCACTATGAGGAATTTGCTGAAGAGAAAACGAAGGCATGTTGCCACAAGAGACTTGGATAAGCAACTTTACTCACTACATCCAAAACTTGGGAACAATCCAAATAGCCATCAACAGGATATTTCCTAACAGAATAAATTACAATATAAATTGCATTATATTCAGATGGTGAAATACTACAAAGGAATGAACATACACATAATATTGGTATGTGCAACGCTGTGGATGAATCTCAAAAACATTATATGGGGTGAAAGAAATGTGGCAGATAAAACAATATATTGTTTAATTTTATTTATGTGAATTTCCAAAACAGCAAAAGTATTCTATGATAATGGAAACCAGATCAGCGGTTTCCTCTGGGCTGGGTTCATGGGGAGAGGGGAGGGAATTTTCAGAGGTAATAGAAACTTTCATATTTTGATTGATGTGTGGATCACACAGGTGGTTCACATTTGCCAAAACTCTCAGAACTCTACACTTAAGGTCTGTTCATTTTACTATGCATACATTTTTTACCTTAATTAAAGAAACTTTAAAAACCAACCGGGCCGGGCGCGGTGGCTCACGCCTGTAATCCCAGCACTTTGGGAGGCCGAGGCGGGTGGATCATGAGGTCAGGAGATCGAGACCATCCTGGCTAACAAGGTGAAACCCCGTCTCTACTAAAAATACAAAAAATTAGCCGGGCGCGGTGGCGGGCGCCTGTAGTCCCAGCTACTCGGGAGGCTGAGGCAGGAGAATGGCGTGAACCCGGGAAGCGGAGCTTGCAGTGAGCCGAGATTGCGCCACTGCAGTCCGCAGTACGGCCTGGGCGACAGAGCGAGACTCCGTCTCAAAAAAAAAAAAAAAAAAAAACAAACCAACCAGATACAATTCATGGGGCTTATTGGGACCTGAATTGGAAAAATCAACTGTTACAACTCTTAACTACACTTTTATGAAGCAGTTGGAGAAATTTGAACATTGAAATTTGATGGCATCCAGGAAATACTTTTTGGTGTGATGATTTTATTATTAGTGTGGCAATGGCATTGTTATATTAAAAAGAGTCTTTAACTGTTAGTGACACACCCTGGAATATTTATGGAGAAAGAGAGATGATTTCTCACATTTGCTCCAAAATAACCCCACAGGGGTGGGGTACAGTGTGGTTAAGTGTCCTGGGGGTGGGGATTAATAGGTGACACCTAGCTATGAACATCAATCTCTGAAGCTAGGTGATGGGTACACGGGGTTTGTGTATTTTCTTTTCTTTTTTTGAGATGGAGTCTCTCTCTGTGGCCCAGGCTGGAGTGCAGTGACGCGATCTCGGCTCACGGCAACCTCCGCCTCCTGGGTTCAAGGATTCTCCTGCCTCTGCCTCCCCAGTAGCTGTGATTGCAGGACCGTGCCACCACGCCCAGCTAATTTTTGTATTTTTAGTAGAGACAGGGTTTCACCATGTTGGCTGGTCTCGAACTTTCCACCTCAAGTAAACCGCCCGCCTCCGCCTTCCAAAGTGCTGAATTACAGGCATGAGCCACCACGCCCGGCCAGTTTGTGATTCTTTCTACTTCTGTGTATGGTTAAAATTTTGCACGAGAACAAGGTTTTACAATTAAGTGTTTCAGCCATGAAGAACATTAGGAAGTCAGTCGTGGCGGGCATGGGGTTCCGTGACAGGGGTGGAGCTGGCAGGGAGAGGTGCCAGGCCCTGGTGCCGGGGCGCGCCCTACGTCTGGGGACCCCGTCCTGGGGAGTTCCTGGGTCCCGACAGCTTCAAGGCCTCTGGCTCTGGGCGGCCTCAGCATTGTAGTGTCACCCGCCGCCGGCTTCCCGCACAGTCAGGACGACCCCGCGTCCGGTGACAGCCGTCCGACCCCTCTCAGAAAAGGAACTTCCCTTAACATTTAAAGTACATCAATTGCCAACATTTCAAACAAAAATCTAGCTTTCTGGCTTCTCTTGAAAGAGCAAAGGATCAGGTCACCTTCGCAGGCCCAGACTCCACCGTCAGCTGCCGCCGACGGAGCCCACAGAGGAGGCTCGGGCGCCCGCGCCCCCTGCGCAGCGGCCCCTCCGCAGCGGCCCCAGCCCGCGTCCCCGCAGCGCCCCTTCCGAAGCGCCCCCTCCGAAGCGCCCACAGCCCGCGTTCCCGCCCGCACCCCAGCCCGCGCCCCCTGCCCGGGTTCCCGCAGTGCCCCCTCCGCAGCGCCCCCTCCGCAGTGCCCCCAGCCCGCCTCCTCGCAGCGCCCCCCGCAGCGCCCCCCGCAGCGCCCCCAGCCCGCCCCACCTGCAGCGCCCCCAGCCTGTGTCCCCGGCCCGCGACACCAGCCGGCGCCCCGCAGCGCCCCCGCACGTCGGTCACAGGAGCGGAGCCCACGCGGCCCTGGAGCGCGGTGGCTGGGCCCGTAGCGCCACCTGGCGGCGGATCAGGGCCCCCGCGCCCTTGCGTCCTCGGAAGGGGGAGGGGAAGGGACTCCACCCTGCACCCCCCACAGCGCGCTCCCGAGGCCGTTTCCCAAGGATGCGCGGGCCCGAGGGGATGGGGACGCGGCCCGCGCGGCGCGTTCCTGGCTACCTGGAGTCTGGGAATGGCGAATCCCACTCGCAGCGGACACAGGCGAGGCGCAGCGGGACGGGATTGGTGGGAACGGAAACAGCGGTCACCTGGGAGCCCAGAACCAGCGAGTGCGCGGTGCAGCGTTCGCTTACCAAACGTTGTGGGACAAACGCCTTTCAACTGTTTCTGGACGCCAGTGGGCCGGCGTTACCCTGTTGAGCCATTCCTTTCTATTAGCTTACTATTGTTAGTATTGTTATTATTTGGAAACTTTAGCCTACAACGATATATTTATTAATTTGGAAACTTAAGACATATCTGCCCAATCAGCCACTCTGTGTTTTAGGCATTCATCTCTGGTCCGTTTGATCTCAGGCAGCGTGCTGAAAAGGATGAACCGGGCAGCTGGAGTTGTCCAGGGGCACGTAGCCTGCGGGGCGCACGGAGGGGCCTCGAGCGCGTGGCCCTGCGCGTCCCGGGGGGCGCCCGCTGTCCACAGCCGCCTAGGGAGCTCCGCCACCACCCCTCGGAGATGGAACTCCCATGACACAAATTTCCCTATATAGCAAACCTGTGCTTGTACCCCTGAACTTAAAAGTTCTCCCCCACCAAAACACAAAAAACTAAAAACTAAGGAACATTCCTTCCTAGACGTCTATAATCAGTATCATAAAGATCCCCTTGCTGGTGGTTACCCAACTAAGAGTTCATGGAGCAACAGTTTAACTTTTGTTTTCTTTTAAAATCAAAGCTGTACTTACACCTGATTTAAAAAACAAAATAGGTTTAGAAGGCTTGTTACAAATCACACACCCCCGTAACTCAGAGCAACCCTGTTCGGCCCACCTGCTGTTATTCCTTTCCCAGGAGGCAACTGCTTTGGATCCTTTTAGCTAACCAGCGGTGCAGCGACGGATTCTGTGTTGGTGCAGTCCTTCTTGCTGTCTCATGGTTGAGCACCCTTCCCACTGGGGAGATGATAAAGCACACCGGGTTCTTCCCTGTCACCGCCCGCAACCCCCACTCATGCCTTTCCTATCCATGCATGCTTCTCATGTACTTATATTGTGATTTTGACTACAACAGTGTACATTATTACAGCTATGTAAATGCTGTTTGAAGCTAAGCCATGTAGTAAATGATGGTTACCATTTACTTGATTGAACATTTATTTTTTTTTCCTGGAGTCAATTTTCTTTAATTTTTTTTTCCCGTTGCTCAGTTTTATGCATTCATCACAGAGTCATTTGTCTTGACCTTCCAGATGTCTACTTGAGGAAGCCTCTCCCAGAGCTTCTGACGGGGCATCCGGCCTGCACCCTTTACTTCCCAGAGCCTGTGCCTCATGGGGCCTGGCTTCTCCCGACCATTGCCCTGGGATTCTCTTCTCTTCCTGGTGCTTGACCCTAGAGGGCCTGCATTCCTGAGAAATGTTCTTCTTTCTTGGTTTGCTATTGAGCACCCCCACTGGCCATCTCCTAAGAAGCAGTGCATGGGAAGGAGTTTAAAGAACATGCGTGTCTGGGCCGGGTGCGGTGGCTCACGCCTGTAATCCCAGCACTTTGGGAGGCTGAGGCAGGCGGATCACCTGAGGTTGGGAGTTTGAGACCAGCCTGGCCAATATGGCGAGACCCTGTCTCTACTAAAAATACAAAAAATTAGCTGGTCATGGTAGTGGGCGCCTGTGATCCCAGCAACTCAGGAGGCTGAGGCAGGAGAATTGCTTGAACCTATTAGGTGGAGATTGCAGTGAGTCGAGATCACGCCATTATACTCCAGCCTGGGCAACAAGAGTGAAACTCCTCCTAAAAACAAACAAACAAACAAACAAACAAAAAACCTGCTTGTCGGAAAATGCTATTATTCTACTTTACACCTGCTCTGTTCTTGATTTTCCTTTAGAATTTCGGAGGCTTCAGTCCCTTGTTTTTTGGCTCCTGGTTTTGTTGTCAAGAGGCCTGAAGCCAGCCTGATCCCTGATCCCTGATCCTCACCTGTGGCCTGTTTTTCGTTTGCCTTTTTCCTCTCTGGAAATTGGAGGGGTCGTCTGCTTGTTCTGAGAGCTCTGAGTTTTCACCATAGTGTGCATTTCCATGGGCCTACTTTCATCAGTTGCATTCAGGCTGCTTGTGAGGCCCTTTAAGCTAGAATTTCATGATCTGGGGTGTTTTCTAGGATGATTTTATGAGTTAATTTCCTCCCCTTGGTCTTCACTACTCTTTCTTTCTGGACACTCCTGTGATTTGGATATTTGACTTCCTGGGCTGAATCTTTCATTTGCTTGTCCTTTCTTTCCTATTATCAATTTCTTTTTCTTTTGGGTGTCTGGGAGATCGCCTTGATTTTTTTTTTTGTTCCAATCTTTTTGTTAATTTTTTAACCTTTGTTATAGTATTTTTAATTCTCAGGAATACTTTTTTGCTCTCTAAATATTCCTTTTGATGAATCTCTGTCCTTGTTGTATGGTTTTAGTATCTGCTCCCAGCTCTCTGTGGATATTAATGATTTTTTTTCCTTTTCCATATACAGTTTCCGTTTGCCTTGAGTTGCATGTTTCTGTCCATCTGTTTTGGTCACTGTCTTCCACGTGGTTTCCTTTCCTCTGCTGTCCAGTGCTTCCTGATCATTTGCCGTTAAACACTGACACAAAGCCGACAGACATCTCTCAGTGCCTGGGGCTGTGGCCTGGGAGCTGGGCAGTGGGGTGGGTGGTCTGGGAGGTTGGTTGGAGCACCCACCCCCATGTCAGTCTTTGTAGCTCTTTCCTCCCTTTCAGGTGGTTGGATTCCCTGGGGAAGACATCCCTGCTCTCCTGCCTGGAGGGCACAGCCCTGTCGTCAGTTTTCTGAGAGCCCAGTTGGGAAACAGGCTGCTGGTATGCACTGAGCCCCTCTGTTTCTACAGGAATTCCCAGTCCTCAACTGTGTCCAGGGTCTCTCAGCCCAGGGACCTCTTTCATAGCCTCTGGCCTTCCTCTGGAGCGGAAAGGGACAGCAGCATCTGGCCGAGGGGAGTGGGAGAGGAGCCGGGGCTCTCGCCACTTTGCAACAGCCGTCCAATCCGGTGCCAAGGGGAGTGGGGGAGGAGCCAGGGGCTGTCACCATCTTGTAACAGGCGTCCAATCCCATCCCACTTGAGACCACCCCTCAGAGAATGCTAAGCAGCTCTTCACGTGCTTATCTCTGGTGCCTCCTCCCCACCTCCTGTGGCTCCTGCCACCATGTCCCCAGCCTCTCTTCCCTAGGTAAGCCAGGTCAGTGTTGGTTTTCTCTGGCCAAGTTAAAGTTCCACATTCAGGGGCCACTCAGTCAGCTACTACTTGTCTATCAGCCCTTGGCTTTCAAAATGTTCTTGTAATTGTCTCCTTTTTTGTTTTTTTTGAGACAGGATCTCGCTTTGTCACCCAGGTTGGAGTTCAGCGGCATGATCTCCGCTCACTGCAACCTCCATCTCCCAGGCTCAAGCCATCCTCCCACCTTAGCCTCCTGAGTAGCTGGGACTACAGGTGTGTGCCACCACACCCAGCCAATTTTTTCTATTTTTTTTTTTTTTGGTAGAAATGGAGTATCACCGTGTTGCCCAGACTGGTCTCAAACTCCTGAGCTTAAGCAACCCACCTGACATGACTTCCCAAAGTGCTGGGATTACAGGTGTGAGCCACCATGCCCAGCTGGAATTGTCTCCTCTTATTCTTCACATTTTTGTGAGAGTTTTGCTTGTTTGTTTTATTTTCATTTTAGTTAAACTCTATAATCCTCATACTGTAGTCTGAGGTGTTTTGGAGGCATGTGTTTCAGAGGCCCCCTTTCCCCAGGAAGAACTCCAAGTTTCTGAGGCTTTAAGCTCATCTCTCCCTTTGAGCCTCACATTTTTTTCTTTATTCAGGAATGAGAAGTATTAGTAGACATTTACCTGAATCCACAGCACCCTGTGAGGGAGGGCGACTGACATGACAAGCTCAGTTGACGAGTGACTGTATTCAGATTCTCTAGTAACAGAGTTCCAGCTGGGATTCATGGATGCAGCTCCTGTCCCCAGACCCCTGAGAACACACCCACTCAGGGAGAACATCAGGAGTGACACCCTGTGGCTCAGGAGCTTTGTGACTTGGCACGCCTTATTCCAGACCCAAATCCAACTGGACATCGCAGAAGCATCTTTAAGAAATCTGCATGAAGGTCCCAGTTTTAGATGCTCCCAACTCCTCCCAAACGATGCGCACGGTCCTAGGAAGCCCTGATTCCTGCATCCTCACTGCTGCGTGTACATCCTGATGGTTTCCTATGGCTTCTCCAGGCCATCAGCACACGCAGATAACCTCAGAGCAATGAAAACGGTAGCTGGATGCAGCCCCTGGCTCTGAGCAGTTGGGTGTCTCCATTGCTAGCTGTCTCTTTGATGCAGGCAGACTTGGGGACAGCGTGTTGGGGAAACTGATTGTAATTAGAAAAACCCCTCCGCAGGGTGGGCTCCCCTCTTATGATGGAGACCCCATGCCTACTCCCAGCCCCCTCCTCTGGGAGTTGGAGGTTTTGTTCCATTTACCATAACAGGGATCTCAGAGAAATGGCTTGGAATTAAACACACAGCAGGTGCTACCTGTGAGAAGTTTTACACATTTTCTTTGCCTTAATCAATTATTTGTTGTTCTCCACGGCAGTTCCTGACCCTGTGGATGCTCAGTGATGGATATGAAATGAAGAGAATTTCCCCAAACCTTCCCATGACTCGTGGCAGACTTTGTGCTGCAGACTTTGCTGTGGCTCGTGACGCCAGGGTCTTCTGGTGGATTTGCACTTTCCTTTGCAGTGCTTGACCCTTCCATTAGGACAAGCACAGTTTTGTATCTTTTCTTTTGTTGTTGTTAAACTCAAGTCTGCATCTCCAAACTTTGAATTCCATTCTTGTTCTCATATCAAGCTTTTTTTTTTTCATTAATCAGCTTTATTTTTATGGGCAGTTATGGGTTTACAGAAACATCAAGTGGAAAGTACAGTGTCCATATATCTCTGAGAATCCCCCTCGCCAGTTTCTTCGGTACATTTCTTTGGTTGTAATTGATGAGCCAGTACTGAGATGTTATTATTATTATTATTATTTTTTTGAGACGGAGTTTCGCTCTTGTTGCCCAGGCTGGAGTGCAATGGTGCAATCTCGGCTCACCACACCTCCGCCTCTTGGGTTCAAGTGACTCTCCTGCCTCAGCCTCCCGAGTAGCTGGGATTACAGGCATGCACCACCAGGCCTGGCTAATTTTGTATTTTTCGTAGAGACGGGGTTTCTCCATGTTGGTCAGGCTGGTTGCGAACTCCCAACTTCAGTTGATCCGCCCACCTTGGCCTCCCAAAGTGCTGGGATTACAGGCGTGAGCCACCGCACCCGGCCTTGAGATATCATTATTAACTGAAGTCCATAGTTTACGGTAGGGTTGACTCTTCGTGCTGTGCATTCTGTGGGTTTTGATGAATGTCTAACATCACGTGTCCATATCACAGTATCATACAGAATAGATTCTCTGCCCTAAAAGTCCTCTGTGCTCTTCCTATTCAACCCTCCCTTCCCTTCTCCAATCCCAGAGTCCCTGATATATTTACTGTCTCCACAGTTTTGTCTTTTCTAGGATGTCTTATAGGTGGGATCACACAGTATGTCACCTTTTCACATTGGCTTCTTTCACTTAGCAATATGCATCTAAGATTTCTTCATGTCTTCTTGTGGCTTGGTATCTCATTTCTTCTTATCACTGACTTACATTTCATTGTATGGATATACCATCGTATTTATCTATTCACCTATTGAAGGACATATTGGCTGCTTTCAAGTTTTGGCAATTATTAATAAAGCTGCTGTAAACTGTCACCTGTAGGTATTTGTGTGGACATAAGGTTTTCACCTCATTTGATGAAATGCCAAGGATTGTGATTGCTGGGTTGTATGGGGAGACTATGTTTTTGTTTTACAAGAAACTGCCAAACTGTCTTCAAAGTGGCTATACCATTTTGCATCCTCATCAGCCATGAATGAGAGTTCCTGTCGCTCCACATCCTCACCAGCATTTGGTGTTGTTGGTGTTTGGATTTTAGCCATCTAATAAGTGTGTGTGCTGTCTCATGATTGTGTTAAGGCTCAGTTCTCTAATGATAGATGATGTTAAGCAGCTTTTCATATACTTATTTCTCACTTGTAAATCTTCTTTAGAGAGATGTTTATTCAGGCCTTTTGCCCATTTTTTAAATTGGGTCGTTCATTCTCTTATTGTTGAGTTTCAAGAGTTCTTCGTATATTTTGGATACCAGTTCCTTATCAGATATGCGTTTTGCAAGTATTTCCTCCATGTCTGTGGCTTGTCTTCTCATTCACTTGATAGTGTCTTTTGCAGAGCAGAAGTTCTTTAATATTAACAAAGTCCAGCTTGTTAACTTTTTCTTTCATGTGTCTCATTTTCACACCCAGCCTTTTGTTGTGTTTTATGTTGTTTTGCTTTTAGCCTGAAAATGTGCATCCTTCACAGTTGCACCCGTTCAGAAATGCTCCTGCCCCATCCTTAGGCCAATGGTTGCTAATACCTGCTCTTAGATTTATAAGCTGCATGACTTTTTTGCAAATCCTCAGTTCTTGGGCCTTGTGTCTTCAAGAAAAGCTGCTGCCCTTTCCATTTATTTCATCCTGAGTCTGTAATTTATGCTTTTAATTTATGTATGACCCTTTTCTTCCCAATTCGACTATAATGCTCTTCTCCTGGAACATTACTCCCTCCCCATGCTCAGCCTGTTTTCCGATATCCTGGTGTGCTTATATTTAACCTTTGGTGATTTCATCACAAAGCCTGCCTCTTGTGGACACCACCCCTGGGACTTTGAACCATGAGCTGTGCTGCTCCAGCAACTCTTGCAGGCAAGGCTAGTAGCGGGTGAGGGGCAGGGGCTGTGCAGGAGAACAGTGAGAGGGAGGCCAATTGTGTACACCTAGCTGCTGGGAGGCAGGACAAGAGAGAGACACTAGGGTCAATGCCAAGGAGGCACAAGGGTGACAAGAAGCCAGACATCTGGAGGACAGAGCATCGAGCTAGGCAGAACCAAGAGTAAACGGATTAGGAAGTCTCAGTGGTAAGGTCAGAAATGTAGAATTCAGCTCTTTGTGGATGATGAATAGAAATAGTCCAGTGAACCCGAACTCAAACTGCAGGAGTGACTCTGCTTGGCTGGAGTTCAGTGGGGGCAGGGGATCAGCATCAGGGAGGGCAGCCTAGTCGTGATGGGAGAGATGCGAGGCTAGTCATCAGCAGCTGCTCCACTAAGCCAACCTTTAACTGGCAGGTATTCAAAGAAGCATGAACCACAGCAAGCAGAAAGAGCTCTTCTGCTGTTGAGCTCCACGTTGATATTAAGGTCCACAGGGGCAGTTGCTCATCTGCAGGCTTTCAGTGACACAGGTGAGCTGAGACATTGGTTCTTCTGGCCCTTGTGATGGTCCATGAGGCCTAAAGGAGCAGGGCTCCCAGCAGAGCTTTCTTTGGGGGCCAGCTGTGCCTATTTGCTGCACTGTGGCACACCAGCTTCATGGCCATCTATGTTTGCTGTGGCATGGAAACAGTTGAGAAGCATCAGAGTTAAGGTTTGAATAGTCTGTCCTTAATATGGTTTAGGAACGACATGGAGAAGTTTTTTAAAGGCATATAAAGTATTTCCAGTGGGAGATGGAAGAATAAGCCTAACCTGTTGGAGTTAAAATCTTAGAGACAGCAGGAATGCAGAACTATGACAGTGTGCACCACTGACTGATGGCTTAGTGTTCCCCTGTGACATGTGGGCCACCACTCTCCAATCCTGCTCCTGTGACAGACATCATCAGTAGATGGTCCTGTGACAGTCATCATCAGTAGATAACAGCACCCTTTCCTGCTGAGATCACCCAGCCTGAACTTTCCTCTCGAAGCAGGGCCCCCAGACAGCCAGTGCAGTCACCTGCAGGTGCCGCAGGAGGCGCGCTCCTCACCACCCATCCTCTCTTGCTTCTTCAACTTGGCTGAGCACAGGAATCATTGAGCGAACTCCACATTCTTCAGTTCATTTCCTGAAGCTTCTGGTTCAACAGCCTGGACACATTAGGAAACATTTATTCAAGGAAGGGGGCAATAAATGGAAGAAGAAAAACATAGGCCATAAGAAATTTATCTATATCCATCTACCTAATATCACGTACAAAATATTTTATAAATTAACTTTTTTACATTGAATACTTTAACAATAAGGACAGGAAAAAAGTGACGAATGGGCAAATTAAATTCACAACTGTGGAGATATGCAAAATAATCGCAAGTGGACAGCACTTCATTTTAGAAGGTTGGAATTTAACTTGCTGTCAGGCTGGGGGACCTGAGACCACTAACCTTTTAGGGTTCTCTATACTCTGGGTCTTTATGACTCAGGAAAGAAAAGGCCATTATCTTCTTCGCTCCTTCATGTCCTGGCTGAGCCAGCTGGGCAGGTGCGCCAACCTAAGGTTCCTTGTCTGTAAAAGAGGCTAATAGTGGGATGTAATTCATTGGCTCTTAAATGAGTTAATACATGTAAAGCATTTAGAATAGAGGTGCCCATGTGGTGGACACCAATAAATAGTGTTACTATTGACATATTTGAATGTTCTTATAGCAGATCCATTGTCTCTGTGCAGATCAAATTTTCCTAGTTATTGAATAAATTATTCAATTGACCTTTAATGTAATGCCTATTTGTATAAGGTGCCATGGACACATGATTTCAGTACTTAAGGAATTCAACATTTAGTTTGGGAGACAATAATTAGATTAAATAAAAAAAAAGCACCTGTACAGACTTTACACAGTTCAGCAGTGGAGTGGGTAGCCTTTCTCTATGTTCTGGAAAGCTCTGTGGGGCGTGGGTGGGGCTTGGAGAGGGGCAGGGTGTGGGAGAGCAGGGCAAAGGGGAAATGGAGGGTGGCCCAGGGGAGTGAGGGGGGACTGGAAATGGAGGGGACCAGAAGCTGGGGAGTCTTGAAAGCTGGGTGAGGGGTATCAACCCTCTGTTAGTTTGCTGGGGCTGCCATGTCAAAGTGCCACAGGCTGGGTGGCTCAAATAGCAGACATTTATTCTCTCTTAGTTCTGGAGGCCAGGAGTCCAGGGTGAAGGTGTTGCAGGGTTGATTTCTTCTGAGGCTTCTCCTTGGCTTGTAGACGGCTGTCTTCTCTCTATGTCCTCATGGCCATTCCTCTGTGTGCACATGTCTCTGTGGTCATGTCACACCAGTCATGATTAAGTCATGATAATCAACTATTGACCCCCCTTAAACTTAATTACCTCTTCAAAGGTGCTGTCTCCAAATAGGTTCACAGTGTGAGGTCTTGGGGCTAAGGCTTCCACATATGAGTTTTGCCAGGACACAGTTCAGCCACTAACAGACCCGATGTCTTTGGAGAGACCCTGGGACAGCTGGAGGTAGAGTGAGCGGGGCAGCCCAAAGGAGGTAGGACAGCTGAGGGTGGAGGGTGGCTCGGGGCCCAGCCAGGAGCTGAGGGAGAGATCACTGCCCTGTTGGGGATGCACAAAGCCCAGTGCTCCTTGAACTTGCAAAGGGAACATTGTGGGGAGAGGGATGCTGTAGAGGAGGTCAGGGCTGATGATGTTCGAGGAAACCCTTGAGCTCAGCCAAGGAGCTTGGGTCTAAAGAAGGGGCTCTGGAGATTTGGGGTGTGGTGGTGATAAGCTTTGGCTTTAAACTTTCCTATAAGTCATCTTCTTCATTCTTCCTGGGTCTCTTGTCTTGCTACCTGATCGCCTCCTTTCCCTTTCCTTTGAAACCAGAAGCTGGCAGGTGAGCATAGGGGTGCTTTTGGAAGCACGGCCATTCCTATCTGCTTGTCCCATGCCCCAGTCTGTGGCCCATCACAGGCCCTATTTTGGCCCTGGCTTTGGAGTTTAACAAGTGGGAAGCAGGCTCCACCAATCACTCTGGAGGGAGATGCCTGCTGGATTGTCATCTGTTATGGAAATGACATTCCATTTCAGAAGCTGCCTCCCTCTTGTTCATGAAAGTTTACATTTCTCTGGCTGGGCAGCCCGGCCCTCACTTGCTCCTAGTTGCTCGGGTGATGGGTAATAGCAAAGCAGGTGATGATGGAGGAGGCTGTCATGCACGCAGTTTCCTGTCTGAGCGCCATGGAGGGTTTGTGGCACAGAAGGGAGCAGGAGCTTACTCTCCTGGAGTTAAAACCCCTCTGTTTTGCAACAGGAAACCTCTTACAACCTGAAGGCAGCATTAATTCTAGACTGGGAGCGATCAGGTGAGAGGCAGCTGCAGCTAAAATGACTGTTCTGGAGTTGTCTTCATCATGATGACACTCCTACAAGGCGATTTCCTCTGTAAACACAGAAGGAGATTTCATAAATTGCTCTTAGGCAACTGGTGGGGGGCTGTTTAGTTGTGCATTTTTACGGCAGCTAAATCAAGGCCAGGGCTTTTCAGAGCTCAGCAACCCATCATTATTAAAACCAAAAGTTATTAGTTTCAATGCCAAACAGTAAATCAATGTGAATGCTCCGTTGGCTTCATAAAGGAAAATCTCTGTTTCCAGGGTCCCGAAGAAGCTCAGTTGACCTGGGCCATACAGAGCAGCCTGCAGGGCGGGGCATTGGGGGGACGCACATGGGTTTGACAGGTGACCTTCTGCCAGGATTTGCCACTTGTTGCATGTACAGGTTTTCAAAGGAGTCAAGTCAAGTGGCCTTCTTTGACTGGACCGACTGTGCTTAGAAACATTGCTCTCCTTTTCAGTTTTCTCCTGAAAAGAATAGTCTGCAAATTCATGGAAAGCTGAAATACAAACATGACTCAAGACTAGAACAAGTGAGTTAAAACCACTCCTGCATGCCCCACTTCCTCCTTAATCTTTCTCAAACCCCCTTCCTCATTCTCGCTTTCCTTTTCTCCTTCCTCTTTACTCTTCTGCAGTCACCGATTTTTGCTGATTGCCCCCTCTTAGGGTTTGCACAGCTGGCCCTGCTGGCTCTGAGCAGCGGCAGGTACACAGTAGGTCCACAAACGCTGCTTGCTAAAGAGATGAGCAAGACATTGGTCCTCGCATTTCCAGCTGACCGTTGGGTGCTCCCATTGTGTGTTCTAGAATTCTTCCAGACCAGTTGTATGAGAGGAGAGAGCCTTGGACCTGTGTGGTATTGGACCCATGTGACGTTGGACCCATGGGGCATTGCACTTATGTGGCATTGGACCCCTGTGGCATTAGGCAGGTATTGTCCTCTCCGGGCCTCCATTTCCTGCCTTTAAACCTTATTGTGGTTTTCAAACCTTTTTGTTATCTACAAGCCCTTTATTGAAATGAATAAAAACTGGGGGTGTTTTGAGTGGGATGGGGATGCCTAATTTCATGGTTGAGATCCCTGGGGATTCCAGTACTGCCAAAAGCCAGTCATCAAGGTGATTCCCAGGATCCTTTGCAGTCATGCCTTCATGGGTCCTGTAGGTTTGTGTCTACCTAATTCATCAACTTCAGCCTCAGGTCAGTTGCTTCCTGGACTTCCCTGTGTCCAGTTGAGATGCCAGCTCTCCCCCAGGCAGCATCCCTTCCAGGCCCAGCAGTCTATGATTCTACAAGACCACCTTTACGCAGGAGGGTCCCTATGGGAGGGGCTCACCGCTGTCCTCCGGACTCACTGCCACGTCTCACCTTTTCCCCACTCCTGGTCTTCCATGCACTGGCCATTCCTTCTCAGCCCCACTGTCTCCCTAACAGCTCTTGCCCCTACTAGTTGCCACTCTGGACCATTCTATGGCCTCCTTACAACTTCCTGCCCCCCTCTCTTCTCTCCTTACAGGCCTTGTCTTCTTTCCATGAAGGCTTTTAGAACAGAATGTTTTTTGTGTTGCTTTTCTCCTCACCTCCTCAACAAACATGAGAAAAAGTCCTTAGTTCTTGGCCCCACACTAAGGGCTGAGCACACTCTGGTTACCACCGATCTCTCCGGACTTGTTAACCGTCCTTCCTCACCTGCGGCCAGGCTGCTTTTTGGGTTGCCTCCCAAACATTTAGGAGCAGAAAGTATAAGTATGGGCAGAAAAAGGAAGAAGAAGGCACATACAAGTGTGAAGAACAGGCAAGAAGAGAAACAGAACTGGCAGCTCCTCACCCTCACGCTGGCTGCCCGGTGTCTGGGGACCCTCCCAGGGTGCACTCTCCCTGCTGGAGGATGGACACTTCTGACCCCACCACCCACTCCTTCCATGAATGATAGAGCCCCAGAATTCAAGATTTCATTAAAAAAAAATAAAAAAGAGCTCAGAATAATGGCAGAATGATGGTATCTAAATGAGTTTACAGACATTTAATTATAACTGATTACAATCTCAAAATATATCTCAGCATTTTTTGGTCTTTTCTTTCCTTTTTTGAGACAGAATCTCACTCTGTTGCCCAGGCTGGATTGCAGTGGCGTGATCTCAGCTCACTGCAATCTCCGCCTCCCAGATTCAAGCGATTCTCCTGCCTCAGCCTCCCGAGTAGCTGGGACCACAAGCGTGCACCACCACGTCTGGCTAATTTTTGTATTTTTAGTAAAGACAGGCTTTCGCCATGTTGGCCAGGCTGGTCTCGAATTCCTGACCTCAGGTGACCTGCTCGCCTTGGCCTCCCAAAGTGCTGGGATTACAGACATGAGCCACCATGCCCGGCCAAGTCTTTTTACTATATAATAGAATATTAATGTAGAAGTGGATAAATGCACCTCTTCAGCCGGCATGCTGGAATATTACTCATGAAGTGAATGGTGCCTTATTAGTGTTAACAGGACCTGTCCCATCTCATAGGGAATGGGTGTTGCTTTGGGTACTACCGTCCGCCTTTTATTCCCACAGAGCCATGCCGAGACCACAGGACAAGAGCGATCCCTGTCCCTATATCTCAGCACCAGGTTATTAGTGACGCCCCTTAGGTTCCCAGCTCCACAGGCAGCACAAACCCAGCCGGCATCATGGAGAGTTGTTGAACTGGGTTTTGCGTGTAGAGTGGGCTGGGTGGGAGGGGCACCCACGAGGGCTTCCAGAGAAGCCAGCCGTGGGGCTGGTTACCTGAGAATGAGGGTCTTTTCTAAAGGAAGCCCCTTTGTTGGGGCAGCTGGTGGGGAGCTGGGCACTCAGGGTGAGTTGGACCCCAGATCCCCTGTCATTGGCAGCTGCTTAGCCTGTGTGGGCCTCAGTTTCTCCATCCCTAAAATGGGAATATCAGGGACTCTGTAGGTTGTTACAGCCTCAGTGGCCTGGATAATTTCTTAGCAAAGTGTCCTGCACTGCTATTCTTGGAGCTCTAGTGTTTTTTTAACTTTTGCTGAATCCGGCCCTTGATTTGCCATTTACAAAGTCCCCCAAAGAGAGGGCAACATATGGGTCCCCCTCATTTCAACCTCCTGGACTGGTCCTGATCTATCAGGGCCTCTCGATGTGGTCTTGGGCCAGTTGGTTTGAGATCATCAGCTTGTATTACAGAGGATCCAGGTTTCTTACAACTCAATTTAGACGCTACAGTGGAAATGCGCTTTGGAATGAGGCAGAGCAGGTTGGAGTCCTGGCTTTGCAACAGGATGTGTGGCTTTTTGCCAGTTTCCAAACCTCTCTGAGTCTTGATTTTCTCATCGGTGAAAGGGTAAAAAGCCTGCTTCTCAGGGAAGCTGTGAGAATTAAATGAACTGGCATATGGAAAACACACAAGCAAACCACAGGCACCCCACAAACGGGCTTTCCCTTTCTATCTTTCCTTAAACACAGCTCCCTCCCTCGGGTCTCTGGTCAGAATCTTCCCATGTAGTACTCTTTGTGACACCTCAAATTCCTGGGTTCTGAGACTGGACGTGGAGGGCCAGCCTTAGGCAGGGGAAATGGTGGTGCAAAAAAGTTCAGTGGAAAAGAACAGCAATGAAAGCAAACGAGCATCTTACTGTGTGGCCTGGGCTGTGGGAGTCTCAGGGAGAGGCCTCCGTCACCATCCACAGCTCAGGGGGCCAGGAAACTCTGGTTGCCAACATTTAAGGCAGCGTTAGGATTTTATGTGAGCAGAAAATGCCAGTTTTAGATCACTATTTTCTCATTGTTTGTAAGAAAATATCATTTATACTCAAAAGGAATGACTGCTTTTATTAATTTAAAAGCTGGGATGTGGAATAAGCAAATTAGTGAGTTATTCTTCAAGATAGGTACAAAAATTTTGAGTCTGAAAAGTCAACTTAAACCCCAGATTATTTCGAGAAGCTGCCCTAATAAAATGAAGAGTTAGAAAGGCAACTCATAACAGTTTAAGGAGAGTTCAGTGATTTAGCAACAGTGCATATGGTATTTTATTAAGTGAAAAACACAATTTCTAAGACAAGAATGTATAGCATGATCCTATTTCATGACAACAAATATACAAGGAAGAAAAATACAACATATACAGACGATGAAATATCTGGAAGGATGCATCTTACTGCCTCTTTCTTCTTTTGAATTATTTGTAATGTTTGCATTGAATATTCATTTGGAAATGAGAAATAAGCAAATTTAAAAGTTCCTACTTTTACACAACTCTTGGTGGAAAGATATACCCACCTATGAAGTAGTCTTGCCAAAAAACAAAAACAAAACTGAGTCTCATAAATGCTATAGATTCAACTACCAAATCCCAGGGAATACAAAGGATGGAGGAGTGTGTCAAGGACCCCAGAGGGACATAGTCAGCAAAATCCAAACAGAGGGAAATTACACAAAACAAATGATTGGCTTCTTTAATGGATAAACACATTGAAGAAAGAGATAAAGATAGAGACAGAAATAGAGATAGAGCTAGAGATAGGGAGAGAGAGAGGTACAGATAGGGAGAGAGAGAGTTGGTTGGAACTTAGAAATTAAAAGCAACTTTAACATATCAGCCAATTACCATGTGAAACTTATGATGTGAGTCAACTTGCATCTTGACTCAAACTGTAAAGAAATCAATTATTTGGGACATTTATGGGACAATTGGAAAGCTGAACTCCGGCTATCTAACAATATTAAGAAATTCTTACTAAATTTTTCAGGTATGATACATTTTTATGCTTAAAGTCTTTTAAAGACTTTTTCAAGATAGTCCCCAAATCTCTATGGTTGGAACAATGGTTTCCCAAGATTTGCTCCAATATAATGTTGGAAGAGGGAAAGGAGGTGGGTGGGCCAATCAGCCCCTAGTTGCTGAATATTGAAGTGGGGGCAGTAGGGGTATGTTCTCTTTGCTTTTGTGCTTGTTGACATTCTCCAGGACAAGAAAGTTTGAAGGAAGCTGCTTTTGTTCTTCTGGAATGATTGAGGCCAGCTCCCCAGGCCAGAGGTCTCCGCCCACCCATCTATGGAACTCCTTTCCCAGCATGGGGCCCTGTGCCCGCTCCTTTGCTGCCTCTCACTTATTCTTAATTATCTGCAGACTGCCCGAGGCTCCATCCACTGGAACCTGGCCTCCTTGGCAAGGTGATGTGAGGTCTTTCCATTTTGAAAAGATTTCTCTCCGCGGTACCTGAGGACCGGAGCTTTGCATGGCAGGAGGTCTCTTTTTGGTGGCCTGGCCACAGCACCACTGTCACTCACAGTGGCCAGCAGGGCAGGGCACCGCCTTGGCAGTGCAGGTACTTTACCAGTGAAACCCAAATTATTAGCCTTAATACAATTTTAAAACAATTATTGAGCTAACCGGATGCAAATGAAACAAAATGAACCTATAAATATATGTGTTTTTCAAATTAGTAATTGGATTTTTTGATGATCTTTGGTGTGACATTGATAAGCTGCCTCTCATAACAGTCTAATTAGGCAATATGTAAACTTTGGCATTCGGTTCTGTCCTAGTGGCTTTTTCAAATGATGTTTGTAAAATTTGCAATTTCATATTACAGATTAAAAATTAAAAACTGCAGGAGGCTAACATTAAAATGAGAATTCATTTCAGGGAAAGCCCTGTAGACAAAATTCACCCTAATAGAATTGTGCATAAGGGGATGCAAATCACGATGTATAGTTACACAAGGGAAAGCTTGTCAAAACCAGTATTGTTGGTCTGTAGTTCTATTCACAGTATTAAACCCATCAGCAAAGCCACTTTGGGGAAAATGTGAACATTATCAAAGAACAGTAAATTAGCAAGAAATTAAAGCATATACCCTTGCATTTCCAAAACAAAAGATCCCTTCATTAAAAACCTTTCATCAGTGGTTTAATATTCATAGCAGTAATTTGCATAACTAAATCAGTTTTCACTGATGAGAGACGACCAAAGTTTTTTCACTAATTTCTTTTTTGAATGAGCTCTCTAGTTTTTTGATTAAAATTTCACACCAGTAGTTGAACAGAATTGAATACATGGCTTAGCCATATTTGCAAGTATCATCTTTTAGAACACCAGGTTAAATGTTAGTTCTTAGGATGGAAGGTATTGTTCAAATAGCTTTGTTTACCTTAGCTGCATATATTTTTCTCTGCTTGAAATTTAGGCCATTGAGTAAAAAAAAAAAAAAACAAAAACTTTAAAACGAGCAGAGAAGCAAGTTGATGGCATTAGAACTTGTTTCTTCTTCTTTTTTGATCCCATAGGTAGGCATGGTGCAAAGTAGCCATTGTAATCTACTAGTTAAGGCAAAGTCATCCCCTTGCCCGCATTAGTAGTTCTGATAATATTTATTCTTATTTATTTATTTATTTAATATATATTTTTATTTTTTTTACTTTAAGTTCCAGGATACACGTGCAGAATGTGCAGGTTTCTTACAAAGGGATGCATGTGCCATGGTGGTTTGCTGCACCCAGCAACATGTCTCATAGGTTTTAAGCCCGGCATGCATTAGCTATTTGTCCTAATGCTCGCCCTCCCCTCACCCTCGCCCCCTCACCTGACAGGCCCTGGTGTGTGCTGGTCCCCTGCTTGTGTCCATGTGTTCTCATTGTTCAACTTCCACTTATGAGTGAGAACAGTTAATTTTCTGAGGATGATGGCTTCCAGCTTCATCCACATCCCTGCAAAAGACATGATCCCATTCCTTTTTATGGCTGCATAGTATTCCACGGTGTATGTGTACCACATTTTCTTTATCCAGTCTATCGTTGATGGGCCTTTGGGTTGGTTCCATGTCTTTGCTATTGGGAATAGTGCTGCAATAAACATACATGTGCACGTATCTTTATAATAGAATGATTTATATTCCTTTGTGTATATACCCAGTAATGGGATTGCTAGGTCAAATGGTATTTCTGGTTCTAGATCCTTGAGGACTGAATAATTTTCTAAAAGTGCAATAATCTTCTGAGATTATGAAAAGGTAGTTTTGCTGGTGGAAAGAGACAAAAGGCTCACTGTTTATACCCTGCAGACAGCAACCAGAGGGCCGACTGGTGGCTTCTTCCAATTCTTAATGTATGCCTGGTGTTGCTACATTTTCTGATAACAGCAATGAAGCAAAGTGATGAGGATTTGCTTGGGTGCTTTTCCTGTGACACATCCATCCATTCATCTAGCAATTTAATCCCAGTTACAAACAGACTTGTAGCTTCTGTTTAGAGCGTGATAGGGCACAACCGTTTTCTTCTCACTTTCAACCAGAGGGGCTCAAAAGCACATTTTTTGGGGGGAAGGTGGTCACATGAATTTAGTGAGTTGTGGGTGACTTTCGGACTTTTGAGAACCATATAATTGAAAATACCAGTGGCTGGTACAAGGGGAGAGCATTGTTGCCTATGTGCAGAGCCATCACCTGGAAGGACATTGCCTCTCCCGCTGGGAGCCGCACCAGAGTGACTTCTCCCTAGGCAATCCTGGTGATTTTCTGGTGATTCCTACATTTTTCCACCAGTTGTATTTCTTGACATCCAAGCTTAGAAATTCAACCATTAACATAAAAATGAGGACTTTAGGGAATAAAACTTTAAAAAGCATTTCTGATGGATCTCCTGGCAACCTTTTATTCATTCAGTGTATTCATGGGGAATGCACTGGATGGCCAGCACTCTGCTTTTATTTCATGAGGATCCTGAGACAAACACTCTTTGTGCTGTGGACTAAATACACATGACTATGTAAGATAATTCTCTTCTAGTAGTTATATGTATGCCTCATCAGATGGCAAGTTTGACTCTTAAGCAGATGAAATTATTTAGACCAGGCAAGAGACAAGTTAATTTTTTTCTTACCAAACTGTCAAGCCAGTATGTCAACCTGTTAGCCTTATGTAGGCTGGGCCTCAGAATACCTATTTTTTTTTTTTTAAAGATAGGGTCTTGTTCTATTGCCTGGGCTGGAGTACAGGGCAGAGCCCTGCAGTCTCAAACTCCTGGCCTCAAGTGAGCCTCCTGCCTCAGCCTCCCAAAGTGTTGGGATTACATGGGTGTGCCATTGCACCTGGCCTGAATACTTTTGAAATTAAGAGGAGGGGAAGATCCAATTTCATGAGAACTTGATTTTAGAGACAGTTTTTTTTCCCCTTCAACAGGACCGTCCTTCTGATTTCATTGTCCATTCTCTTAAACAGGAATTTTGGGGCACTTGTTGCTATGGCTACACATAGTGGACCCCCAAGCCCTGGAAGCTGGGGTTAGAGAGAGTAGACATCTCCACTGCTCCTGGAGGGACCAACACAATAGGGGGAGCAAAGGTGGGGAAGGAAGGGAGGGAAGTGTCTCTGGCAGAGAAGGAGCTGGAATTGGGAGGATGGATTAAGACTGGGGAGCAGGGACAGTTGATGAAGGGCCCCCTCCATATGTGAGGTGTGTGGTCTGTTCCTGGAGAAGGAGAGACAGGGTGTAGGGTAACCCTAGCTCCCTCCATGGGACATGGTCTCGGACAAGCCTTGCAGCCTTTCTGAGCTCAGAACACATCACCCTCTGCTTGCCCTTGATGGTAGAACAGCGACAACCTGGCTGCAGGATGCTGAGGAAAGGGCTTAGCAAATGTGGATGGTCTAAGCTGAGGTGGGCTTAAGATGAATACGCATCAAGGAACATTGCGTCCAAACCACATGAGCAAATCTACCAAGTAATTGTAAGTGCACCTTGCTTTCCTGCTTTTCTTTCCATTCTGGTCCTGATTTCCTGCCATTCTGGGGCATTTCTAAGGACACATGCTTCTGCAGCAGCCTAGGAATTGGGGAACAACCCAAACTCTGATTTGATATGTGCAGGTTGTTAAACAGAATTTTTTAATGGAATGTGGGATAAAGAGGGTTGTGAGGGAAGGACAGAGTAGAGATGAGGGAGGAAAACATTTAAAGTGTGACTACAAAGGCGACAGGGGAGTGGAAACCCGAAGTGGCTATCAGAAGGGAGTCTGCACTGTGTCCCAGCCCTGCGTGGAGGCTGGCTGCAGCAGGCTCCCTCTGTCTCCTTAAACACAGAATCCTGGTGTCTTCTAATGAAAGTGACATCTGCTTTTGGAATCAAAGTTTTAGAGCAAAGCTGGCCACCAAACACAGCTGCCTCTACTGAGCCCCATTATTTTGTGCCAGTGTCCAGTTCTGTTTTAGACGAGGGTACTGGCATAGCAGGTGGCAGAATTCACACTCCTCTTGATTTTCCAGGCCTCCAGCAATCCTTAGATCACAGCACAATTGATGCTTGATGCTTCTCATCTCTGACACCCTGCCAGCTCAGGAAATATTTCATAATTAAAAATGTAAAAATGTTAATTACCTGAAGATACTTCCTGATGGGTAGCACTGATCAGGAGGGAAATTGATGGTATTAAAACAGGGAAAATTATTAGATTAAGCAATATTCATGGGAAATGTATCTCATAAGAGCTCTGTGTGTGGTCGTGCATGTTTGGTGCTGTTTTCTGCATTCTATGCTGTCCATGGGTTAGAGTGCATTGAACCGGGACAATGTGATGTAACGATTTGGCCGGAAGAAGGGCATGTCTTCTTGGGCGGTGAAATATTCAGAGCTGCGGGAACGATGCAGAGAGGAGAAAAAGAAATAGGCTCTATTGCTTTAATATTCCTGTGGCCATGGGAGGGGACATCACCTGGGGCAGTTGGGAAGGAGGTTTTGCTGAGGATCTGGGCTGGGATCATGGAGGGGACAGAGGGTTGTTTCTCCCGCTGGGGTGGACCAAGTGCCTGGAAGGTACATCATAGTGTGCCTGGCTGCCTGACAAACTTCTGTAAAGGGCCAGAGGGTAAATAACTTGAGCTTTTGCAGGACCATACCTTCTGTGGCATCTACTCAACTCTGCTGTTACAGTTCAAAGCAGCCATGTGCAGTTCCTACATGAATGGAATGGCTGTGTTCCAATCAAACTTTACTCATGGACAACTGAAGTTTGAATTTAACATAATTTTTTTTTGAGGCAGAGTCTCACTCTGTCACCCAGGCTGGAGTGCAGTGGCGCAATCTCGGCTCACTGCAACCTCTGCCTCCCGGGTTCAAG